>NC_000006.12:166961242-167276317 GCF_000001405.40 Homo sapiens
GGCTCGGTGGCTCACACCTGTAATCCCAGCACTTTGGGAGGCTGAGGCAGGCTGATCACCTGAGGTCAGGAGGTCAAGACCAGCCCTACCAACATGGTTAAACCCAGTCTCTACTAAAAATAAAAAAAAAAATTAGCCAGGCGTGGTGCCAGGTGCCTGTAATCCCACCTACTTGGGAGGCTGAGGCAGGAGAATCGCTTAAACCCAGGAGGCGGAGGTTGCAGTGAGCCGAGATGGCGCCATTGCACTCCAGCCTGGACTCCCTCTCAAAACAACAACAACAACAATTTAATAGATATTTAATAAGTATTTTTTAAAAAAATAATTTCAACTTTTATTTTAAATGTGGGGGTACATGTGCAGGTTGGTTACACGGGTATACTGCGTGATGCTGAGATTGGGGGTATGTTCATCCTGTCACCTGGGTAGTGAGCCTAGTATCGTATAGTTAGTTTTTCAACTCTTGCTCTGCTCCCTACCTCCCTTCTGTAATAGTCCCCACTGTCTACTGTTGCCATCTTGTCATCCATGGGTAACCAGGGTTTAGCTCCCACTTACTTATTTGTTTATTTTTTGACATTGGAGTCTTGCTCTGTCGCCCAGGCTGGAGTACAGTGGCCTGATCTCCGCTCACTGCAACCTCCGCCTCCTGGATTCAAACAATTCTCCTGTCATATCCTCCTGAGTAAACTGAGATTACAGGCGAGGGCCACCATGCCTAGCTAATTTTTTTTTTTTTTTTTTTTTTTGAGACGGAGTCTCGTTCTGTTGCCCAGGCTGGAGTGCAGTGGTGCGATCTCGGCTCACTGCAAGCTCCGCCTCCCGGGTTCACGCCATTCTCCTGCCTCAGCCTCCCGAGTAGCTGGGACTACAGGCACCTGCCACCATGCCCAGCTAATTTTTTGTATTTTTAGTAGAGACAGGGTTTCACCGTGTTAGCCAGGATGGCCTCGATCTCCTGACTTCGTGATCCTCCCGCCTCGGCCTCCCAAAGTGCTGGGATTACAGGTGTGAAATACCATGCCCGGCTGCCTAGCTAATTTTTGTATTTTTAGTAGAGATGGGGTTTCACCATATTGGTCAGGCTGGTCTCAAACTCCTGACCTCAAGTGATCCACCTGCCTTGGCCTCCCAAAGTGCTGGGATTACAGGCGTGAGCCACCGTGCCCAGCCTAGCTCCCACTTTTAAGTGAGAACATGTGGTATGGTATTTGGTTTTCTGTTCTTGCATTAATTTGCTTAGAATAATCCAGCTGCATCCGTGTTGCTGCAAAGGACATGATTTCATTCTTTCATTATGGCTGTGTAGTATTCTATGGTATATACATACCACACTTTCTTTGTCCAGCCTACCATGGATGGGCACCTAAGTTGATTCCATGTCTTTGCTATTGTGAATAGCGCTGTGATGAACGTGAGAGTACATGTGTCTTTTTGGTAGAATGATTTGTTTTCTTTTGGATAGATGGCCAGTAATGGGATTTTTCCTGGGTGAAATGGTAGTTTTTTTTGTTGTTTGTTTGTTTTGAGATGAAGTCTTGCTCTGTCGCCCAGTCTGGAGTGCAACGGCATGATCTCGGCTCACTGCAACCTCCGCCTCCCAGGTTGAAGCGATTCTCATGCCTCAGCCTCCCGAGTAGCTGGGATTACAGGCACCCGCCACCATGCCCGGCTAATTTTTGTATTTTTTAGTAGAGATGGGGTTTCACCATGTTGGTCAGGCTGGTCTCGAACTGCTGACCTCAGGTGATCCACCCGCCTCAGCCTCCCAAAGTGCTGGGATTACAGGCGTGAGTCACCGCGCCTGACCATGGTAGTTCTTTTTAAAATTCATTGAGAAGTCTCCAAACTGCTTTCCACGGTAGCTGAACTAATTTACATTCCCACCAACAGTGTAGAAATGTTCCTTTTTCTCCACAGCCTTGCCAACATCTGTTGTTTTTTGAGTTGTTTTTTTTTTTTTAAACAGGGTCTCACTTTGTCACCCAGGCTGCAGTGTAATGTCGTGAACATTGCTCACTGTAGCCTTGACCTCCTGTACTCAAGTAATTATCCTACCTCGGCCTCCCGAGTAGCTGGAACCACAGGTACACACCACAGCGCCTGGCTAATTTTTTAAAATTTTTTGTAGGCTGGGCGAGGTGGCTCATGCCTGTAATCCCAGCACTTTGGGAGGCCGAGGCGGGCAGATCACCTGAGTTTGGGAGTTCGAGACCAGCCTGACCAACCTGGAGAAAGCCCATCTCTACTAAAAATACAAAATTAGCTGGGCATGGTGGTGTGTGCCTGTAATCCCAGCTACTTGGGAGGCTGATTCAGGAGAATCGCTTGAACCCGGGAGGCGGAGGTTGTGGTGAGCCTAGATCATGCCACTGCACTCCAGCCTGGGCAACAAGAGCGAAACTCCATCTCAAAAAAAAACAAAAGTTTTTTTGTATAGAGATGAAGGCCTCACCATGTTGCCATAGCTGGGGTTTTTGACTTTTTAATAATAGCCATTCTGGTTGGTGTTCTGGTTTTGATTTGCATTTCCCTAACAATCACTGATATTGAGCATTTTTTCATATGTTTGTTGGCTGTTTGTATCTCTTCTTTTGAGAAGTGTCTATTCATGTCTTTTGCCCACTTTTTAATGAGATTATTTGGTTTTTGTTTGTTAAATTATTTAATTTTATGGTAGATCCTGGATATTAGACCTTTGCCAGAGGCAGAGTTTGCAAATATTTTCTCCCATTCTGTAGATTGTTCACTCTGTTGATAGTTTCTTTTGCTGTGCAGAAGCTCTTTAGTTTAATTAGATCTCACTTATCAACTTTCATTTTTGCTGCAATTGCTTTTGAGGACTTGGTCATAAATTCTTTCCAAAGGTCATTGTCCAGAATGGTGAGTCCTGGGTTTTCTTCCAGGATTCTTATAGTATGAGGTCTTTTAAATCCTTAAACCATCTTGAGTTAACTTTTGGTGAAAGATAGGAGTCTAGTTTCATTCTTCTGCATATGGTTAGCCAGCTATCCCAGCACTATTTTTCGAATAGGGAGTCCTTTTCCTATTGCTTATTTTTGTCAACTTTGTGGAAGATCAGATGACTGTAAGTATGTGGTATGCTGCTTCATTTCTGGGTTCTCTACTCTGTTCCATTGGTCTGTGTGTCTATTTTTGTACCAGTACCATGCTGTTTTGTTTACTGTAGTCTTTTTTTTTTCTTTTGAGATGAAATCTTACTCTGTGGCCCAGGCTGGAGTGCAGTGGTGCAATCTTGGTTCACTGCAACCTCCGCCTCCTGCCTCAGCCTCCTGAAGCTGAGGATTCTCCTGCCTCAGCCTCCTGAGTAACTGGGACTACAGGTGCGTGCCACCACACCTGGCTGATTTTTTATATTTTTGGTAGAGACGGAGTTTCACCATGTTGGCCAGATGGTCTAGATCTCTTGACCTCGTGATCCGCCCAAGTCAGCCTCCCAAAGTGCTGGGATTACAGGCATGAGCCACCGAGCCCAGCCTACTGTAGACTTATAGTATTGTTTGAAGTTGGATAGTATGATATATCTAGCTTTGTTCTTTTTGCTTAGGATTGCTTTAGCTACTCAGGCTCCTTTAGGTTCCATATGAATTTTAGGATAGTTTTTTTCTAATTCTGTGAAAAAATGATGTTGGCAGTTTGATAAGAATAGCATTAAGTCTATAGATTACTTTGGGCAGTATGACCATTTTAACAATATTGATTCTTCCAATCCATGAGCATCAAATGCTTTACTCTTTGTGTCATCTATGATTCCTTTTTTTTTTTTTTTTTTGAGATGGAGTCTCGCTCTGTCACCAGGCTGGAGTGCAGTGGTGCAATCTCAGCTCACTGCAACCTCTGCCTCCCAGGTTCAAGCGATTCTCCTGCATTAGCCTTCTGAATAGCTGGGACTACATGTGTGCACCACCATGCCCAGCTAATTTTTGCATTTTTAGTAGAGTCAGGATTTCACCATGTTGGCCAGGATGGTATCGATCTCTTGACCTCGTGATCTGCCCATCTTGGCCTCCCAAAGTGCTGGGATTACAGGAATGAGCCATCACGCCCAGTCTCATCTATGATTTCTTTCAGCAGAGTTTTACAGTTTGCCCTGTAGAGATCTTTCACCTCCTTGGTTAGATGTATTCCTGGATATTTTATTGTTTTTGTGGCCATCATAAATGGAATTGCTTTTTTTTTTTTTTTTTTTTTGAGATGGAGTCATGTTCTTGTTGCCCAGGCTGGAGTGCAGTGGTGCGATCTTGGCTCACTGCAACCTCTGCCTCCCAAGTTCAAGCAATTATCCTGCCTCAGCCTCCTGAGTAGCTGGGATTACAGGCGCCCACCACGATGCCTGGCTAATTTTTGTACTTTTTAGTAGAGATGGGGTTTCACCATGTTGACCAGGCCAGTCTCGAACTCCTGACCTCAGGTGATCCGCCCGCCTCGGCCTCCCAAAGGGCTGGGATTACAGGTGTGAGCCACTGCGACTGGCTTATTTTTTTTTATTTTTTTGAGACAGAGTCTTACTCTGTTGCCCAGGCTTGAGTGCAGTTGCACCATCTCAGCTCACTGCAGCCTCCACCTCCTGGACTCAAGCCATCCTCTCACCTCAACCTCCTGAGTAGCTGGGATTACAGGTGCCCGGCACTACACCAGGCTAATGTATTTTTAGCAGAGACAGATTTTCGTCATGTTGGCCAGGCTGGTCTCGAACTCCTCACCTCAAGTGATCTGGCCACCTCAGCCTCCCAAAGTGCTGAGATTACAGGTGTGAGCCACCACACCTGGCCCTGGAATTGCATTCTTGATTTGGCTCTCAGTTTGTACATTATTGGTAGATAGAAATGCTACTAATTTTTGTGTCTTGATTTTGTATCCTGAAACTTCACTGAAGTCATTTATCATTCCAGGAGCCTTTTGATAGAGTCTTTATGGTTCTCTAGGTATAGAATCATATTATCAGTGAAGAGAGATAGTTTGATTTCTTCTTTTCCTGTTTTGATGCCTTTTATTTCTCTTGACTGATTGCTCTGGCTAGCCCTTCCAAGACTACGTTAAATAGGAGAGGTGACAGTGGGCATCTTTGTCTTGTTCTGGTTCTCAGGCGGAATGCTTCTGGCTTTTCCCCATTTGGTATGTTGGCTATCAGTTTGTCATAGATGGCTCTTATTATTTTGAAATATGTTCCTTTGAGGCCTAGTTTGCTGAGGGCTTTTATCATGAAAGGATGTTGGATTTTACTGAAAGCTTTTCCCATGTCTATTGAGATGATCATATGGTTTTTGTCTTTAGTTCTGTTTATGTGATGCATTACATTTGTTGATTTGTGTATGTTGCTGCTGGATTTGGTTTGCTAGTATTTTGTTGAGGATTTTTCTGTCTGTGTTCATCAGGGATATTAGCCTGTGATTTTCTCTTTTTTTGTTGTGTCTTTGCCAGGTTTTGGTATTAGGGTGATTCTGGCTTTGTAGGATGAATTAGGGAGGAGTTTCTCCTGCTTGATTTTTTGGAATCATTTCCAAAAATGATTCCAAGAATCAATCGAAGAGCTAGGATTGGTACTAGCTCTTCTTTGAACATCTGGTAGAATTCAGCTGTGCATCCATCTGGACCAGGGCTTTTTTTGTTTGGTAGGTTTTTTATTACTGATTCAAGTTTGGAACTTGATATTGTTCTGTTCAGGGTTTCAATTTCTTCCTGATTCAATCTTGGGAGGTTGTGTGCTTCCAGAAATGTATCCATTTCCTCTAGATTTTCTAGTTTGTGCACATAGAGGTGTTGATAATAGTCTCTGAGGACCTTTTGTATTTCTGTGGTATTGGTTGCAATATTGCCTTTGTCATTTCTCATTGTGCTTATTTGGATCTTTTGTCTCTCTCGTTTTCTTTGTTACTCTAGCTAGTGGTCTGCCAGTCTTGTTTATCTTTTCAAATAACCAGTTATTGGTTTTGTTGATTCTGTGTATGGATTTTTGCATCTCAATTTGGTTTAGTTCTGCTCTGATTTTAGTTACTTATTTTATTCTGTTAGTTTTAGGTTTAGTTTGTTGTTGTTTTTCTAGTTCTTCTAGGAATTATATTAGATGGTTAATTTGAGATCTTTCTAACTTTTTGAGGTAGGCGTTAAGTGCTATAAACTTTCCTCTTAACACTGCTTTTGCTGCATCCCAGAGATTTTGGTATGTTGTATCTTTGTTTTCATTTATTTAAAATAATTTTTTAATTTCTGCCTTAACTTTATTGTTTGCTCAAAAGTCATTCAGGAGTAAGTTTTTTAATTTCCATGTAATTGTGTGGTTTTCAGAGATCTTCTTGGTATTGATTTCTATTTTATTCCACCGTGGCCCAAGATTGTGGTTGGTATGATCTTGATTTTTTGAATTTATTGAGACTTGCTTTATGGCTAAGCTAGTGATCAATCTTGATGTATGTTCTGTGTGCAGATGAGAAGAGTGGTTGATCAGTGGAGTGTTCTGTAGGTGTCAATTAGGTCCAGCTGGTTGTGTCCAATTTAAGTCCAGAATTTCTTTGTTAGTTTTCTGCCTCAATGACCTTTCTAATGGGGTGTCGAAAACCTCCGCTACTATTTTATGGCTGTCTAGGTCTTTTCATAGGTCTAGAAGTACTTGTTTTATGAATCTGGGTGCTCCAATGTTGGGTGCATATATATTTAGGATAGTTAAGTCTTCTTGTTTAACTGAAATCTTTATCATTATTTAATGCCCTTCTTTGTCCTTTTCTACTTTTGTTGGTTTAAAGTCTATTTTATCTGATATAAGAATAGTGACTCTGGCTCTTTTTTTTGTTTTGTTTTCCATTTGCATAATAAATATTTATCCAATCCTTTACTTTGAGCCTATGGGTGTCATTATGTATGAGATGAGTCTTTTGAAGTCAGCACTCGGATAGGTCTTGTTTTTTCAATCCAACTTGCACTCTGTGCCTTTCAAAAAAAATAAAGATAGGATCTCACTTTGTTGTCCAGGCTGGTCTCAAACTCCTGAGCTGAAGCAATCCACCCACCTCAGCCTCCCAAAGGATCACAAGCATGAGTCACTGTGCCTGGCCATGACATTCTTTATAACATTTTATTTTTCTTGATACAATTTCTTTTGATTTTCTTTATAAAATTCATCTTTTTGTCATTAAAGTCCTGTTTTGTACTGTCATACATTTGGCCTCAAATTCCATATCAGTTAATACACATATTGCTACTCCTGCCTTATTTTGTTAAAGGGAACCCTGGCTCTTTTTAGTTGAAATTTGTATTTAGAGGTCATAGTCCTGGCCCAAGGGTTGCTTATTGCCCCTGGGTTGGTCCTTGTTTCTAACACTTTTCAGCAGATAGAGCTAGGAAATAAATTTTGTTTGCTCATTTGTTCTATTTATGGTTTTTTTTCTTTTTCTTTCTTTTTTTCTTTCTTTCTTTTTTTTTTTTTTTGAGATGGAGTCTCACTCTGTTACCCAGGCTGGAGTGCAGTGGCGTGATCTCAGCTCACTGCAACTTCTGCCTCCCAGGTTCAAGTGATTCTCCTGCCTCAGCCTCCCAAACAGCTGGACTTACAAGTGTGTGCCACCATGTCTGGCTAATTTTTTTGTATTTTTAGTGGAGACAGGGTTTCACCATATTGGTCAGGCTGGTCTTGAACTCCTGACCTCAGGTGATCCACCTGCCTTGGCCTCCCAAAGTGCTGCGATTACAGGCGTGAGCCACTGTGCCCGGCCTTGATTTATGTTTTTTTAAAAGAAAATATATCATGAGTCCATATTGACATTTATAAATCAAATTTAGGAATAAAAGGGTTTTCTTATTTTGTTATTTTATTTTGTTTTCTTATATTGACATATCTTTGCATTTTCCTTTAATCTCTTTCAAGCATTTGGCCACAAATTAAAAAGTAGAGTCTATTTAGTCTAAAGGCTATCTTGTTCCTTCCTCAAAATATAGTTAGTCATTAAAGTAATTTACTTTTACTCTTGGAGCTGATTTTGGCTTGGGAAGCTAGTTAAACCACAAAATTGTTTACCTGGACTAGATTAAGATGATGACTTATGACTTGTCTTCACTAGCTTGAAGTAAACCAGATGTCCTCATCATTTGGCTTTTATTATTGTCCTAATAAGTCTGTGTGTGGGATGGCTAATTGGCTCATCATAGTGTTAACCTTCTGTACATGTCTGTTAATATCAACATCAAACAGAAGCATCGGGGGAAAGAACATTAAAGGCAGGTACAGGGGAAGAGACTGAAGGTTGCTCTGCACCAGACAAGCAACAGGAATAGAAAATGCACCAGAACGCAAAGCCAGCCATGGCGCATGGCTCAGAATACTAGAAATTAGGCTTTTCCCCAGTCTAACTGTCTCTACTGGTGTGCTAACCTTTCATCTTAGCATCTCTGCTGGTAGTTTCTGCTCCTTCTGCCCTTCACATCCTCTTCATTTGTCAAAATGCAACTCATATTTCATCTTTTTCTTGAAACTTGGCACAATCTAAGCTGATCCGGATCAGCTACTTCAAAATGGAGCAGGGGTGGGGGCTCCAGCAGCAGGAAGAGCAGTTTCAGAACTAAGGGCGTCAAATAAGGAACAGATGTGGGTTGTTACAGATTGGGAACGGATGTGGGTTACAGATTGGGAACGGCTGGAAGGTTGTTTACTGTAATTACGGGCAAGGAGGCAAGGTAGTTAGGCTTTGAAAATAAAGGACAAGAGGAACCTTTGAGGAGGAACTCACTGTTTCCAACAACTTTTAGAATCTTGCTAGGATACAAATGCAAATTATTTTTGTCTCATAGAAAAGATAATTTCTGAAGTTAAGTTTTAGTTCTCTGAAGGTGCATTAACCAGTTTTGTATCTAGCAATCTCATTCCTCATCTTTCTTCAGCAAATAAACAATGTTTCAGGTTATCTTTGAACTAGCTTTATCACCTGATTTTTTCCACATCAGTATTAAGTCTTTGACATGCACTTACATTGCATCCTCATACATTGGTATGAGGATTGTGTTTTACAACCTCTTGAAAATTATACTTTGATAAATAAGGGAACCATGACATCTGGAAATCATTGCAGCAGGTAGCTTTGTGTGCACCCCTCCAGCCCCTAGGAGAAGCAGATGGCACCTGTCAAGAGTAAGGGTCCCACACTGGGGCAGAGGGAGGAGTACAGAGGAGCCTTCCCTTAGCAAGATGAATCACTTTTGAGAGAATTCACCTAGGTTACTGTAAGCAGCCCCATTGTCTAGGGACAGAGACATTTCTTGTTGACATTTAAAAGAAAAACCTATACATCCTTGATATGGAGGCCTCGGGTGGGACAAACACCAGGAGCGTTTCTGCCCCGGGTTTGCAGGGGTGGGAGGGATGGTGCTCTAGGACAAGCTGAGCCCAAGCACTGGGTCACAGCACGGCTGAGCTGAGCAGTGAAAAGGGAGGGCCATCTCTGTGGCAATTTTGAAACAAGGTCACAAATTATTGGACCCTCTTTTCATGGAGAGATGGGGCCTGTGTTCCATCCTTCTGAATCTGGGAGGGCTGTGACTGCTATAGCCAACAGCGTACATCAGAAGGGACCCTGGGTGGCTCCCATAAAGGTCCCATCATAAAAGTCCCACCCTGAGCGCAGGAACACTCCCCCTCAGAGCCCTGAGGTGACCGCTCTGAGGTGTCGGGTATAAAGAAGCCTGGCCACACAGACAGGCTGCGTGCAGGTGCACGGGGACGGTCGCAGCTCGCCTCACCCCTGGGTGGCCCCGGGCAGGCATGGGAGTGAGGAAGCCCGGGGCCTGCTCTGGCCGCCCCAGTGACCTCGACACTCAGCTCTTTCCAGCCGAGGCCACAAGCATCACGGAGCAGGGGCCTGCCCACTCTGCCTCCTGAGAATTCTTGACCAGCAGAATTCACGAATGTACAAAGCTTCGGGGGTTATGTTTTAAATAACTTCATACTGAATCAAGTTGACCCTCAAGATCAAGATTCATTCTCAGCATAACTGACACGTTGGGCTGTAATTCTCTGGTGCGCGGTGGGTGGGCGCGCTGCCTCGGGTGCTGTAGGATGTTTAGCAGTATTGCCGGCTTCTACCCACCAGATGCTAGGAGCACTCCCTACCCAAGTTGTGACAACACAAAATGCCTCTAGACATTGCAATGTCCCCTGAGGACCAGAAGCTTCCAATCGGGAACCACTGGTCCAGATCCCTGGCCTCAAATGCTCCCGGACACCTGCCACACACCCACTTTAGGAAGCCAACTGTGGCTGGCATTGCACCGTGGTGTTACAGGTGCCTGGGTCCTTGTAATCTCCCAGGATAGAAATCAAGAGAGATCACCAGACATAGTAGCAAAGAGAGTTTATTTTAGCTTGTGCACAAGGAAGTCAGCACCAAGAAGGAAAAACGACTAGGCTGCTCCCCAAGGGTAGTGTGTGGGTTGGTTTTATAGGACCTTTCTCTGTGAAGGGTTACGTCAGGGCATGTTTAGGAGGGTTTTCCTAGTGCTTGAGTACTTACTGGCTTAACATTTTTTAAAAAACACATTGTGTGCAGTAGTAGCATTTTAAATCTCAAACTCCTGACCCCAGGTGATGCACCCAGCTCAGCCTCCCAAAGTGCTGGGATTACAGGCATGAGCCACTGTGCCCTTCCTACATTTCTGTTTTTATTCTACCAATAATTTTAAAGTCAGCTTGTTTAGCAAAGTTATACTTAAGTCAGGTGAACTTGAAAATTGCTTAAACTTATTTACTTTATTTATGAGTGCTCTTTTACTTGTAAGCCAATTTGGTAGACACAATGTATTACAATAGGTGTACATACAAATAAACACATCTAGACATGTAGACCCACACATAAACGAAGAACCAACAGCTTGGAACCTTAGCTGTGAGATAGCAATACAAGCTTGTTGGCATTTACTTTGTCTCAATAGATAATCCAACAAAGGCTGTGAACCAAAATTTCAGGTAAAGCAGTCTCCATGGAGCTTGATTTTTCAAGACCAAACCTCTCCAGATTCCAAAGAACACTGGGGCCAAACAGCACCCAAGGAGCATGTCACATGTTAACCAGGCCCCCTGCTTAGAACAGCAGCAACAAAGGCTGGATACATGCAATGCCATCCCACTTTCCCATTCAACAGGAAACTCCAGATTCCAAACTATACTGGGGCTAAACAGTATTGCAAACCGGAGAGAAAATTCTAAGGGGGGCTTAGTACTAGACCTCAAAACCTCTGCCGAGAGCACCCCCTTTGGAGAGGTTGAGATTCGGAGGATCCTCAGGGCGTCCCCCTATGGGGTCCAAAAGAGTGTCAGACGTCTCTGACCTTTCTCTGCATGTTTTCCCTCCAGAGCCTCCTATGAGCTATGAGCTTGATAAGGATAGCCCTGAACTGTAATGATACATAGGAACTGGATGCTGGGTGGGCTTTTTTGTCCTTAGATAGTTGAATAGGACAAGCAAAAAACTTAGCATAAGAAAAGGTTTAAGTCACCTGAAACAAGTGTGAGTTACCACCACCACCGTAGGGATCAGGGACCACACCTGGAAAAGATAAAAAAAAAAAAGAGTCATTCCCCCTTCTGGGTAGGGCAATTATTCCCATTCACTCTTTGGCCTTCAGGCGATACCAGGGAGTGACCCCAGCGAATTGCCCTCAATTTCCAAGAAGCTACTAGGAAACAGCCGCTAAAAGACTGAAAAACAAACAAAGGAAAAGAAAAAAGAAAAACACTCAGGTCCCTTAAGTGAATAGGGTGGTGGTGGTTAGGCACCTCCACATGGAAACCCCTTATTTCACTGGTCACAGCCAGAAACCTGCAGTTGCTTCCATGTTTCTGCGCTTCCCACCAAGGGTCCCGAGGTGGAAAGGAACAGACAGACAGAGAAAAATCTCCCTGTATGTAAAAGGGGAAAGGAGAAAAATAAATCCCAAACTTTGGGCCTACCTTCTCCTGGCTGGCTCGCCAAAATATGTTACCGGTGGAGGGTGTCCAGTTTCTTGGTGTCTTGAACAAAGAATTAGACAAAAGGCACAAACAAAATAAGGAAGGAATGAAGGGATTTATTGAAAATCAAAGTACACAGCTGGGCGCAGTGGCTCAAGCCTGTAATCCCAGCACTTTGGGAGGCCGAGGTGGGTGGATCACCCTGATGTCAGGAGTTCAAGACCAGACTGGCCAAGATGGTGAAACCCCGTGTCTACTAAAAATACAAAAATTAGCTGGGTGAGATGGCGGGCGCCTGTAATCCCAACTATTCGGGAGGCTGAGGCAGAGAATTGCTTGAACCTGGGAGGCAGAGGTTGCAGTGAGCCGAGATCAGACCACTGTACTCCAGCCTGGGTGACAGGGCAAGACTCTGTCTCAAAAAAAAGAAAAAAAAGAAAAGAAAATGAAAGTACACTCCACAGTGTGGGAGCAGGGCTGAACAGAGGGGCTCTAAGGCCCCGTTACAGAATTTCTGGGAGTTTAGATACCCTCTAGAGGTTATATTCCATTGGTTACTTTGGGTGCACCCTGTGTAAATGAAGAGGATGAAGTAAAGATACACAGTCTTTTACTCGGTGTGCACCCTGTGGAGAGGATATTTCCTGTAATAGCTGAAGTGTGAATCGGCCTTATGTTCCCTGCTTCCAGACCCTATTTTTCTGCTTCAGTTTGGATCTGTGTACCCCGACCAAATCTCATGGGGAATTGGAATCCCCAGTATTGGAGATGGGGCCTGGTGGGAGGTGATTGGATCACGGCGCGGAGTTCTCATGAACACCTTAACAGCATCCCCCCTCGGTACTGTAAAGTGAGTTCTCATGAGATCTGCTTGTTTGAAAAGTGTGGAACACCTTCCCCTTCTCTCTCTTCCTTCTGCTCCAGCCATGTAAGATGCCTGCTTCCCCTCTGCCTTCCACCATGATTGAAAGTTTCCTGAGACCTCCGGAGAAGCAGAAGCTGCTATGCTTCCTGTACAGCCTACAGAATCGTGAGCCAATTAAACCTCTTTTCTTGCCAGGCGCGGTGGCTCACGCCTGTAATCCCAGCACTTTGGGAGGCCGTGGAGGGTGGATCACGAGGTCAGGGGTTTGAAACCAGCCTGGCCAACATGGTGAAACCCTGTTTCTACTAAAAATACAAAAATTAGCCGGGTGTGGTGGTGGGCACCTGTAGTTCCAGCTACTGGAGAAGCTGAGGCAGGAGAATCACTTGAACCCGGGAGGCGGAGTTTGCAGTGAGCCTAAAAACAAACAAACAAAAAACTCTTTTTTTAATAAATTAGCCAGGTATTTCTTTAGAGCAGTGTGAGAACAGACTAATGCAGGGTGATCATTTGGATCTAGCTGCAAAGAGAAGTTTGACGTTTGCATTCATTGAGCCCTTTTAGAAAAGATCAGGCAGCTAACTGTTGGCAAGGGTATAGAAACTTGTGTGCTGGAAATCAAAAGGCCTGAGTACCTGTCCATATTTCCTGCAACTTGAGGGATCTCTGTATAGAAATTGAGAAAGAAAAGAAACTTTATCTGAGGAATGCAAGCCTGCTATAAATTATAGACCCACAGAGGCATGAGAGTGAGGCAGCAGTCCATCCCACCACCCGCCTTGAGCTAAGTAATCAGCTCTTGAAGCTGCTTGCTATGTGGGCTCTAGACCAGCTGCTGCCACAAGCAGCTATCAACTAACCAAGCAAGGCCACTCACTGGACACCATACTCCATACCCCACAGTTCACCAATGTATAGTCAATCACTAATCAATCTTATTTGTCTAACCAATGGGAATTCCTGACAAACAGCTGTATCAGCCCACTCCCTGTCCCTCTTATTGCTTTGGAAAACCTGCTTCTGTCAAAGGCCTAACAGAGCTCATATCCAAGGTGACCTGGGTCTGAGTCTTCCAGGTGGCTGTCCTCTCAACTTGGCTCAAGTAAACTTTTTTTTAACTGTTATTTTAGGTTTGGGGTACATGTGAAGGGAAACTTGCATCACGGGGTCCTTGTCGTACAGATTTTTTCATCACGCAGGTACTAAGCCCAGTACCCAATAGTTATCCTTTCTGCTCCTCTCCCTCCTCCCACCCTCCCCCATCAAGTAGACCCCAGTGTCTTGTTTCCAACCTATGTTGTTCATGATTTCTTATCATTTAGCTCGCACTTACAAGTGAGAACATGTGGTATTTGGTTTTCTGTTCCTGTGTCAGTTTGCTAAGGATAATCGCCTCCAGCTCCATCCATGTTCCAGCAAAAGACATGATCTTGTTCTTCTTTATGACTGCATAAACTCCTTAAAATTATATTTTGTGGCTGGGTGTCCTAGCACTTTGGGAGGCTAAGGTGGGTGGATCACCTGGGGTCAACAGTTCAAGACCAACATGGTGAAACCCCGTCTCTACTGAAAAATACAAAAATTAGCCGGGCATGGTGGCGGGAGCCTGTAATCCCAGCTACTTGGGAGGCTGAGGCAGGAGAATTGCTTGAACCCAGGAGGTGAAGGTTGCAGTGAGGCGAGATTGCGCCATTGTACTCCAGCCTGGGCAACAGAGCAAAAACTCCGTCTCAAAATAAATAAATAAATAAAATAAAACCAAAGTATATTTTGTGCCTCAGTTCCTTCTTTTAGGTCAACAAAATAATAAATTATTTATTGGCCGGGCGCGGTGGCTCACGCCTGTAATCCCAGCACTTTGGGAGGCCACGATGGGCGGATCACGAGGTCAGGAGGTCGAGACCATGCTGGCTAACACAGTGAAACCCCGTCGCTGTTAACAATACAAAAAATAGCTGGGCGTGCCTGTAGTCCCAGCTACTTGGGAGGCTGAGGCAGGAGAGTGGCGTGAACCTGGGAGGCGGAGCTTGTAGTGAGCCGAGATCGCGCCACTGCACTCCAGCCTGGGCGACAGAGCGAGACTCCATCTCAAAAAAAAAGAAAAAAAAATTATTTATCATTATTAAATAAGAACCCATAGATGTAACGCTGCTGTGTGCAAACCTAAATGTCAGTCATATCGTGGAGTAGAAAAAGAGAAAGTTGAAGTTCTAGACCCAGCTTTGCCCCTTACTAGCCTTGGGTTCTGGAGCAAGCCACCTGGTCTGAAAGTGGCTTTCCTGGGCTATGACAGTGCATAGTACAGTCTGCCCTGTGGGGCTCACCAACCTGCAGATAGGAGCAAACAAAGCCATGCACAGGAAGATGCAGGCAATGCACGGTGTTAGTAAAAGACCATCTCAGAAATAGGAGCCACTGTTTTCCTAAGCCCAAATGGACTAATTAGCCCAGACAGCCCCCTCACTCATACCCATGTTGAATCAGTCCCAGAAACACTGTCAATTCCAACTAAGCAATGTCCCTTGATTCTGCACTCTCCTCTCCAGCTGCAGGACCAATGTCTTGGGTTTCTTTTACGTGTTTGAGAAACACCCCATACCTTGTAGCATAAACCAGTGATGATGTTGTTATGCCCACACATTGTGAGGGTCTGGAATTCTAAAAAGGCCCAGTTGGGATGACTGCCATTGCTCCACAGTGTTTGGAGCCTCTGCTGGGAAGACTCACTTGGTTTCAATTTGTTCAAATGGCTGGGCCCTGAGACAGCTGGGGCTGGAGAGTGCGCATACTGGGTGAGCCCTTCCTCCCACATGGGGCACTGGGCTGGGATGGTGGAAAGACAGGCCCAGCTGAGACGGTCAAACAGAGCCCCACCCCCATGTGGCCTCTCATCCCTCAGAGCCCCCCATGTGTCCCCCCCCCCACAAGAGTCCCCCCATGTGTCCTCCCCTCCACCAGAGTCCCCTCAGCATGGGGGGGATCTCTGGGATCCTTCTGAAGTAGCAGCTGGATTCTGAGAAAAATCTTCCCAAGACGGGCCTCCAGGGAATCAGCACTCCAGCCGTTTTCCAGCCTCCTCGAGTCATAGGACATCACCTCACTCTGCTCAGTAGCTGGGGGCATCGCCTTTCTTTATCTTTGTTTTTTTTTTTTTTTTTTTTGAGACAGAATTTCACTCTTTTACCCAGGTTGGAGTGCAGTGATGCGATCTCGGCTCACCGCAACCTCTGTCGTCTGGTTTCAAGCGATTCTCCTACCTCAGCCCCCTGAGTTGCTGAGATTACAGGCACCAGACACCACGCCCAGCTAATTCCACACCCAGCTAATTTTTGTATTTTTAGTAAAGATAGGGTTTCACCATATTGGCCAGGTTGGTCTCAAACTCCTGACCTTGTGATCCGCCCGCCTCCCAAAGTGCTGGGATTGCAGGCGTGAGCCTCCGCGCCCAGCCCGCCTTTCTTTTAATGCTTTGATATCTGGCAATTCCTTTTCTTATTTCCCTGAAATGAATGCCTGGCTTAGAGTAGGAAACGAATTTGTTGAGTTAATAGATTGGTGAAATGACTGCAGTGCTATGATGTTGAGAAATATTTTCTTTTCGGTCAGCATACACATATATGTGTATATGCTTATGGGGGTGTGGGGTAGGTGTATATACGCATGTGCACGCCCATTCGTGTATATCTCCCAGGCACTGTTTTGCAGGACAAATAGAAATTCCTCTCTGAATTTTTCATCCTTAGGTATTTTTACAGCATTCCTTTCTATTTCTATCTGGCTTAGACATTGGAGCAGTTCTTAGGATGCTTGCTGCAGCCAACAGACAAAAGGAAAAGTGACTTCTCTACACTTTATGATTTACATCAATTTTATGTAATTAAAGTAATTTAGAGCTGAGTTTCTGAGCTTATAATTAGGGTTTTAAAGCTTATGTAAAGCTGCTCTTTCAAGGAGAATTACTTCTTAGATATAAGAGCAGATTTGGACAGAAGCATTTGGATTCTGTCAAAAGACATTATTTTGTGTGTATCTGCCTACTGTGAATACCGACATAACTTCCACACTAAATTATGACTATGGCTTCTTGAAATGTCACCAAAAACAATGTGATAAAAACGCAAGAATATGTCCTGTTTAGTGATAACCTCTATAGTGAATTTCATTGGGTAAAATTAAAATAATCTACAGGAAGACTGTATTTATTTATGAGTCAGTTACGAGAAAACATTCTGAGGAAATGATTGAGTCTTTTCACCCTCAATTTACTGTTTTAAAATGCGGGTAATTATTTTTTCGGTCTCTTGGGAATTTAACTATTACACAACTTATTACCCCATACAAGTATTCAAATATGAGACTGACTCATATATACTGTTTCACATTATTCTTTTAAAATTGAGAAAATTATTGAATATAATTAAAAATTCATAAAATACTTTCAATGTTACTGTATTTCTACCAGTTTTATTTCTTCTCATTAAAAATCCAAACCATTAGCCTTTTGCAGAGAGCTAAGAGTTGACTCTATCATACAGCTAGAATATATATTTACGTGATTTATCCTGGAGTTGACTGCATGTAAGTGATATATTAGAGGTACTCTCATTAAGAATGTTTGTTTTGTGCCACGCGTGGTGGCTCACACCTGTAATCCCAGCACTTTGGGAGGCCGAGGGGGTGGGTCATGAGGTCAGGAGTTCGAGACCAGACCGACGAACATGGTGAAACCCCATCTCTACTAAAAATAGAAAAATCAGCCAGGCATGGTGGTGTGCATCTGTAATCCCAGCTACTTGGGAGGCTGAAGCAGGAGAATCGCTTGAACCCAGGAGGCGGAGGCTGCAGTGAGCCGAGATTGCGCCACTGAACTCCAGCCTGGGTGACAGAGCAAGACTCCATCTAAAAAAGAAAAGAAGAATGTTTGTTTTGTCTTAAATAACTGAACCAAACATATATGTATATACATAATGTTTATATAGAAAAAAGGGCTAGAGAAATACCCTGAAAAAAATTTCCTTTTACTTATTTTCAAATGTTTTATAATGAAAACATCCTACTGTTGTAAAGAGAAATATCACTTAAAAATTAAAATCCAGAAATGCAAAACTATATCATCTGGTTTCTTCACGTCAATATAATTAAAATTCATACTTCTGGCCAGGAACGGTGGCTTGCACCTGTAATCCCAGCACTTTGTGAAGCTGAGGCGGGCAGATCACCTGAGGTCAGGAGTTTGAGACCAGCCTGGCGAACATGGTGAAACCCAGTCTCTACTAAAAATACAAAAATTAGCCAGGCTTGGTGGCGGGAGCCTGTAATCCCAGCTACTTGGGAGGCTGAGGCAGGAGAATTGCTTGAGCCTGGGAGGTGGAGACTGCAGTGAGCCGAGATCATGCCACTGCACTCCAGCCTAGGTGACAGAGTGAGACTCCGTCTCAAAAAAAAAAAAAAAAAAAAAAAAAAAAAATCATACTTCTTAGCTGTTCTAGGATGCTGGGCACATTAAAGGAGTAAGACTTGGTTACTGATTGAAAATAAGTCATAAAATTTTGACCAGTAGGACAAAAGTATACACTTAAAACTGTTAAATCAAACCCAAAAGTTAAAATCTTTTGAGCTGTATGAAATGGCTGATTATCTATCAAAATAATGCTTTTGGCTGGGTGAGGTGGCTTACGCCTGTAATCCCAGCATTTTGGGAGGCCAAGGCAGGTGGATCACTTGAGGTCAGGAGTTCGAGACAAGCCTGGCAAACATGGTGAAACCCCGCCTCTACTAAAAACACAAAAGTTAGCTGGGTGTGGTGGCAGGTGCCTGTAATCCCAGCTCCTTGGGAGGCTGAGGCAGGAGAATCGCTTGAACCTGGGAAATGGAAGTTGCAGTGAGCCGAGATCGCGCCATTGCACTCCAGCCTGGGCACCAAGAGCAAAATTCTGTCTCAAAATAATAATAGTAATAATAATAATGCTTTCATTGACTGCAAAATTACTTCCTTTGTTATTGACATTTGGGAAGTCAGTATCTTTGTCACATGAAAACTACTATAAAATATACATATTAAACATAAGAAGCTAGCAAAAACTAAAGAGGGTAAGTCTAATATTTATTTCACTTCATACATTTTAACTTGATGAGGAAACATTTTTATTATTTTATTTTATTTATTTTTTTGAGATAGAGTCTAGCCCTGTTGCCCAGGCTGGAGTGCAGTGGCATGATCTCGACTCACTGCAACCTCTGCCTCCCAGGTTCAAGCGATTCTCCTGCCTCAGCCTCCCAAGTAGCTGGGATTACAGGCGCCCACCACCAGGCCTGGCTAATTTTTGTATTTTTTTTTTTTTTTTTTTTTTTTTTGAGACGGAGTCTCGCTCTGTCGCCCAGGCTGGAGTGCAGTGGCGCGATCTCGGCTCACTGCAAGCTCCGCCTCCCGGGTTCACGCCATTCTCCTGCCTCAGCCTCCCGAGTAGCTGGGACTACAGGCGCCCGCCACCACGCCCGACTAATTTTTTTTTTTGTATTTTTAGTAGAGACGGGGTTTCACCGTGTTAGCCAGGATGGTCTCGATCTCCTGACCTCGTGATCCGCCCGCCTCGGCCTCCCAAAGTGCTGGGATTACAGGCGTGAGCCACCGTGCCCGGCCTAATTTTTGTATTTTTTAGTAGACACGGGGTTTTCTCCATGTTGGCCAGCTGATCTCAAACTCCTGACCTCAAGTGATCCACCTGCCTCAGCCTCCCAAAGTGCTGGGACTACAAGTGTGAGCCACCATCCACGGCCAAATCCTGGTTTTCAAAACAGAGAGGATAACACAATTAAATATATCATATGATTATTTATTTGCTTTAATTGACATTGCACACACTCCATTCTCAGAATAACGATGACATCACTATCACCCAAAATGATTACTGAAAGGCTAAAAAGACATTTTTCATACGCTCTCCCAGTGCCCTCCTCATATGTCTTCAGAGTGGTGGTGTATCTACATTGTCAAGTCATGGATCTGTTGCATACTAGCTTCTCTTTTTTGAATCCATTGATGTGCTAGGAAATGTTTAACAAGAGACTCTCCAGAAAAAGGGGGAAAAAGCCCTGATTCATAGCATTTTGCAGCTTTCCATGGAGTAAATACTTTCACCATTGGTGAGCTATCAAGGTGACATCATTAAATGTGGAGTTCGGGAAAAGATGTGCAGAAGCTGACCCTATCTCCACCATTTGATACAATCAATGTAAATAACCTCAAAAGCATAGATAATTGTAAAATGTAGTAACATAATTATGAAGCGATGTGTTTTTAGTGTTTACTGTTTTTAATTTATTTAAATGTACGTACATGTATATACTTTAACTGTTCATAATGTCTATGTTTAATAACCAACTCATAAAATTCTTGAAAAGTTCATTGGCTCTCATAAGCTTGTCCAAATTGCCTCCAGCAAACAGCTGGCCATATCTACAGCTGTATCTACCTACCCACCCACTTAATATTTGCCATCTGTCTTTACGTCAATGTCTCTGCAGTCATTGTGACTGTTTGAAACTTGTTCACTAGTAGATTCCTTAGGAATAGCTTATGGTAACTGTATTTCCTGAGTCTTTGCATTTTGGTAACACTTTGCTGCTTTTATACTTGAAAATTATTTTGGCTTATCTTTACTTTCCTCGAGTATCTTTTTTCATTTTATTTTATTTTTTTTATTTTTTTTGAGACAGAGTCTCACTTTGTTACTCAGGCTGGAGTGCAGATCATAGCTCCCTGCAGCCTCAACCTCCTGGGCTCAAACGATCCTTTCAGCTCAGCCTCCTCAATAGCTGGAACTACAGGTGCATGCCACCATGCCTGGCTAATTTTTTGAAGAGACGGGGTTTTGCCACATTGCCCTGGATGCTCTTGAACTCCTGGGCTCAAGCGATTCACCCGCCTCAGCCTCCCAAAGTGCTGGGATTACAGGTGTGCGCCACCACACTTGGCCTGAATATGTAACTCCATTTTGTTCTGACATAAGGCATTGCTGTTGAAAAATCTGATGTCAAACTAATTTTCTTTCAAAATGTCAGTGCATCTTCTTTTGGTGGGGAAAGGAACCCCAAGAAATTTTATTTCTTCCCTCTTTCCCCTTCTTCCTTCTTTCCCCTTCTTCCTTCTTTCCTTTCTCTTCCAATAATTTTACTAGAATGTCTTGGTATTGGATATTTGGACTCCATTTTCCAAGGTGTTTAGATAATCTTTCAATATGTCGTTTCAAGTATATGCTTATTTCAGGAAACCTTTCCTGAATTATACATCTTGTTTGTTTGGATCTATTCCTTTTGATTTTCTTTTTTTTTTTTTTTTTTTTGAGACGGAGTTTCACTCTTGTTGCCCAGGATGGAGTGCAATGGCACGATCTCGGCTCACTGCAACCTCCGCCTCCCAGGTTCAAGCAAGTCTCCTGCCTCAGCCTCCTGAGTAGCTGGGATTACAGGCCTGCACCACCACGCCCAGCTAATTTTGTGTTTTTAGTAGAGACAGGGTTTCTCCATGTTGAGGCTGGTCTTGAACTCCTGACCTCAGGTGATCCACCTGTCTCAGCCTCCCAAAGTGCTGGGATTACAGGCGTGAGCCACCGCGCCTGGCTGATTTTATTTCTTTAGGAACTAATATATCTGTGTGTGTGTGCGCATGCACGTGTACCCATGTGTACAGGGTCTTCCTTGCCTGTTTCCTATATATGTATATCTGTCATTTCCTTTTAAATCTTTTTCATCTTGTACTAATTTTCTACCACTGTGTAGCATATCACCATAAATTTAGTGTCTTAACACATTTATTATCTTACAATTTTGCCTTCAGAAGCCCACCATGGGTCTCACTGAGCTAAAACCAGGGTGTCAGTAGGTCTGGATTTCATTCTGGAGGCTTTAGGGCAAATCTGTTTTCTTCCCTTTTCCAGCTTCTAGAGGTAGTACACATCCCTTGGCTCATGACCACTTTCCTCCATCCACAAAGCCAGCAATGTACCATTTCTCAGACCGTTTCTTCCATAGCTGCATTTCCTTCATACCACTGCAGTCGACTCTCCACTGTTAAGGACCCATGCAATTAGGCTGGACTCAGCCAGATGATCCAGGATCAGGCTTCTCTCTTGAGATCCATAAGGTAGTCACATTTGCTGTCACTTTGCCATGTCAGGTGACACAGGCACAGGTTCTGGAGATTAGGATGGGGACATCTTTGGGTGACCGTTATCCTGTACCACACGTCTCTTTTATAGCCTCATATTTTTTCATCTTTTCTTTTAATGCATTATCAGTTCTGTTTATTTGCTCGTGTTTCTTTCTCTCTTCATTTCTGAAATGTTTTTAAAATTTTTACTTCTTTTCTGAGTTTGTCATCTCCTTTCTGTATATTTCTAAATCTGACACGTCATTTTTTCATATCTAATGTCATTTTAGATGTTTATTAACTTATTTTAAAATATTTTAGTTTTCATCTGTTTTGAAGCCATGGCTTTCTGTCATAATTTATTTTCTAAAGAAATTATGTTTTATTCTCTTTTTTTCTTCATAATGACTTTGTATGGGATTTGACCTTAGTTTTTTTGGTACTCATTTTCAAGTAATGCTAGTTTTCCTGACTTTTAGAAGGGAAGACTTAATTAGGGTAGTTTTTCTAATTTCATGGCTCTCCTTTCTCTTTATTGATTCATCTCAAATTCAATAACAATTCAATAAGTTGGCCCTTGATAAGCTGATTCAGTATCTTATCTGGATGAGAAAAGGCCTAAGAATAGCCAAAGAATTCCTGAAAGAGAAGAATAAATGAAAGATTGCCCTATCAGATGTCAAAACATATTATACAGTTTTAATAATTTAACACTGTTATTAGTGTAGTTATGGAAACACATACAAATGAAACAGAATGGAGAACCCAGGAAAAAAACTGACATATATCAAGCTGATTTATGTTAGTGTCAGCATTGTAGCTATCTGGGTAAAGAAGCAACTCCTCAATATAAGAGATGCTGAAATAATTGGTTATATATGTGTGAAAAAATGAAATTTGATATCTCCCTCACTCCATACGCTAAATTCCAGGGAGATTAAGGATTCAAATATAAAAAGCAACACTTTTAAACTTTCAGCAGAATGTACAGAATAATATTTATAGACAGTAAGTTTGGTTTCTGAATACCATTCTCCACTAAAAGGAAATAGAGATACGTGGAAAAATGGCTGGCTCCAGAGCTGGGAGAGGGAAGACCACTGACTCTGTAAAAGGACACAGGAGTCAAAAGGACACCAGCCAGGGCTGGGACAATCTGAGCAGCAAAATAAACAATAAAAATAATGGATTATAACTAACTGAGTAAAATAGGAGTCTATACACCAAACTGATATAAATAAATAAATAAAACAAGAAGGAAAAGCTCTTGTTTAGAGTAGATGCCTACTAATAAATGTAGATGTTATGATGAAGTAAAACAAAATGATGAAACCTCACCATTTTGCAGCCATCTTATTAGTAACTGATTGAAGAAAAAAGTTGTCTTTTTTTTTTTTTTGAGATAGAGTCTTGCTCCATCGCCCAGGCTGGAGTGCAGTGACGCGATCTCAGCTCACTGCAACCTCTGCCTCCCAGGTTCAAGCGATTCTCCTGCCTCAGTCCCCCGAGTAGCTGGGATGACTGGTGTGCGCCACCACGCCCGGCTAATTTTGTATTTCTAATAGAGACAGGTTTTTGCCATGCTGGCTGGGCTACTCTCTAACTCCTGACCTCGGGTGATCCACCCACCTTGGCCTCCCAAAGTGCTGGGCTTACAAGCATGAGCCACGGTGCCCGGCCAAGAAAAAAGTTTTCAATGGATGCTATATTAGTTATCTACTGCCATGCCACAAATTACTCCAAAACTTAGTGGCTATTTTTTATTTTTGGACAGTTTTTGTGGGACAGGAATTTGGGAATGGCTTTTCTGGGTGATTCTGGCTTGGGCCTACTCATGAGATTGCAGTCCAGATGCTAGCTGAGGCTGCAGTAATCTGAGGGCTTGATCAGGGCTATGGGAGTATCTCCGTGGTGGCTCACTTACATGGTCATTGGCAGTAGGCCTCATTTCTTCACCATGTGCACCTCTCCAAATGGCAACTTGAGTATCCTCACGACATGACCTCTGGCTTCTCCAGAGCAAGCGCTCCAAGACAACAAGGAGGAAGACACAGTGTCTTTCTTTACAACTTAGCCTCAAAAGTCAGACTGCATCACATCCTCAACTACCTATTGGTTACGTAAGCCATTCCTATGCAGTGTGGGAGAGGACCACACAGACATGTACTTATTAGGAGATGGGATCACTGGGGCCATTTTGGAGGGTGGCAACCAGATGCTAAAGTTGGTGGAGAAAAGTTTGATGAGGGAGAGGATATCCGCGTAGTCTCAAAGTGTCTCATATTAATTACAAAAAGGAAATAACAGTTTTACAATGAAAAAACCTCACACATGCCACTTAACCAAGTGGCCAAAATTGGTATCACCAATAATAGGACAAACCGACATCACGGGCTTCTTATCCAATGAACCAAGTAAACATCATGTATGTGGTATTCCTGCCAAAAACGCATAATGTAAATCTAATCCAGAGAAGACACTGGGTAAACCCTAATTGAAAGGCATTCTACAAAACACCTGACCTGTACTCTTTCAAGAACAGCAATGCCCCAGTAGACAAAAACAGGCTGGAACCACTCCAGGTTAAAGGATACTAAAGAGAGGTGACAAATGATGATACAGACCGAATCATGAACTTGGAAAAAAACATGACTATTAAGGACATTATTAGAGCAGTTGGTAACTTTTGCATATGAACCATGGATTCGTTAACAGTAGCTTTGTGCTCACCAGTTCACTGATTCCCTGAGAGTTGATTGTTAAACAGCAAAGCATGTTTTGAGCTGGTTGTTAAGCTGTTGATAACCTGAAATCAGCCATGATGAGCCACTTACCATGGTATTTTGGGAAAACTCTCTCAAACTGTGTTTTTCCTCTGCTCTCACACCACAACAGCAATCATCAACACAGAAGACTCCTGTGACCATATGTGTGGGAACTTCTCCCCACCACCAAGAGGCAGACACAAGCCAGGACCTCCACCCAGTTCCTTCACTATCTATCTGGAGGTAGCATCAGATCCCACAGATTGAGGGCTCAGACCCCAAGACCACCCTCACCCCCAGATATCAGTTGCAAATCTGGGCCTTGGGAAATTCTGATTGAGCTTCAAGTTGGGGTTCCCATGACCCCCTCTTTGGGTTTGATTGATTTGCTGGAGTGGCTCACAGAACTCAGGGAAACACATTTGCTGTTTTATAATAAAGGATATTACAAAGGATACAGATGAAGAGATGAGGTGCGGAGGAAGGGGCTCAGAGCTTCCATGCCTGGGGCGCCACCCTCCAGGAACCAGGAACCTCCATGTTTTCAGCTATCCGGAAGCTCTCTGAACTCAGTCCTCTTGAGTTTTCATGGAAGCTTCATGACGTCAGCATTCCTTCCCCCAGTGTGTATGGCAGGACCCTCTCTGAAAAGTCTTAAGACCCACAGTTGGAAAGGTGGGAGAAGATGGAATCCTGCCTTGGGGCAGGTGAAAGGAGGGCAGGAGAGAGATTCTGTTTCTTGAGGCCTGCCCTTGCGGCCTAACACACCCCACATTTTAATAAAAGACTGTAACAAGGACAATGGTAGTTATGAACCAAAGTAAACCATCACACATGGGAACTGGCAAATGTTACAAATCAGGTCCTCTCTCCCTCTCTCCCTGTCTGGACAGTGCACCAGCTTGCCACTTGGTAACAGTATTATAACAATGCTGTCTCCTGATTTAGATAAGTGTACTGTGTGGAGTAATGGTCTTATTCTTAGGAAGACGTGGTAAAGTGTTTAAGGGTAAGGGGATCAGATGTCTACAACTTAATCCCAAATAGTTCAAGATAGATAGGTCAATAGACTGAAAGAGAAATTGATCAATAGATAAAGTTAATATGGCAAAATTGTGACAACTGGTGTATCTGAATAAATAGGTCTTTGTAGTATTCTTGCCATTTTTCCTTTAAGTTTGAAGTTTTTTCAAAATAAAACGTTTTTTAAAAAACCCTCCAACAGCTAACGTTACCTGGGTTATTAAGTCTAATAAACATGACTGACTTGCCCAAAGTCATATAGAACATTAATGTTTGGTCCAAAGCTGTCATGACACCTTGAAGTAGCCTTTTCTGAAAATGTTTAAATTTCTTTAAAATTTCTTGTGATCAAATTAATGTGTGAATATTTTTTATATCTAAAAAATAATGTTACGCGTAAACTTTGAAATTAAAAACTAACTTGGTATTTTGTTTGGGCCTGATAATTCCTGGCCGTAGGGGCTGTTCTGCACAGTGTAGGGTGTGTAGCGGTATCTCTGGGCTCTGCCAACTAGATGCCTGTAGCAGAGTGTCCCTCCCCCTACCCACAATCAAAATGTCTCCAGACCTTGTCAGATGTCCCCGGGGGAGGGCAAAATCGCCCCAATAAAGAACCACATTTCTAGAGTCAGTGTGATATAACAAAGTCAAAAGGGAAAAGAAGGCTGGTCACAGTGGCTAAGGTGACAAGGTCGCTTGAGCCCAGGAGTTCAAGGCTGCAGTGAGTCATGTTTGCACTACTGTGCTCCAGCCTGGGTGACAGAGTAAGACTCCTTCTCAAAAAAAAAAAAAAAAAAAAGGAAAAAAGAGATAAAGAGGCCGGCAATATGTGCAATATACATACATATGAAAAAAAATTTAAAGAGACCAAGGGTTTTTCCAATGGGTATATCCCAAACTTTGTCTTGTGTGTGTGTTTAATCCTTTTGTGCTCTTAGAGTTATTATCAGTCAAATATTCTATTTGACACACATTTTAGAGAATGAGTTTATAACCATTTTTGGAATTTAAATAGTACTGCCATCTAATGGTGTTAATCAATTAATTCCAGCCCTGATACACTGGCCAGATTCTGAGGCTGAATGTCAGATACTGAAGTAATGGGAGTTAAAACAGTGAGTCAAAACAGCGAGTTAACCACAAATCAAAGTAGTTCTTCAAGAAGGAGCAGTACAGAGCTTCCGACACACTGAGAATGTGCATTTCCAAGGTTTGAACGTACCATATATGGCTATGGTACCAGGCCTATGGCTTTTGAACCAATGAATTTTTTGTATACATGCACTTAGCAACACAATAATTACATTTATAAAGGGGGCTAGGCATTGTAAAGCTAAATAAATAACAAAATCCTCAGAGAATTAGTAAAAGAAAAACACTTTCATATTGTTCTCAGCATTTATTTTAAAACACCTAATTTGAAGGTATCAATTAACATAGCCAATTAACTGATAATATTAGCTATCCGTTTTCCCTCTAAAGCAGCCTTGTTGTCTGGGATATCAGCTGAGGTTTTTTGTCTCATGGCCACAGAAATGAAGAATGCAGACACACAAAGGGTGAAGTTAGAGAAGTGTAATAGGCAAAAGGAAAAGGACAGCTCTCTCTCACAGAGAGAGGTCCCAGACGGGTTGCCGTGCTGCAGTAAAATGGAGGGTTTTTATCAACGAGCTAGTAGGGAGCGGGTATCTTATCTACATAGGGCATGAAAACCTGGTTAGGACCAGGTGTGTCATCTGTATAGAGTGGAATCTCTGGCAGCCCCTACCCCATTCTTTTATCATGCAGGCAGGCTCTTAGCTTGGGCGACTCCACACTGCCTTTCTCCTTCCACCTTGCATGTGCTAACAAGAATAGGGGGAGTTTCCATGCCTTGTCCTGGGTACCTCCTTGCAGCTGCAGGCATTTCCCCCACCCCACCATGCAAGCTTCTAGCTAACCTTAGTGTGTCCCTGTCCAAAAAAGGGGAAAGGAATGTGCTCATTAAAGCCTACTGTTTTTACTGGGACCCATTTATGTAAGTTTGGTGACTACCCAAGAAACTCTCCCTCTGTGCCGGAGATGCTTATCTACATTATACAGTCCAATCTTCCAGGCTGCTCTTTGTTAAAAGAGAAGTGATTTATTTGGACTGCCTGTGGTTAGAATGGAAGTAATTTCTGAGCTGTTTTTTGTCAGAAGAAAAGCTTTTGTCAGGGACTCTTTCACCCTATCTACCTACCTAAATTATTTCTATCTCCTGTATTGCCTCTACCCATCTTAGTTCTCTGGCTGAGGTCCTGTAAATTAGACTGGCCAAAGACAGGTTTGTAGCCACAGACAAAACCCCTCAGACACCGAGTTGTAGAAGGAAGGGCTTTATTCAGCTGGGAGCATCAGCAGACTCACGTCTCCAAAAACCGAGCTCCCCAAGTGAGCAATTCCTTTCCCTCTTAAGGGCTTACAACTCTAAGGGGGTCCACATGAGAGTGTCATGATCGATTGAGCAAGCAGTGGGTATGTGATTGGGGGCTGCATGCACTGGTAATTACAATGGAACAGAACAGGACAGGGATTTTCACCGTGTTTTTCTTTTTCTATAAAATGTCTGTAATCTATAGGTAACATAACCGATTAGGTCAGGGGTTGATCATTAACTAGCATGTCCTGCCTTTAGGCAAAGAAAGGGAAGGCAGAGTTTTTCTTTTATTTGTTTCTTCTCAATCGTCTTCAGCTCAAAATAATCCTTATGCCAAAGAAGCATATGTTAGGGTGGCATATTCTGGTGTAACATCTTTGTCTCAGCAGGCAGTGAAAAATAATTTAAAAAGCCACCTTCTCTGCCTGCTGCACACTGCCCCTTGGTGGCCATCATTTTAACTGTCTTTGGTAAAGGTAGCTTTTCTTTTTTTTGCTTTGAGACGGAGTTTCGCTCTTACTGCCCAGGCTGGAGTGCAATGGCACATCTCGGCTCACTGCAACTTCCACCTCCCCAGTTCAAGCGATTCTCCTGCCTCAGCTTCCCGAGTAGCTGCAATTACAGGCGCCTGCCACCACACCCAGCTAATTTTTGTATTTTTAGCAGACGGGGGTGTTTCACCATGTTGGCCAGGGTGGTCTTGAACTCCCGACCTCAGATGATCCACCCGCCTAGGCCTCCCAAAGTGCTGGGATTACAGGTGTGAGCCACCATGCCCAGCCCAGAATGACCTTTGCTATCTCTTGCCTTCTGCATCTCTTCATTCAATCATTTTCTCTTAGTTTAATTCTAGTCAATTAAATTAAATTCTATAAATATTGAGAGAAAGCAAAATATCATGAAAAGAACATGAGCTGAAAACCAAATAGACTTGGGTGGTTCATCTCAGCTGCTAGCTGTGTGTCTGTGGGCATACTACCTAGCTTATTGGAACACTGTCTCATCTGTAAAATGGAGTTGTTTAAAAATAACTCAACATGCTCAGATCATGGAGAAAATGAAATTAGGTTGTATATTCAAAACAACTAATAATAGTTAATATTTTTATTATGTTATGATTGGGATTTTGAATACAATCTACTATCTAGCTATACATATTCACATCTACGGAGATTTTTATCCTAATTTACAAACAGAAAACTGAGGCAGAGAGACATTAGCTAACTTCCTGTGGTTAACATAACTAGTAAGTGGATTTGAACCCATGTAATGTGGCTGTAAAGTCCATGCTTTTAACCACTACACACAACCTGGTAAATCCTTGTTGAAATAAGAAAGCAATTTCAGTAAGTTGTACTGTACCAAAAGAAATGTGGAATTCATCTCTTTTCCCAACATGCTACTATCTTTTGAACATTTAAAAAAACTAATAGGCCATTGAGAACCTTATTTATTCACCACTACCTAAACTATCCTGATCTTTATGGGAACAGAATAGATGACTTCAATGAGAAGGCATTAATATTACTGAGTGCAGACTGAAAGACTATCTCGATGATTAACGACACATTTTCATTTTTTTTTTTTTTTTTTGAGATGGAGTCTCATTCTTGTTGCCCAGGCTGCAGTGCGGTGGCGTGATCTTGGCTCACTGCAACCTCCGTCTCCCAGGTTTCAAGTGATTCTCCTGCCTCAGCCTCCTGAGTAGTTGGGATTATAGGCACGCGCCACCACTCCCAGCTATTTTTTTGTATTTTTAGTAAAGATGGGGTTTCACCATGATGGTCAGGCTGGTCTGGAACTCCTGACATCGTGATCCACCCACCTCAGCCTCCCAAAGTGCTGGGATTACAGGCATGAGCCACCATGCCTGGCCTTCAATTTTTAACATTTAAGAAAAAGTGACATTCCAAGAATATGCAAGTGGAAAGCCAGAAAGCATTTCCCCTATCCTATCCTGAGTTTATTCTCATAAGAATCTAGTTGTTTAAAAACTAAGTTACTGGAACATATTTGTGATTAATTTTATGTGTCAACTTGACTGGGCCATAGAGTGCCCAGATACTTGCTGAAACATTATCCTGGGTGTGTGTATGAGGGTGTTTTGGGATGAGATTAACATTTAAATGGATAGCCTGAGTAAAGCAAATTGACCTCCCTAACATATGAGTGAGTCTCATCCAATCAGTTAGAAGCCTGAATAAAACAAAAAAACTGATCCTCCCTGAGTAAGAAAGAATCTCTCCTGCCTTCTGATCTTTTGACTGGGACATCAGCTTGTTTCTTGCCTTCAGACTCAGATTGAAACACTGACTCTTCCTGGATTTCAAGCCTGCTAGCCTCTGGTCAGGAACTATGCCATCAGTTCTCCTGGGTCTCCAGCTTGCTGGCTCATCCTGTAGACTTGCCAGCCTCAGTGATCTTGTGAGTCAGTTCCTTATATGAATCTCCTTATATATATACCCGTATACATACATATATCGTATTGGTTCTGTTTCTTTGGTAAACCCTAATACAATATTTATATTTCTTTGTTTTTTTTTTTAGACAGGGTCCCACTCTATCTCCCAGGTGGGAGTGCAGTGGCGAGATCATGGCTCACTGCAGCCTCAACCTCCCAGGCTCAAGTGATCCTCCCACCTCAGCCTCCTGAGTAACTGGGACTACAGGCCATGCCATCACGCTTGGCTAATTTTTGTATTTTGTGTAGAGAGGGGTTTTGCCATGTTACCCAGGCTGGTTTTGAACTCCTGAGTTCAAGCAATCTGCCCACCTCACCCTCCCGAAGTGTTGGGATTACAGGTGTGAGCCACCGCCCCGGCCAATATTTATATTTCTCAGACGCATCCTCTTTTTTCCATGTTCACTTGTGCAATTTTAGTTGATGTCCTTCTTCTTTCCTGGACTATTGGAATAATTTCCTTGTTCCAGTGTCAGTACATCCAATTCACCCATCCCCTCCTTGCTTCTGGAGTGCTCTTTCTAAATACAAATAGGCTAATGACATTTTGCTTTTAAACTTGTTTAGCACGCTATTTCACACCTTCAAGATGAAAGTCAAATTCATTAGATTGGTGGATAAAGTCCTTCCCAATCCAGTCATTTCTTCATCTCCAGCCACGCCACACTACCTGCCACTTCTTGCACAGAGCAATCTGCCTTAGCCTCTTGGTCTTGCACTCTTGTATGTTCGGGTACTTCTGCCTGGAATGCCTCTTTCTTATTCAATCAGGAAACTCTCATAACAGGTGTGTGTGTCTGACATTAAGTGTCACCTCCTTAGCATACATCTTGGATTTACCTCCCTGAAATCCAGGGGTGAAGGAGTCAGGGGTCTTTTTCTATTCATTGCCTTCAATTGAGCATACTTGCAGGGTGTGTTAATTCCTTGGCACTTTAGGTCTTCCCAAAATGCAGGCAGAGCAGGCTCTGGTGGACAAAGATAGCTGATAATGCAAATAACTTCAGGTGCCGGCAGTTGGAAGTTGGCCCAATGTGCAGAATGTTCTGTTCAGGGGCATGTGGGCTTGGCCTAACAGATCTGTTATAGCCCTAATATCATACTGTTGTTGGTTTTTCAATCAATGCACAAAGTTGGAAAGATATAGAGCTGACCCTGAACAACAGGGGTCTGAACCAGTGTGGGTCTACTTATATGCAAATTGTTTTCAATATATACAGTTGGCCCTCCATATCAGTGGGTTCCACAACTGAAACCAAGAATAGGTGGAAAATACAGTATTCTTGGGATGCGAATGGTCATATCCACAGGTTCCACAGGGCCAACTGTGGGATTTGAGTGTATGTGGATTTTGGTGTATACGAGAGGTCCTGGAACCAATCCCCCATGGATACCAAGGGATGTCTGTAATTTTATTTACAAAAAGAATGCAAATTCTTGACAGACTAAAAATGAGAATGAAACTAACAAAATTAGGAGGGGGAGGGGAAAAGACGAGAAAGTAAGAATGTACCAATTCCTCACCTCTCCTAGTAGGGAGCCAATATACAGTGTGTAAAATTTATAAATAATGATTTAGGTAAACAACCTAAAGTCATGAAAGCTTCTAGCAAAACTAAAAGTAATACAATTTTTTAAATTAGGAGTTAAGAATAAGTTTTTGTCCCTTTGAAGGATTTTCAGCTGGTGAGTCAAGATGTATATGTACAGTATTTAAGGTTATAATGAAAAGAACCAGAAGAACTAAAACCAGAAATTGTTAATTGCAGTTGGGTCTAGGATATGGTAACAGATAAGGTAGGTGGGTAGGTAGGTAGAGTAGCAGGGAGACCCTTACTTTTCTTTTAATATGTTCCCCCCTTTTGTTTGGATTTTTAACGATTATTATGCATTATTTCCATAACAAACAAATGTAAATAAAGTGTAGTTTAACTACAAAAAGTAACTTTTAGAACACCCTTAACAAATATTTTGTAGGAGTCAAATGAGGTAGGATCTATACGGTATGCATGAACATCAAAAAATGATCAGGACTTCTTAAGTCAAGTTAGTAAACTAAAAGATAATAGGCATAGGATCCAAATTACAGAGAGGGAGGAAGTATGTGTGTGTATGTAACATATCTATGTACAGTTGACCCTTAAGCAACATGAGGTTAGGGGCACAGACCCTCACAGTCAAAATTCCATCCCCCAAAACTGTAGTAACAGCCTACTGTTGATCGGAAGTCTTACCAACAACATAAACAATTAACACTTTTTTTTTTTTGAGATGGAGTCTTGCTCTGTCACCCAGGCAAGGAGTGCAGTGGTGCAATCTCGGCTCACTGCAACCTCCGCCTCCTGGGTTCAAGAGATTCTCCTGCCTCAGCCTCCCGAGTAGGTGCGATTACAGGCACGCACCATCATGTCTGGCTAATTTTTATCTTTTTAATAGAGACGGGGTTTCGCCATGTTGGCCAGGCTGGTCTCAAACCCCTGGTCTCAAGTGATCCGTCTGCCTCAGCCTCCCAAAGTGTTGGGATTACAGATGTGAGCCACCGCACTCGACAATTTTGTATGTTACATATGTTATATACTGTATTCTTATAATAAAGTAAGCTAAAGAAAACGTTTTAAGGAAATCATGAGGAGAAAATATATTTACTCTCCATTAAGTGTAAGTGAATCATCATAAATGTCTCCGTCCTCATAATTTTCACCTTGAATAGGCTGAGAAGCGGGGGTTGGCTTTGCTGTCTCAGGGGTGGCAGAAGTAGAAGAGGTGGAAGAGGAGGCAGGAGAGGGAGGCACAATAAGTGTAATCTGATGGAGATACATCATAATTTGTCTGACTTTTTTGCTTTTCCATTTCTCTAAACATGTTTCCATTTAGCACCAATTCTTCTTCCACCATTTGCTTTAGATTCAGTGCCTGTTTCATAGAAAAGTCCATGTTATAAGAGAAGTCAAAAGCCATATTGAATAAGTGGAACCCTTCTGCCAGATTGTCTAATGTCAATTTGTTTTCTGGCACTGCTTCGTCTTCTTCCTCATCGTCTGGCACTGGGTTCAGAAGGAGTCATCTCCATCAAGTGGTCTTCTGTTAATTCCTCTGGTGTGGTGTCTCTTAGCTCTTGAATTTCTCCAAGATTTGTATCTTGAAACCTTTTTTGCCATATCTGCAATCTCTTTCATGATTTCCTTGATTGGCTCTGTCATAAATCCTGTGAAGTGATGCACAACATCTGGAGTTCCTCCAGCAGGAATTTGTTTGGGCTTGATGGCTTTTCATGGTTTTTTCTGAAACAACAATGGCATCTTCAATGGTGTAATCCTTTCAGACGTTCATGATATTCTCTCAATTGGGGTTCTCTTCCACAGAGTACTGTGTGTAATGATCCTTAAAGTCCTTATGACTCCCTTATCTAGAGGTTGAATTAGAGGTGTTGTGTTTAGGCGCATGTAGACCATTTCAATGTGTTTGTATTGAACTCATGGGGTTCTGGGTGGCCAGGGGCATTGTCCAATATCAAAAGAACATTAAAGGCAATCCCTTACTGGCAAGGTACTTCCCGACTTTAAAAACAAAGCATTTATATAACTGATCCAGAAAAAGAGTTGCTGCTCAGCCATCTTGCTGTACAACCAAAAGAGTGGCAGGCAGTGTTTCTTTTCCCTTCAAGGCTCAATTTTATAGATAAGGGCAGTCCTGATCATACATCTGGCTGCATTTGCACAAAACAGTACAGTTAGCCCATCCCTTCCCGCCTTGGATCCTGATGTTCACTTCTCTTCCTAATAAATATCCTCTGTGGCACTATTTTCCCCCAGAATAGGGCATTTTCGTTTGCCTTAAAAACCTGTTCAGGCAGATATCTTTTCTCCTCAGTGATTTTCTCTATTTTTTTTTATTTTTATTTTTTATTTATTTTTTTTTGAGAGAGTCTCATTCTGTCTCCCAGGCTGGAGTGCAGTGGTGCAATCTCACTGTAACCTCTGCCTCCTGGGTTCAAGCGATTCTCATGCCTTAGCCTCCTCAGTAGCTGGGATTATAGATGTGCACCACCACACCTGGCTAAATTTTGTATTTTTAGAAGAGACAGGGTTTTGCCATGTTGGCCAGGCTGGTCTCGAACTCCTGGCTTCAAGCAATCCACCCACCTCAGCCTTCCAAAGTGCTGGGATTACAGGCATGAGCCACAAAGCCTGGCCTTTTGTCCTCAATAATTTCCTTAATGGTATCTGGGAACTCGTCGGCTGCATCTGGGTCAGCAGAAGCTGCTTCTCCTGTTATCTTGACATTTTTTGAAAGCCAACCCACTTTTTAAAATTATCATACCTTCCTTCATCTTCCTTTTGCTTTGTCAGATAATGACTTCACTTTTTCTTGAATATTAGATTATATAGGTATGCCTTTCTCATAGCAATCCTGCACCCACAAAAAGCTGCATTTGCAATATGAGATAAAAAGGTATTTCCCAAAAAGTGCAAGGTTTTCATGCTTGTTGGTGTAGCTGCAGCGATGGCTTCATAAACTTCCTTTTGTTTTTATACCACAGTCCTTATACTGGATTCATTTATCTTAAAATGGCAGGCGACCTTAGCTGCAGACCTCAATCTACAATACACAGCAAGCAATTCCGCTTTTTCTGTAATGTCATTAACTTTTCTCTGATTCTTGGGAGCATTTCCAGCACCACTAGCGGCACTTCGTAATGGTCCCATGGTGTTACGCAAGGTTTACAGTACTGCAGTGAACACAACGAGAAATATGTGAGAACCTCAAGAGCTTACCTTTTACTGTGATATGCAATGTACTGGAGAGATCAACTGCTCACTCAGAGATGATTATGTTACTTGGAATTTTTAGCCAATACCAGCAACACTGACGCTCACTGCAATAGCAACAGGAGGTGGCTACAAAATCATTACAGTAGTACTCTATGTACTACAGTGAATTTGATGCAGTTATTATTTAATATTGCATCTTTACAACTGTTTACACCTCTCTTGAACCTAATGGGTGCCATGTAACTGTCTGTTTGTACGTGTAAGTTTTGATAAATTTTAACTTTTTATAACAGGCTTGTATATATTTTATGATAGTAAATAATAAAATGGCCTAGTATCTACATATATTTTATGCATTCATGACATATCTAGCTTTTTCTTTTCTTTTTTTTTCCATATTTCTTGGCTAAGCGACTCATCTGTGAGGTTTTTCACAAAATTGTTGCCATCGCCAAAAATATTCCATTTACTGAAAAAAATCCACATATAAGTGTACTCACGCAGTTCAAACTAATGTTGTTCAAGAGTCAACTGTATAAAAGGTATTAATATGTCTGGAAAGAGATATGTTTCCAATTTAACAGACACTACCAATGAGAAGAGTTGGGCTAGGCAGGAAACTTCAAATTTTCCTTTTTTACTTTATATATTCTATTTGTATCTCAACTTATAACCTGTGGACCACGTTTATTAGAAGAAAATGCAGATTCCTGAAACTTCCTGCAGACCCCATGAGTGACAATCTCAGGGAGATGGAGTTCCAGAATCTGCTTTTTTTCATAGATGTTTCTTTGCCATTCCTGTGTATATCTGAGTTTCAGTAGCACTGCTAATCAATTGTTTGGGGTTCTCTCTCCTTCACCAGCATGTTCTTGCAAAACTAACCAAACACATATAAAGCGCAAACAGTACAATAGTGCACTGCACCTTCATGACCCTTACCTGTTCCAGCCTCTTCCTACCTCTTCCACATGTGATATGTGTGTACATACCCACAGACAGAAACACAGAGACATGTTTGGAAGCCAGTGTGGATGCCCTGTGATCTGTGTGTACACATGACAAGTGCATACACACGCACATAAAGGAACCCAGAGACGTGTTTGGAAGCCAGTGTGGACACCCTGTGATCTGTGCGTACACATTTGACACCTGCGTACACACTCACAGACAGAAACACAGAGATGTGTTTGGAAGCCAGTGTGGACATCCTGTGGTCTGCGCGTACACATGTGACAGGTACGTGCACGCCCACATACAGGAACACACAGAGGCCTTTGGAAGCCAGCATGGGCAGACAGGCCCTATCCCAAAGCGGCCGGCAGGCGTCTCCTAAGAATGGTTCTCGGACACACCTCTGAAAGGAAAATACAACTCGGCACCGCAGTTGACTCGGCCAAAGGAAAAAAACTTAAGCTGAAAGCTGAGGCCTGCCCGAAGGAGCCTTTCCTGTGGCGCCTGAGCCGAGGGCTTCAGGGAGAGGGCCGCGCATCGCAGCGCAGCCGCCCGTCTTCCCGTGGCTTCCCTACGGCCGCGGCTCCCGCTGCTCCTTTCCGCCGGCCACGCGGGTCGCACGACCTTCCCCTCCCGCCCACCCTGAGGCGCTGAAGCCCTCGACGCCGGCCTCGGGAAAGGCGCGGCCACCGCCCGTTTCGGATTCCCGTTTCCTTCCTCCGGGCGCGTCCTTCACCGTGGCCAAATCAGCCTCTCAACTGCTGGAGCCCGGCCTCGGACACTTCTCGGCTTACGCCGCCATACAGTGGCGCACCCCGAAACCCCGGAACCGACAGCTCGGCTGGCCTTGCGCACCCACACTCTCCAAGGCAGGGCTCGGTCCGGGGGCTGGTTTTGCCAAGGCGAGGGGCGAGGGGCAGCCCAGGCGGCCGGATGGATACCAAGAGGGCGCGTCAGCTCCGGCGGGACGGGGCTTCCAGGGCCCGGGAGGGGTCCAGGACTCCCCGCCGGCGCCTGGCTGTCGGCGGAGGGCCGCGGGGCAGGAGGGAGTGGAGACTGCGGCCCCAGTTCGGGCAGCGCGGAGCCCACCCAACGCCCTCCTCGGCCCTCGGCTCTTCCTGGGGCCATCCCGCCCCTGCACCTCGGCCTGGCACCTTTCCGGTTAGCCTCGGAGGCCGTGGCCGAGCAGGGTGCGTTCGCCTGGCTGGGGGGCCTCAGAACGTTATTTCCGGGTGACAACCTGCAGGGCCTTCCGCCCCTCGCGACCTCTCGGGAGTCCCTTCCCCGGCGCCCCCCCGGGGCTGCAGGGGCTGCAGGTTCGGTCTCGGGGCCTCCTTACCGCAGTCCGCCCGGCTTTAGGCTAGTGGGCTTTAACTACGTCGATAATATGACTCCGGCGATCTTGTGCGGCGATGGGATGCGGCCGTGGGCGGTGGAGTCCAGGCGGAGTCCGCTCTCCACACGCGAGGGCGCCTCCTCCTCACCGCTCGCCGGCTTCAAAGCTCGCGCCTCAGGCGACGGCAGCCAACGGGTTGCCGGCTGGAGGCCCCGCCGACGCCCCGCCCCTTGCGTGCCCACCCGCGCCCCGCAGCCCCGCCCCCAGCGCCGACCCTAAGTTTCGGCGCTCAGTGGTCCGGCGCTCCCCAAGGCTCGGTGTCCAGCGTCAACCCCGAGGTCTCTATGCCCCGCCTCCCGACGCCAGGGGGCAGGGCCAGCGCGCTGCGCGTCGGGGCGGGGCTTTGGCTGCGTCGGCCGCGTAGCCCGCGCGCGGAGCGTACCCTGCTGCGGCCGTTGGCCGTTAGCGCGGCTTCGGCGGTTGTCTTGGAGAAGCAAGATGGCGGCGACGGCGGCCGCAGTGGTGGCCGAGGAGGACACGGAGCTGCGGGACCTGCTGGTGCAGACGCTGGAGAACAGCGGGGTCCTGAACCGCATCAAGGTGAGGCCGGAGGCTGGGGCCGGGCCTGGCGGATCCGCAGGGCTTGCGTGGACAGCGGGCGTCACAACGGTCGCGGCGAGGAGGCCGCCTCCCTGGCGAGGGACCGGGGCCGGCGGGCACTGGGGGCGCGCCCCGGCATGGCCTCCGTCCTGCCCGCCCCACAGAGGGGGTCGGCTCGTTCGTTCGTGTGGTCCCGGAGGGCACCGCGGACTGGGGGTGCCTGGCCCATCCCCTGCCTCATTCCGTGGGGGCGGGACCGCGGGGCTTGGGGGCCACACGGGCGGCCCGCAGCTGGGCCCTGGAGTGCGGCCCCAGCGTCTCTTCCTCAGGCTCGGGCATGATCCGCGGCGGGAAAGCAGCGCGTCCAGCCGAAGCCTGGGGGTCGGAGAGCTTGTGTGACTGAGAACGTTTCGGAAGGCGTTTCTGACCTTTGCACCTGCCCTCCCAGCTCGTTGGCTTGCTCGTGTTTGTTGCTGGATAAATGTGAGCTTGTTGTGAAAATTGTCTTGAAATTATAATTTCCTGTTTCTTAACTTTTTTTTAAGGCTGAACTCCGAGCAGCTGTGTTTTTAGCACTAGAGGAGCAAGAAAAAGTAGAGGTATGAAGTTTCCAGATTTTAACATGGCTGTATTCGTTAATACTTAATTTCTTATTCATTAAAAACCGTCTTAAAAATAGTTTATAGTAACATATAGCTAGGGATAATTTTGAACTGTTAAGGATTACATTACTATTGAGAGAGAGCCAAAATTATTCTTTTTTCGTGTAGCTTTTGAATTTGGGGGTAATCTTAAGGTACCACAGTAACTCTGATACTAATGCTTAATCTGAAACAAATGGTCATAGGAGTTTCTTGAAGAAATGGTGCCATTGTCAATGTGTTAAGTGCAGGTTCACTCAGATCCTTTAGTAAGCTAATATGTTATTAATCCCTATGAAACGGGGTATATAGTATGCAACTTTTCCCAAAATTATCTGACCACTCAATTATTTTGACAATGAAAAAGACAGCGATTATTTTAAAAGTGCAGCCACTACTCTATATTTAAGTGGGTAATTTAACTTTTTCGGAGTCCCACCAACCATCCTGAGTAAATATTCTGGAATTTGTCAACAAGAATAGAACCATCATCAAAGCCTTAAACTCTTGCTGTATGACAAATCAGTCTACTGTCCTCTCACTTCTTTAGACCTGTATACCTAATCTCTAATTTCATCAAAATCTTCAGTTCTTTGCCCTTTCCATGTCTGTGCAGGCATCAGTCTTCTCTTGGCAGCATTTTGCTCTGGACCCTATGGGTCTGGACCCCTAATTACCTTGCCTTAACGGTCATACGTGGTCTGGAAGAAATCTCAGTGGTCATTTAACCCAGCAAACTAACTCTTCCCACTTTGCACATATGTGCTCTTGGAGAAGAGTCAGTCAATCCTGTGGATTGCTGATGTTGCAAATTGGCAGGTACCAACCTGGTTAGGTCCTGAGCAGGCCCAGCAGCTCTCTTCTTCACCCTAGCTGTGCAGTAGCCTTCTATGTCACCCCTGCTTCCTTCTCTCTGAACACATGGTCTTGTTGCTTCCTCCACAGGGAAGGTAGAAGCCATTAGATCCTAACTTTATGTCCTCCTCTCCTGTCCCTCAATCTATTGCTCACCTGTGAAAATGCTTACCTGTGTCTATGTTTATCTGTACCTCTTTCCTTACTGCTTTAGAAGAAGAGGCTCTGTCCTGTCCAAGAATAATCACTCTGTCTTGTGTATACTTTCAAGTCTTTAATTATTTACTGTATCTTTGACCCCTTCCTTTTCTGATGGCTTTTCTTTTGAGCTTGAAAACATGTTTAAATAACTATTAGGAGTAAACTGTTTTCCTTTACTCACATTCTGCTTTTAATACCGCTGTGGTTTTTTTCCTTCACAACCTGGTTTTGACCACTCCTTGGTTTCTTTAGCATGATCTTTTTCCTGTACACCTGACTGAGACTTATCCACAGTTGTCATTCTGTACTGTCTCACAGACTGACCTTATTCATCCAGTAACTCCAGCCCTGTAACTTTCATGCATGTTTCTTTCCCGAGCTTCAGACCTGTATGTTAAACTGCCCACTGTATTATGCCCTTAATGGGACCATCATTTATCTGGCAAGAAATCTAAGCGTTTCTTAGGCCTTGCTCTTCTTTCCACCTGCTCAGCCATCACCTGGCTCTGTGTCTGTCAGGTGTGTATCTGAAGTGTCCCCAAGGGAGTGCTCTGCTGCCTCCTTTGTGCTTGTTTCTTCTTTTCCAGATTGCCTTATCCCCTTCCTACTTGCCAGTCTCCGTTTCCGTGGTGTCCCTCACCATCTCCCTGAAGTCCTTTTTCCACATTGCTCCTAGATTGGCTGTTTATAGTACACATCTGATCTGTCCCTCCATTCTCTTAAAATATTTCAGTTGACTCCCTATCTTAGAATTCCCTGAACCAGCCTACCAACTACCTTGAGGATCTCTCCTCTCCTTGTCTTTTATTTTAACAACTTTATTGAGGTAAAATTGACCTATAGTAAAGCTAAAGTATTTAATATGTACAATTTGATTTTTAATAGTTAATTTATGCAGCTGTGAAATGATCATCACAATCAAGGTACTGCGCATATCCTTCAAACTTTTGACCTTCAAAAGTTTTCCTTGTGCCCCTTATGTAACCCTCTCCCCCACCCCAAACCTTTTTAAGAATTATATAAATGGAATCGTATAGTAGGTACTCTTTTTTTTTGGTCTGTTTCTTCAACATAATGCATTTGAAATTCATTCATGTTGTGGTATGTATTAATAAATCATTTCATTAATACATTGTACAGATATGACAGTTTAGCCATTACCTGCTGACAGACATTTAGGCTGTTTCCAGTTTTTGAGTATTACAAATAAGGTTTCTGTGAACAGTCACATACAAGTCTTTGCTTGGATCTGTGATTTCTCTTGAGAAAATATGTAGAGGTGAAGTGACTAGGTCACATGCTAGGAATATTTGTGACTTTTAAGAAACACTACCAAATTGCTGTCCAAACTCGTTATGCCATTTTGCATTCCCATCAGCAGTGTATGAGGCTGCCACTGTAGCAGCAATTAATGTGGTCTTAAGGAAGCTTACCATGTGCTACCTACTGTAGCCTCTTCTCAGCAACAATCACAGGCTTGATGGTCTAGAAGTATTTTTTCCATACTTATTCAAATAAATGTATAATTACAAAAATAAGTTGGCCTATGGGCCGCATAAGATCATCTCACATTTCATGGATAAACTGGGAATTACAAGTGTATAATTAAATTCCTGTTCATAGTAAGTATGCTATAAATGGTAGATACCTGAGATGACAAAACTTTTATCAAACTTCATGTATTTGAAATAATAAACAGTTGTTGACATTTAATTGTATTTCACACAGGTATTTGAAAATATCTAGCTTCAAAAGCAGTTTATAAAACATTTAAAAATTAAAAATACAAATCTTCATATATGGTTTTGTTATATTAACTTTGAGAAATTACTAAATAGCACAAAGTAAGTCCTGTAGTAATTAACAGTTGTAGAATGGATTTTGTAAAACCATAATTTTATCAATGAAAACGTTAAACTTTATATTTTGTAGTTGTTTTTAGGGTAAACACATGACACTTAAATTTTTTTTTTTTTAACAGAACAAAACTCCTTTAGTTAATGAGAGCCTGAAAAAGTTTTTAAATACCAAAGACGGTAAGATGTTCAGTTTGTTCTTGTTTATCTATCTCTGAATTTTTGAATCTTGATACCATTTGGGAGAAATCAGGAATTTCAGGGCTTTTTTTTTGTCTTCAATTGTTATAGGTCCTCATTTTAAAATAATATTTTATTGTACAACAATCGTGTTGCTATTACATATTTTTGGATTTGGGATGTTGTTGCTTAAAGCCAGTTTTACTACAAAAAGCCAATATTAACCATTAAAAAGCGAAACACTGAAATCTATGAGATGATTGTCTTACAGTTAGTTACAGACTGATGATCCCAGTGAAAAAATCAGGAGATTGAGATTTTCATTACTTAATCATATTATTCAAAGAGGAAATTTGTAACTTAAAAAATTTAGAAACCTTTCTTCCATTAATTTAGTGTATCTATTTCATAATGTTAATTTAAAAAATTCAGTTTTTGAAGATTTGCTTACTTACCTTTTTCTTGATCTTTATAGGTCGTTTAGTGGCTAGTCTTGTTGCAGAATTTCTTCAGTTTTTTAACCTTGACTTTACTTTGGCTGTTTTTCAACCTGAAACTAGCACAGTAAGAATAATGATTTTTACATCTATCTTTTGAAACCTTTGATACAAATGAGTTAATATTAAGCTGAAAGTTAATAGAATTTGACAACTGATAGTTTTTTACATTTAGATTATTTTTGGTAGTTGATTATCTGTTTTTCTTAAAAGCCATATGAGCTTTCAGATAGCTGGCACCAGTGTTGCTGCTTTGTGTTACTTGAAAGCTTGCTAATAAAAGTGTTACTATAGAGTTAATTTTGATACGATGTTAGAGTGCACCTGTTAATGGAAACGTTGAAGGTAGAGGCTCTGTAAAAGAAATAGGCATAATTTTTTAAAATAGACATTTCATTCATTAGTAAGACAGTCTCTTTGAGTTTAAAGATGTCTTTAAACTCTGAAAATATCTTCTTTACTCCTTGAGAATAACTTCTGCTATTTTTTTGTGCACTTGTATTTTAACTTCTTTTCTAGCTGCAAGGTCTCGAAGGTCGAGAGAATTTAGCCCGAGATTTAGGTATAATTGAAGCAGAAGGTACTGTGGGTGGACCCTTATTATTAGAAGTGATCAGGCGCTGTCAACAGAAAGAAAAAGGGCCAACCACTGGGGAAGTAAGTAGAATTCTGTGTTATCTTTTTCTATTTTAATTATTGGCTGCTTAGTTTAGCCATGCAGATTAGTGCATATATAGTAAATTAAGGTTTTCATACTAGAAGATATTCCTTAAAAACAAAATGAGATGCATTCAGATTGTATCAATGCAAATTTTAATGAAAATTAGGAATGTGCTGACTGTGATTCTGTGGCATATCTGTTCTGGTTTTTGATCCTCAAGAGTGTTGGGTCATGAGCTAAACTGTCTGGAACAAATCCCAACTCCTCGTTGCCTCACTTGATCCTCCATTCATTCCATACTGTGTATGAAGTGGGCTCTACCAGGCCCTACCTTGGTGTTCTGAGGCTTCTCTGCATAAGCCAACAGAAGCACTCAACTTGCTATTATTTTTATTAAAACATCTTATTTAAATATAAAAGGGCTGATTTATAGGATAGTTAATAAATTTTTGGACTTAAAGGCCTCTTTAGGCTTAAAACTAAGCTGTTGATTTTGCTTTACGCTGTTTAGAAACAGTTCAAACTTACACTTTTTTGATCAGTAGTACTTTTCATACTCTTAACCTTTTTTTAGAAATTGTGCTAATGAGATTAATGATATAATTTTATTTTCATACATTAATTTTACATGAAGATACTCTGTTTTATAGATACAGGTAACATCTGTAACTGTTCCAGATATTTGATTAAATGTGAGCTTTTAGTCAGAAATTTATAGGTAAGAATGTGGAGGGCTGTATAGGTTTCCAGTTATTTTCTTTGGTGAGTCTCAGAGGATGTTTTCTATTAGAATTTTTGAAAATTGATAAAGCTTGCCTGAGTACTAATTATGTGTAAGGCATGGTAAATAGACTTTGTGGGTACTATAAGATAAAATATAAGAAACTTCTGTGTCTCTGAATAGCGCAGAGCTATTTAAGATAAAATGTGCTCAAATAAGGAAATTAACATTTAAATAACAGTTTAAGATTATGGAGGAATTGTCATTTAACACATTATTTCCAACCATATTATGAATAGTTTAGAGGAGGAAGCGATTGTCACATGCCAAAATTTTATTGAAGTCAATTTTAAAGTGAGAGTAGGATGTCAGTTGTGGGGCGAGGATTGGGAAGGGCTTTCCGAGAAGTTGGAACGGTGCCAGCCAAGCGTGGGAGCAGGAGAGCATAGCCAGATCCCAGGCTGGCTGGGAGTGAGGCGGCTCACCCAGAGCGCAGGTTGTCACTTCAGCTTGTGCATATAATTTCATTCCTTCATTTATCAATATCCAGCAAGCTTTTATTGTGCGCTTATTTGATAGATACTGTGCTGGGTACTGGGCAATCAAAAACAAACTAAAGAACCCAGTCTCCTGGGGCCAGCAGTCTGTAGGTCATGATGACCTCTCTTTATTGGCTTTCCCCTCTCGGCTTCTGTGGCCCTGAAGAACTCTCTTCTCTTTCTAACTGCCCTTTCATTTTCTTTTCTGTTTAGTAGTTGTGCTTTGGCTCACCTCATTGCAGTGGTGTTTATGCATATTTTTCTGTCTAGATTGATCTTTCTTCCTTAACATACCACTAGCATGGACTCTGGAACCAGGTTACTTGGGTGAAACCCCAGCTCTGCTACATTCTAGCTCTGTGAGCCTGCAGTCACTCAGCCTCCGTGTGCCCAGGTTCCTTATCTGCAACATGGAGATCACAGAAGTATCGCGCCTACAGGTCTGGAGGGGGTCTGAGGAAGCAAGATGTGTGAAGCTTTGAGCACAGTGCTTGGCACGGAGGACTCTGTGTGTTACTGTAGTAGGCATCAGTGGATTCAATTAACTGCGAATTGAAAATATTCGGATAGGCTGAGCGCGGTAGCTCATGCCTGTAATCCCAGCACTTTGGGAGGCCGAGGTGGGCGAATCATGAAGTCAAGAGATGGAGACCATCCTGGCCAACATGGTGAAACCCCATCTCTACTAAAAATAGAAAAATTAGCTGGGCGCGGTGGTGTGTGCCTGTAGTCCCAGCTACTTGGGAGGCTGAGGCAGAATCACTTGAACCCAGTAGGTGGCGGTGGCAGTGAGGCGAGGTCGTGCCACCGCACTCCAGCCTGGCGACAGAGCGAGACTCCATCTCAAAAAAAAGAAAAAAAGAAAATATTTGGATAAAATACAACAAAAGAATGCAAATATAGTAGAAAACTATTTATATAGCATTTACATTGTATTAGATATAAGTTAGACACGATTTGAAGTACATAAGTTATATGCAAATATGTCATTTCACATAAGAGACTTGAGCATCCTTGGATTTTGGTGTCCACAGGAGAGTCCTACAACCAGTCCCCTGTGGATACTGAGGGACGACTGTGTTAGTATTACTGTTTCTTGTTATTGTATGGATGACTCTTTAAGTTCAGTGTAGTCTGCCTAAGCTCAGCTCAGTCCTTTATCCTAGCTCCAGACTAGAATTTCCAGCTCTTCACAAAACATACCTCCCTGGATAACCCAATAGTATATTCGAATCCTGTGTGGAAAAACTTACTTTCTTCTCTTTACCTCTAAAAAGTAAAAACATAAAGACAAAAGCAAATCCCACCTTACTCCCCGCAAATAACCCTCTTCAAGTTCTTCTTGCTCACTTCTGTGTTTTGATTGATTCTATTCCTGTGACTCCTTGGTTTCATCCCAAGGAGCCACCTCTTCACATGTGCTCTGGATTCAGTTCTTCTGTCAGGAAGGATTCACTCTCCACCTTGCACCCCGTAGCTTTGGTAACAGGCTGTGGAAGAAAGAATAATTGCTGGAGGGCTTTCTGTTCTCTGCTAGATAGGAGTGTACCTCAAAATGAGACCCAGTAGCATGCCTGTGTAGTGGGTGTGATGTGAAAATGGACACAGAATCACTGTTCTTCAGTACTTCATTCTGACTCGTGGATTTGAGGCCTCCCCTGAAGTTTGCCCTGACTTTTTCATAGCTGTGATTCTGTCAAATAGAGCCAGGATAGGAATTCTGTATCCTCAAAAGGTAGTTGTTTTACTCCCCCAAGTTGCTGAACCAGTAAGTTGGGCATCTCATCTCCATTTTTTGCTAGTTTTCCCTTCCTAATATCTGGATATTTAATTTTAATAGTTTGTGCATATGTATATAAACAAATAGATAAAATATTTAAAATAGAGACCTCAAAGATGTATGTTTTGGCCCTTCATTATTTATTAGTGTTTTCTATTACTTTGGAAGAAAACCTGTTGTTTATAATGAAATAAAAAATTAGAGCTTTTATTAGCTTTTGACTTTGACTGTAGAAAACTAGCTATAGGTTAAGCTCACTGAACTAAATTACTGATGCTTTTTACCAAAACTGCATTTTAACCACCTCAAGAATCAGGTTGCTGTGCCCCACCCGCTTTAACCTGACTTTTGTTTGGTTTTATTGGATGCTCCCAAGCCGTAGATAATTAAAGCCCTTTCTTGTTTTCTGAGCCCCTCAATGGATCATTTTCATCTCCTTCAGCACCTCTACCATGTAGGTCCTTATATCTGTCCAGGATCATTTCTTCCTAAAGGTTCTCATGCTTTCAGTCTGTCATTCACTGTTGCAGAATTATTTTTAAACTTCAGCCCTTCCTCTGTTCCTTTCTTCTGTACGATTGTAGTGACTGCACTGCCGACTCAGGAGTCCCAGATTCTTCAGCCCTTATGAAATGTTCTGTGTGATGTGGCCTTAACCTGTCTTTCTAGCCTTATGTGTTTTTTTTTTTTTTAATGTGGAACCTTGTACTTAAGTCAGATTGAACTTTGGACTTACTACTTGAAAGTGGCTTGTGTTTTTTCGCCTTCTCTTATTTCGTTATTCTATCCTCCACTTGGAATTATACTCTTTCCCCTTCCCCAGCTGTGGAATTTTGTCAGTCAGGTTTTCTCCTCAGCTGCAACTCTTGTTCTTCCTCTCTCCTTACTGGAAACTGCATGTAACTTAGTGCCTCCTTCTGTCAAAGTTGTAGTAGTGATCTGCACTGGTTACACATGGAAATTTACTGAGGACAAGGGCTTTATCTTCATATCTCTTACACAGTCTAAGGCATTGTGATTTTTTTTTGTTTTTTTTTGAGACGGAGTCTTGCTCTGTTGCCCAGGCTGGAGTGCAGCGGCAAGATCTCAACTCACTGCTGCAAGCTCCACCTCCCAGGTTCACGACATTCTTCTGCCTCAGCCTCCCGAGTAGCTGGGACTACAGGCAGCCACCACCACACCCGGCTAATTTTTTTTATTTTTTTATTTTTAGTAGAGACGGGGTTTCACCGTGTTAGCCAGGATGGTCTCAATCTCTGACCTCGTGATCCACCCGCCTTGGCCTCCCAAATTGCTGGGATTACAGGTGTGAACCACCGTGCCCAGCTGGCATAGTGATTTTTAACATACTGTTCACAGTCAGTGGAAGCCTTTGAAAATTTGAAGAGGAATACCCATTTAGAAGATTTGTGGAGGTTAGATTGGTAAAATATGGAGAAGTTAGCAGACTAGAAAGAAGTGAAACACATAAGAAGGCAAATCTAGACAAGAATGGTAGCAGTAAGAATAGAAATAAGTGGACATACAGGCTAGACATGGTGGCTCACACCTGTAATTCCAGCACTTTGGGAGGCCGAGGCAGGCGGATCACTTGAGGCCAGGAGTTTGAGACCAGCCTGGCCAACCTAGTGAAACCCCGTCTCTATTAAAAATATAAAAATTAATGTTGGGCGCGGTGGCTCATGCCTGTAATCCCAGCGCTTTGGGAGGCCAAGGCGGGTGGATCACCTGAGGTCAGGAGTACGAGACCAGCCTGGCCAACATGGTGGAACTCCATCTCTACCAAAATACAAAAAATTGGCCAGGTGCGGTGGCTCAAACCTGTAATCCCACATTGGGAGGCTGAGGCGGGCGGATCATTTGAGACCAGCCTGGCCAACATAGTGAAACCCTCTGTCTACTAAAACCACAAAAATTAGCTGGGCATGGTGGTGTGCACCTGTAGTCCCAGCTACTCGGGAGGGCGAGGCAGGAGAATTGCTTGAACCCGGGAGGTGGAGGTTGTGGTGAGCCAAGATTGCGCCTCTGCACTCCACAGAGCGAGACTCTGTCTCAAAAAAAAAAAAAAAAAAAAAAAAAAAAAATACAAGGAATTAGCTGGGCGTGGTACTCGGGAGGTTGAGGCAAGAGAATCGCTTGAACCCGGCAGTCGGAGGTTGCAGTAAGCCAAGATCTCGCCATTGCACTCTAACCTGGACAACAAGAATGAAACTCCGTCTCAAAAAAAAAAAAAAAAAAAAGTTAGTTGGGTGCGGTGGTGCATTCCTATAATCCCAGCTACTTGAGAGGCTGAGGTGGGAGGATCACTTGAATCTGGGAGGCGGAGATTGCAGTGAGCCGAGATCGCACCACTGCACTCCAGCCTGGGTAACAGAGTGAGACCCTGTTTCAAAAAAAAGAAAAATAAAAGAAAGAAAGAAATGAATAGATAAAGATGACCTTTTGAGAATCAACAAGACTTGGTAAACTAATATTTTGGCATGGGGCAAGGTCACAGAAGGCAATAAGAGAAAAGAAAAGCTCTCAAAGGCCAGTTTAAGGATTTTAGCCTAGAAGATAATATCACCAACAGAAATAGTGGGACTGAAGAGGGAGAACTGAAGTTATGAAGAACAGCACATTTTCGTATTTAAAAAGTTACAGTCAGTCATAAAGGGATTTTTGTAACAAACAGCCAGTATTTACTATGTACAGTGTCCTAGAGCTTGTGCTGGTAGTGGATGAATTGTAGGAAGTGATTTTCATTTAAGAAACATTTTAAAAACCTCCTCCTTGGCATTAACCACAGTGCTCAGAACCCTGTGGTGACAGGGCACTGGGCAGCAGACACAGATGACTCCTGTGGAAGTTGGGCTAGAACAGGTACTTACCATTTTGGAAAAAAAATGTGTGAAAGTAGAAAACTGGGAGAGTGAACTACTATTTGAAGGGGTAAAGTATTTTTAATGAAAGTTGTTATTTGGTATTTTTTCTTGAGATAAAATGAAGTAGGGAAACAAATTCAAGGAGGGCAAAAAGTAGATCTTAGAGAATTACAGGATATTATTTGTCTGGAGAGTAGGGAGAAGGGAAGTGAGGAAGTAAATCCTGGAATGGTAGACCTGGGACAGATTTCAGTGGAGAAAGACAGTATCCTGTTCAAAGTGAATAAATGAAATATTTTGCAGGTAATTAGAATCTAGGGATGTGTAGAAGGTTTTTGAGGGGGTAAAATTAGAGGAAAATCTAAAAAGGATGGTTACTTTAATAAGAAATAAAATACCAACATTGTATAGTGTTTTTAAATGCTAAAATTCTATTGGAGTGTAATTGGTATATTTGTGTTTTATTTTTAAATGTATTTTAATTTTAAACTAAAATATTTTAGGGTGCACTTGATCTATCTGATGTACATTCTCCACCAAAGTCACCAGAGGGAAAAACAAGTGCACAGACAACACCAAGTAAGGTGAGTTAGCTGTGGAACACGGAAGTCATGTCTGGACTTAACTCCAGAGTGCTCTGCTTTTCTCTCTCTAGTCTTTCTTGTTACAAGTTGTATTGTTTTATATAAACACATGGGCTCTTTAGTTTCTTGAAGGTGCTTTTTTTCCATTAAGTATACATTAAAAAAAAAGTTTTGCTTTGTTGGTAGTTGTTTGACATTTGTATTGTAGAAAGGAATGTGCTGGTAAGTAACAGAATCATAGAATATTTGGATTTATTTGGTACTTCGGACATTTTCTCCTATTAACAAGGAGATTTACTTACTTTTCATTTATAAATTCCTAGCTTGAGAATATTAAGCTAGAAATATGTATTATAGGATATAATATTGAATGAATATTTTAGACTTCTAGATGGGTGATGAGATTCAGAATTGTAAATCATGATGGTTTTTAATATACCTGGGCTGTTTTGATACAATTTCTAAGAAAATGTATGTACTTTGGTTACATTTGTGTGTGTATGCATGTGTGCGTCTGTTTGTGTGTTTATGAGTTGTTAAAGGTAAGACTTGATTTCAGAGATTAAGCATAATGGGAAAAAAAATGAGCTCTACACTTTGAATTTAAGATCCAGGATATGTAGGAATGGATAGAAAGATGATTGTCAGGAAATTTGTTTTCTCAAGAGCACAGCATGAATTGGTAGTCCCAGGCGGTCTTACCAAAGGATAGGTTGGGGTCTGTCTTAGTCTGTTCAGGCTGCCAAGTACCATAGATTGGGCAGCTTACAAACAACACATTTTTCCTCACAGTTCTGGAGGCTGGAAGTCCAAGATCACGGCATCACTGTGGTTAGGTCTGGTGAGGTCCCTCTTCTAGGTTGCAGAGAGCTGCCTTCTCATTGTGTCCTCACGTGGTGGAAAGAGGGTGAGAGAGCTCTCTGGGGTCAGGGCCCTAATCCCATTCACAAAGCCTTCACCCGCATGATCTGCTCACCCCGCAAAGGCTCCACCTTCTGATACCATCACATTGAGGGTTAGGATTTCAACATAGGAGCTGGGGGTTTGTGGACTACACAAACCTGCAGTCCATGACAGGTCGGGTTTGTATTCTTTGACTGTCCCTTTGATTTTCATCCCATAGGAATAGAGTGATGCTGTGGAGTCCATTCCAAAAGATGAGGTCCCATGTGGGTTTATGGTGGTGGATCGACTCTCAGATACAGTTGCATCTTTTTAAATAGATGAACTTCCAGGACGTAGTGATTATACTACACGATACCTTTCTTTTTTAAATGTCTAGGCACAGAACATTGCTGAACGATTGCTGTTATTTTTTGCTTGTTCTTTGATGTTGTTGCTCCTTTTTATTGTTTAAGTTTGGAAAACTAAGGAATTTTATACTTCATTTCTAACCAAAGAAACAACTATTGTATTGTTTATAGTTGCTCCTTCTGAGATTTCTAGTTGGTGTAGGGAAGGCCTTTTTTTAAAATTTTTTTTTTCCTAAATACTCATAGGAGGCTATAACCCCAGTGATAGAGTAAGGTCATGAGTAAATTTTTAAAATTTCTTTAAATTAATTGCAAATAAAACAGCCTATGTAAGTAAGCTTTACTTTTCATGAAAATACCTGGCTTTAGAAAAATTAAAATTAATGAATATTCCAAAATACTTATCAGTACCTATAGCATTTGACTATTTGGAAGCTCTTTTTAGCAAATTATTACTGTTTTTAAAGCAAATTAGCAATCCTAACCTATATATAATGTATGTCTTCAGGGTAAAATATTAAAGTCTATTTTACGTACTCTTATTCTCCCTACATACATTTTAAGATCTAAGAATTATAATGAGAATCTCAATGTTTTAAGTCAGTCAGGAAATGATGCTGTGAGTTTTTCCAGAGAAGGGGGGACTGTCCTGAGGCTGCTTTAGAGAATAGCGTTTGTCCTAACAGCTGTCTCTGCCGTCATCCCGTTATTCTAGTTTAGTCTCCGTTTCTCAGTTGGCCTCATAAACCCACTTCAGAAATACCCTAGATAGTCCTTGTGTAGGGTTGCATCTGTTCTAAAATAAACCCTTATTTTGGCACTTAAAATGCAATTTCTCTAGTACTAAAGGACCTGGATTTGGGATCCAGTACTTTCCCTACCGTCTTCTTGCTAGCTACCTCCTACCAAATCAGCCTTGAGGGCCCACGGAGAATGCTAGAAACTCTCCAAGAGTAGGGTCCACCCAACCTTTAGGAACCAGCTTTGTGTGCTCCTGAGAAAGGTCAGATGAGGTCAGGACAAGTCTTCAAGGAAGTTGCCTAGGAACTCAAGTGAGGCTTATTTAGAATGCTGCTAAAATGTAGCATGAAAGAGCTGATTCTCCACCCAGTAGAAGCTGAGCAGGTGGAGGCTAAGGTATCTGTGTTTGACCTAGTAACTATTGGAAACAGTAAACATGAGGTAGATCACTCTAGGAATAGTTAAGAAAGGACCAAAAAAAGCAGGCCTCACAGAACATATTAACTAGATGTTCCACTTCTGAGACATTTTTCAGTAGGTATCTTTGTTTGGTAATGAGTTAGTTTATTTTTTAAAGATTTCTATTTTGTGGTAAAATCTCATTTTATTCTCATGCTCAGATACCAAGGTATAAAGGACAAGGTAAGAAGAAGACAAGCGGGCAGAAGGCTGGTGACAAGGTAACATGCATGAGGGCAGAGGAGAAAAGCAGCCTGTGGGCATCAGGTCTCGACTCTGGGGCCTCCTGGAGCGCTGGGCTCCTGTCAGATTGGGTTCTCAGTTTTCTTATGAAATGTCACTTGAGGCTGGGCTAGGTGGCTCACGCCTGTAATCCCAGCACTTTGGGAGTCCAAGGCGGGCGGATCACTTGAGGTCAGGAGTTCGAGACCATCCTGGCCAACATGGTGAAACCCCGCCTCTACTAAAATACAAAAATTAGCCGGCCGTGGTGGTGTGCGCCTGTAATCCCAGCTACTTGGGAGGCTGAGGCAGGAGAATCGCTTTAACCCGGGAAGCGGAGGTTGCAGTGAGCTGAAATCGTGCCATTGCACTCCAGCATGGGTGACAGAGTGAGACTCTGTCTAAAAAAACAAAAAAGTAACGATGGCATGAAATAAAAAGTAAATTTCACTGTCAGTTTTTATCCAGGTGAAAATCATACTGTTGAATCTTAAAACCATGCTCTCAGTTTTACTTTGAAAATTCCTGTTGTGTTGGCAATTAGAGTTGAAAATACGTATTTTTCTTTTGAATGGATGATTATATACATATTAGTAACATTGTGATTTTTATTTGAGGAAAATAGAACATCAAACTATTTTTTTGAATACGTACCTATTGATAAATTAAAAATTAAACGTATTTCCTCCAAGATGTTTTTGTGTTCTGTCATTTTTCAGACAATTGCACATTTGTGATCCTTTATTCAGTGCCCCTGCTCACAGTAGACTGCTGGGGGCCAGTGCTGCATACTACCAAGGCCTTGGCTGCTTTTTCATCCTCTCCTAAAGATCACAAAAATTGACTAATCCAGTAGATTAGCTGCTTATGAAATTTAAATATTAGAAGTTTTAGAAACATTATCAGTACAGTTTTTACATGTACTTAGGATAAGACAAAATATTTAATTTTCAGTTCTGTGAGATTCATTAGTCCTATGCTGAACTTTGGTTATGTATAGATTTTTTCACTAGGTTGAAAATCTTCAAACTTAAAGCTTTTTAAAAATTCCACCTGTTGTGTTAGATGGCTTTAGTTCTAGGAGTTTCAAAGGTAAATTCCTATTACTGTATTCTCTTTCTGTTCACACTGTTCTTTATGCGTTATTAAACAAGAAGTTGCTTTAAAATAATGATTTAGTAAGTTTTTTTTAACATTTACATAGTGAAAGTTATTGTGTGTTAATGCTTTGGGCAACACATTTAACACAGTTCTCACTTAAGGAGTTTATAGTTTAATTGGAGAGATGAGACATACCTTAAGTAAGATATAAAACTTCTTAATAGATTTTAAAAATCAGTTTCTTGGGCTTTTCTAAAATTTAAAAGCATATTTTATAGTATTAAGCTTTTATAATCTTACTGCTATTGTGGGTTTCAAACAACTTAAACATTTTCAAGAAGTTTATACATAGAGCCAAGGCATCCTAAGAGATGTGGTTTTCACTTTGTGTGATGTGAAATAACTGTGATGGGCCCAGACTTTAGCTTTCGCGGTACTTTGGGCAGAGTGTAGTGTGTGCCCTGACTTGAGAGGGGATTGAAGAATCTAGGTGGGCCCATATCCCAGGATTTAGTCCATAATTTGGGTCTCTTCTATTTCATTGTTGTGTTCCTGAGGCCAGGATGCTTCCTCAATTACTTGGAAACCTTTTTCCCTGTACATTTCTGATCTTGTTTCTGAACTGCCTTGTGAGAAGTCTGTATTGTACCCCATGTGGCCTATTGCCAGCCTTACTTATATGGGTAAGCCCTTAGCTCTTTGTTCCCCTGCCTTTCTGCTTTGCCTTGTGCATGCAGTGAGTTCCCAACAGCCTTAACATTCTCAACATCTTCATCATCCAGATGCTATGTTGCATGTGGTGGTTGAGGTTGTACACAGCAAGACTCCAGATGGAGCCATCCGCATGGTAGGTGAGTGGCATCTCCCAAGGTATGCAAAGCCATCATGGGAGCCCTGCCTGTCCTGCAGACGTGAACTGGGCATGCGATGCAGGAGGGCCTAGGGTACCGCTGCTCCCGGAGCTCTGGAGCACTGATCAGGAGTGTCGCATGTGTCCGGTTGCTTTCGAATGCAGGAGGCGACAAGTACTAGTGGCTCACTCAGAGACCCTTGGCACTTTCTTCAGGGAAGCTATATTCATATTATAAATAAACTTAAAAAAACATTCATATGTATAGTTAGAATTGATTTGTAGGGTTTTTGAACTGATGTAACTTGGGCAAAACTGAAGTTCTTATTTTTGTTGTTGCTAAGAGACAATAAAGATAAAAATAAAATAAAGATTAAAGATAAAAGATTTGGTATACAAGGAGTATAAATATGAAATGAGAGGGCATTTTAAAAATGAATTAATAATTTTGAAATATATATTAATACTTGCTGACTTCCAAAGTATCATCTGTGATAATTTATCTCATTGTATTCCATTTCGTTGTACCAAACATCCTAATTGTTTGGAAAAAAAAAAAAGTATCAGAAAATTATAACAGACTTTTGATAGGCCCTACTAGCTTAGGTTTTTACCATTTAGTTGGAAATGTTGAGTAAGATCTATATTTTTTTGTTTTTAATATTTAGAATTAGTTGCTCTTTATCATTATATTAAATGTAATATGAAAGATCATCCTTTCTTCTTACAAATAGTTTTCAGGTGTCTGTTTCTTTTTAGAGACAAGGTCTCACTCTGTCACCTAGGCTGGAGTGCAGTGGTGTGATCATGGCTCACACCACTTGTCCTCCTGGGGTCAAGTGCCCACTTCAGCCTCTTGGGTAGCTAGGACAACAGGTGCATGCCAGCACAGCTGGCTAATTTTTTAAAAAATGTTTTCATGTAGAGGCAGGGGTCTCACTATGGTTGTCCATTCTGATCCTCAACTGTGGGGCTCAAGTGATCCTCCTGCCTCGGCCTCCCAAAGTGCTGGGATTACAGGCATGAGCCACCGTGCCTGGCCCAGTTTTCAGGTATTTTAAAACTAACATGTATTGAGATGCTTTTTCACATTACGTGTAGGTTTTGGGGCATATGTTTTTGTATCTTTGGCAGTCACCTGAGGATTTTCCAAACCAGGCGTTACCATTCCCTGTCACACTCTCACACCATCCTGAATGAATGGATACATGGATGCATGAATGTTCCCACACTTAGCCCTGTAGTAAAATTACTTCTCTAAATAATTCATTAGTAAGTCATGGATCAGAAACTGTCGTTGGCAGGGAGAGAGGTGGGGGGCAGAGGCATGGGTGAAGAGAATTTTAAATACAGTCAGCCTCATATCTGGAGGTTTCATATGCATTGCTTTCACACCTGCAGATTCAGTCGTATGTAAATGGAAAAATGGTTATAAAAAATAATAATACAAATTTTATTTATTATTTATTTATTTTTTTTTTTTTTTATTTTTTTGAGATGGAGTCTCTCTCTGTCGCCCAGGCTGGAGTGCAGTGGCACGATCTCGGCTCACTGCAAGCTCCGCCTCCCGGGTTCACGGGAGGCTCCTGCCTCAGCCTCCTGAGTAGCTGGGATTACAGGCGCCCACCACCAAGCCCGGCTAATTTTTTGTATTTTTAGTAGAGACGGGGTTTCACTGTGTTAGCTAGGATGGTCTTGATCTCCTGACCTCGTGATCCACCTGCCTTGGGCTCCCAAAGTGCTGGGATTACAGGTGTGAGCCACCGCGCCTGGCCAATAATGATACAAATTTTAAAATAATGGTATACAACTGTCTACATAGCATTACATTTATTAGGTATTACAAGTAATCTAGAGATGATTCAAAGCATATGGGAGGATGTGTGTAGGCTATGTGCAAATACTACAGCATTTTATACGAGGGACTTGAGCATCCTCGGACTTTGGTGTCTGCAGGTGTCCTGGGTACTGAGGGACAACTGTATTGCATGAATTTTTTGAATACTTTTGCAAAACAATAGTATTTCTTTGATATTTTTCCTACATGAACAGTTTGGAAAAAAATTCTTTTTTTTTTTTTTCAGGTTCTTAAGTCAGTCTGATACAATTCAGTTTTTGACTACTGAAAAATTAAGGTTTCTCATTGTGAAACTTCTCTAGTGCTGACTTTTTGTTAATCTAGAAATGATTGGCTTCTTTATTATATGAGTGTACTATTGGATAATTTAAATATATACTAAAGCTTTCTTATGGCTGCACTATAATTTCCCATAGAGCTTATTATTAGTCTTGAGCTCCAGCCAAGAGAACTTAATGACCGTTGTAGTGCTGTGCAATAGGTCCCTCACTTTTATGAAAAGACAAAACTTGTTTTAGTTTTTTGTTATAAATGACTTGATTTGTTTCCTAGGGCTAATGTAATATAAGTACCAATATTGGGTGGCTTAAAACAACACATGTGTTGTGTCACAGTTCTAGAGGCTTAAAAATGTGAAATCAAGGTTCGCGGAGGGCTGTGGCTCCTGTTCTAGCTTCTGGTGGCTGCTAGACCCAGATGCTGTTTGGCTTGTAGATGGATTACTCCAGTCTTTGCCTCCATCTTCACATGGACTTCTCCCTGTGTTTCTCTGTGTCTCTTCCCCCCAGCAAGGATACCACTCATTAGGTTAGGACCCAGGCCCACCCTACTCTTTGAATGGACTCATCTTAACTAAATACATCTGCAGTGGACACTGTTTCCAAATAAGGTCACACTCTGAAGTACTGGGAGTTAGGGGTTTCAACATATTTCATTTGTGGGATACAGTTTGACCCATAACTTTTGTGCTTGTCCAGAGAATGAATTCTAAGGCATTGCCATGGTATGTGTGTGTGTGTGTATTTTTTTTTGAGACGGATTCTCGCTCTGTCACCAGGCTGGAGTGCAGTGGCGGCGATTACAGCTCACTGCAACCTCCAACTTCCTGGTTCAAGCGATTCTCCTGCCCCAGCCTCCTGAGTAGCTGGGATTACAGGCACGTGCCACCACACCCAGCTAATTTTTGTATTTTTAGTAGAGACGGGGTTCCACTATGTTGGCCAGGATGGTTTCGGATCTCCTGACCTCATGATCCGCCTGCCTCGGCCTCCCAAAGTGCTGGGATTACAGGTGTGAGCCACTGTGCCTGGCCTTATATTTTTTAAATCTTATTTGTTAGTTTTTAAACAATACTTAACCTTAGTTATTTAGCTTCATTTTGAATCTTCAACTTAGCCAAATCCAGGTGATACAAAACCCAAGTAACTGAAGTTTATGTACGTAACATAAGTTCGTCTTAACTCATGATAAGGGTTTTTAAAGCAGATTCCCGGGTATACATACGTATACAGATGGTCCCCAATGTTACAACAGTTTGATTTATGCTTTTTTGACTTTATGATGGTACAAAAGTGATATAGATTAAGTAGATAGCATACGTTGAGTTTTGATCTTTTCCCAGGACAGTAATCGGTGGTACGATTCTCTCTCGGGGCCAGGCAGTGACGTTGAGCCACGGCTTCCAGTCAGCCACATGGTCACGAGGCACTCTGATGCCAGGGGACTGAATAGCCAGCATTTTTTGGATATTGTGTTTTTGCACCTCATGTTTATGAAGTGCCCGTTTTCCACTTTGTGATATTTTCACTTGACGGTTGATGAGGTGAAGCGCTGTTGTGGGTTGAGCATCTGTGCACATGCATACACCTGCTGTGCACACGCATACACCTGCTGTGCACACACATACACCTGCTGTGCACACGCGTACACCTGCTGTGCACACGGGTACACCTGCTGTGTACATGGAGGAGCCACTGAAACTGCTCTCAGCGTTTTCAGTGCTTTGGTTTTAATCTGCAAAATGTGTTGATGACAAATCTTTCTCCTCTTCCTGTAGATTTTTTTAATAGTGAAGTTTATTTGGAATTAAGTTTAGTGAATTCATTAATAACCTAGTTGGTAATGGTCTTTTGGCAAAAATGAGCCATAGTTATAAAGTAGTAACATGTTACTGTGTGGTTTAGAACTAGATTTTGAGAGCAGTTCCAAAGCAGATTGTTTCAGAATTTATTTTTACTCCCTGGATTAAGAGAACTATATTTTTAAAATAATTCTGTTATGTTTACAAGTATGTGTTGTGTAATATAGTAATGCCCTTCTCCGTAAAACTTGTCTTCCTAAAACTGGTCTTTCTGTCTATAGCGGGAATATTGGTCAAACCTGTCAAATAATCATGGATACCTACTAGTTGCTCAGCTTTGATACTAGATAGTTCATTATGTGGATTTAAGTTACATTGGCAGTGTGAATTCTTGGGGAAATCAGAATAATTATTGTTTCTCATAATATTGCTTTACATTTACATTTTTCAGTTTCTGTCATGCCAGTTATTCTTTGGCACTTTCTCATGAGTGTTTAGAAGGAGAGAATCTGTCGTGGCCACAGGCTGTGTCATTGTACATATGTTTAAATATCACATCAGGGTATTTATTTCCAAATGCATATTCTTTTAAAAAGACATAAATCCATTATTAAAACAGTGTAAAAATCAGAAATTACAACTGCTGTGAATTACATAATATTTTTCTATATTTGATAATACCAGGAAAATGTCAAGAAAGTTGTTAGGAAATTTTTGAAAGTTTCCATCCCTTTGAAAATATGTTGTCTAAAATTATAACTTGCTATTTATTTTTTCAGACATCTCTTTATAATCATTAATTTATATTAATAACATGGAATGTGTAGCTCTCTAGAAGGCAATAAAATTTGCACAGCATATATCTTGCCTACTGTCAACTAGTCAAGACCTCTACCTGGTGTAAAGATGTAAACGTATATCATAAGACATGCATAATGCATTCTGTCTGTACCCATATGAAAAGTGAAACCATCCTTCAGGAGCGTCTTGTTCGGTAATGTCTAACCCAGACTTTGGTCACCATGCTTCAGTAGTTACTACTCTTTAATTCTTTCTCAGCCATCCATCCCTTCCTAGATATAATTTGATCTGAAAAATATGAATCTAGTTCAATTCTTGAGGAAACTCATGCCTAGGAAATTAATTTACTTAAGATTACACGGGCCATGTATGGTGGCTCACGGCTCACGCCTGTAATCCCAGCACTTTGGGAGGCCGAGGCGGGTGGATCACTTGAGGTCAGAAGTTCGAGACCAGCGTGGCCAACATGTTGAAACCCTGTTTCTACTAAAAATACAAAAATTAGCCAAGCGTGGTGGCACGCGCCTGAAATCCCAGCTACTCAGGAGGCTGAGGCAGGAGAATCGCTTGAATCTGGGAGGCGGAGGTTGCAGTTAGCCCAGATTGCCCCACTGCACTCCAGCCTGAGTGACAGAGCGAGACTCTGTCTCAAAAAAAAAAAAAAAAAAAAAAAAGATTATACGACTGGGTGTAGTTTGTGCTTGTAATCCCATAAACCCAGCTACTTGGGAGACTGAGGCAAGGAGGACTGCTTGAGCCCAGGAGTTTTAAGACCAGCCTGGATGACATAGTGAGAGCCTGTTTCTTAAAAAAGAAAAAAAAAAAAAAGAAAAAAAAATGGAGTTAATAATTTTGGACTACATTCCAGATTCCTTGTTTCAGTTGAGTGCTTTTTCTATTATTCCACGGGTATTTTACACAATACTGCTCTCTTTAGTATGCAAGGCTGAATTTTGGGAAATTGCCATTTTTAACCCATAAAGCCCACAAATTCATTATAATTTAGCTTAATAGCATAAATATTGAGTTAACCTCTGGAAGCAGGCTTTGACTTTGATATTGACCTGACCACTTAACTCTCTGGAGACTTTGACAAGTGACATCAATGTCTGTCTCTGTGTTTCCTGATTTATATCCACAGATAGAAAGCCATCTCCAGATCCTAGGGCCATTTTCAAGATTCAGTGAGATAAGGTGAAGCATTTGAATGTTCTCCATAAATGTCAGCTGCTTTTATTATTACTAGCATTATTTTTTGTTTTCATTATTATTATTAACATAGACCCGTCTAAGGGCAGAAAGAAATCTGACCAAGAATGGAGTGAAAGTCGGCTGTGAAGGTTAGGACTCCCTGAAAACAAAAAAGAAAAGTGGTAACATCACTCTGTATCCAAGGGCATGGATAAGGATGATTCAGAATTTTTTTATAACATTGATGTTAATATACATAGAGAAATACACACACACACACACGTATATATGTCCATGGACATCAAAATGAGGTATAGGTTAGGAAGTTACCCTGGAAGTTAGAATTGAGATAATTACTTTGATTAGCAAAGGTTTATGTTAGAAATATGAGTGGTTGAAGGCAGCGCCTTTCACCTTGATGCCTGTTGTGTTTAGCACTGGATAGAAAATTGCTATTTTTACTGATGACTACTTTAATGCTTGGTTCATTCATATGAAATAATCTTTCTTTTCTCCTTTAATAATAATGATCTCTCCTGATTTCAAGTTGAAAATGTATTAATTTAAGATAACTTATGAAGCAATGACATATGGAAGAGGAGATGGGAAATTGTTTCTCAATGGGAAAGTGTTTATAAATGGGATAGGTATACTAAAGGTATTTCCATTTAGGGAAAGAGGAAAGGAATGGTATTAATATATTTCTCTAATATTTTTCCCCCTTTGAAAGTTTGCCATGTTAGGAATCCTGGGGATGGAGTGATGAATTGTGGCATTGCTCTGCAGTTCACGCTGCTGAGAGCTGCCCCAACACACACACACACACACACACACACACACACACACAAAGGTTGCACACACACAGGTTTGATTATGCTCATGAGACTTCTTTTATTATTGAAAATATCTTAAAGTTTTATCTCACCAAGGAGGCCTTTTCTCTTTCCCTCTCTTTCTAGAAGGCCAATGATGAGGCCAATCAGAGTGATACAAGTGTCTCCTTGTCAGAACCCAAGAGCAAAAGCAGCCTTCACTTACTGTCCCATGAAACAAAAATTGGATCTTTTCTAAGCAACAGAACTTTAGATGGCAAAGACAAAGCTGGCCTTTGTCCAGATGAAGATGATATGGAAGGAGATTCTTTCTTTGATGATCCCATTCCTAAGCCAGAGAAAACTTACGGTTTGTGAGTAAATGGTTTTTGAGCTATGAGACTAGGGGTTTAAAAATAAGATAAATGTTTTCATTTTATAGTTAAAAAATAATGAACTATGGAAGGTTTATAATTATTGGATCCATAAATCTGACTATGCGTTGTTAATGCCTTTCATGTTGTAAAACAATCCCAGATTTTAGAAAAACCTAGACATGATTTATTCCAACAAGTAAGTGTAGATTGAGTGTCAGCCACTTGCCAGGGCTGTTCCAGGGTGGGGTGCAGCAATGATAGAAGAGGGAAGACTCCTGCCCTCAGGAAGCTCATGCTCTGGTGACAGAGTCAGGCAATGAGGGTTATGCTGCAGTGTGTGGGGTGATGAGAGCAGAGCAGTGATGGGAGCCCGAGTGTGTGGTCAGGGCAGGTGCATGTCAGCTGTCCAAATTGGAGGGGGCCTCACTTGGAGGTGCCCAGTGAGCAAAGAGCTAGAGGAGGTAAGGGAGTTGCCGTGGGTTGATGGAGCTTTGGGGAGAGGAAACAGACAGCAGGGAGGCGAGTTGGGGGTAGCAGAGAGAGCAAGATGGGGATCGGATGAGGTGGACTCAGAGATGAGGAGCTGGACGGCTTTTCTTTGAGACTGGAAGCCCTGAGGATCTTGATCTGGCGTACATTACAGAAGGATCCTGAGGTTGCTGGGGAAGGTTGGTCTTAGAGTTTCCAGTTAGGAGGCCGTTAATGATGGAAAAGGATTTGCCAGTAAGTGCTAGAGAAAAGTAATATACAGAGTGGCATCATGGTTTTTAGCCTGCAAAACTAGAAGGTTGGAAACACGTTAGATGAAGAGTGGCAAGAGCAAGAGTGGATTACACAGACAGGTGGCATGACAGCCTGGAGGCCCCTGTTGCTGTGCTAAGTTAGAGAAGATTGCTAGTGGAAATCCAAAGTAGGCTATTGAGTGTATGCGTTGGGATTGATGGAGAGGTCTGAGCTGGAGATGTAAATTAGGAGTCATCAGTTTGTAGATAATGTGGGGTGTGGGAGACTACAGAGGATCACCAAGGAAGCAGGTCCTGCGCACCTTGAGGCCAGAGCAGGGAGCTAGAAGCAGCAGAGGAGATGGAACCAGGAGAGTGGTGTCTGTGGAGGTGGCGGTAGGGAGGAGTAGCTGTATGATGCCGTTGGATTTAGCCATCTGGAGGTCAGTGATGACCTTGACACAGTTTTGTTGGAATGGGGGTGCGAGGCAGGTTAGAGAATTAGAGTGCATTCAAGACAGACAGGAAAGGATTGTAGATGAAAAATAGTTTTCTGATGAGTTGTAAAAGTGTGCAGAGGAGCAGGGTGGTGGCTGGAGGGGCAGGATTTAGGGCTGAAAAACGTGTTTAGGTGGGAGAAATAACAGCATGTATGCTGACGAGAGCTGTTCAGCTTTAAAGATGGAAGAATTAATGATGTAAGGGAGTGAGAGGAGAACTGGAGGGCTGCGCAGCAGTGGAATCCCATGCAGGGGCTTGTGTTTGCTGGAAAAGTGGAGAGCGTGTGGGTCTCATTGTAGGCAGGGGGTGGATATGATGGTGGCACCTGTGCAAGCTGTCACCTGAGTTCATAGTTGAGTGAGGATGGAGGACGGAGGTTGGAGATAAGAGGAGAGTGGAGAAAGCATGAAATCTTTCTATAAGAAAGTAAGGCGAGAAGGCACTGTGGAAACCCGGAGGGTTGTTGGGCAGTTTTAAAGGTCCCCTTGAGGTTAGTGGTCATGACTTTAAGGGGAGTTCATCAGCATGGCTGTTAGTGGCTTCTGTAAGCAATATTAAATCTGAGAGGTGGCACTTATTTGCTAGTAAACTCCTGTATTGTCCCTTGGCTGCATGTCTGGGTAATGGAAAAGGGCTTCCGAAAAAAATCACAGTGAAGAGGTCAATTTAGTTTATATCAAACAGAATTCTAAAGAGAGGTGAGCTGATTTCTTACGCCCTGGCTGTGCCGATTGTGGTTGATCTGTAGTTTGCACTCCCTTGGTGTACTTTATGGTTTTGAATCTTTAAAGTGTATATTCTTGATTTCCAGCCACCACACGTATAAAATATCTTTAAGTTGCTTTTGTTTCTGTGGCAGAATAAAAGTGTTTAGTGGCAGAACATAAGAGCACCGATTAACTGTCCTTGTTTCTTGTTAGGAGGAAGGAACCTAGGAAGCAAGCAGGAAGTCTGGCCTCGCTCTCGGATGCACCCCCCTTAAAAAGTGGACTCAGCTCCCTGGCGGGAGCCCCTTCTTTAAAAGACTCTGAGAGTAAGTGCCCAAAGATGTGGACTTCAATACTCGGGATATTTTTTCTCTAATTAAATACTATGTGATTATTGTTGATTTTTTTTCCCAGGAAAATCACTAAAATAACCTATCATTTTATCACTCAGAGATATTTCCTGTTAATATTTTGTTGTGTTTTGTTACTTCTAAGGTGGTCCTATTTTATATGTTGTTTTGTATTCTGGCCCTTCCTATACCTATATACCATCGGAATACTTTTGGGAAGTTGACTTTTTAGCTGATTTTTATTATCTATAGAAATAAAATTTTTAAATCATCTCTCCTTTTTTGGACATTTACAATGACTTGAGTTGGATTTGCTTTCAATTAATTTTTAAAAATTTGGTGATACCACAGTAAGTATCATAAAATGTTAAATAAAAAATTATTCTGCAGATCATTTTCAAGAACAGTGACCTGACATGTCATCGTAAATGCAGCAGAGCTAAAGAGCACTGGTTACACATGGAATAGTCTAGCTCTGGCACCAGTTACTTTCCCACCTCTCCCCACACACAGTGATAGGAATTTAAAAAGCATAGCCCTGAACATGTAGGATGGGCAGAGGTCCTTTGGAAACCGTATCATAGTAAATGTTGTATTTAATTAGCGTAGTGTTTCAGAGCACGTGTACCTCTTTTGAGAAAGTTTCCTAAAGTAGATTCACTAAGAATTTGCAGTATGCGTTTTGCATAATTGTCCAGTATTTCCGAATCTTTTTGTATTGCTTGATATACTGTGGGACTTCCTAGGGCACATAAGAGAGCCGGCCTGTTGCTTCTCTTAAACCAGCCATGTATTTATAATGTCCGCATCCCTTCCCATTTGCTTCTTTCCCGTGGTTACTGCCACCTTTAAGAAAGGAATCCAGGACATCATGAACATGTCATTCTGACATTGATTAGAGAATGATCATTTAGAGAGGACGTTGAGAACAAAGGACTAAAAAACCAGTGAGGATGTCACTTTAGTAAGTGAAATAGCAGTTGCACTGAAGAAAAATTTAGAAATTCAAAGGAAAAATAAGACTCATGAAAATAATTAACAGTCTATGAATTCATACCTAACAGGGCTGTTTATGGAAAGTGATGTCTTATAATGAGGCAAAAAATGGTTTTTGGTGGTTGTGTTCCAATAAAGTAGTATTGTTTATGGTTTAAAAAGGGATGTAGCTGGGTGCAGTGGCTCACGCCTGTAATACCAGCACTTTGGGAGGCCGAGGTGGGTGGATCACGAGGTCAGGAGTTCGAGACCAGCCTATCCAACATAGGGAAACCCTGTCTCTACTAAAAATACAAAAATTAGCTGGGTGTGGTAGCACATGCCTGTAGTCCCAGCTACTCGGGAGGCTGAGGCGGGAGAATCGCTTGAACCCAGAAGGCAGAGGTTGCAGTGAGCTGAGACCGCGCCATTGCACTCCAGCCTGAGTGACAGTGATGAGACTCCGTCTCAAAAAAAGGGTTGTGATGCATAGCTTAAGCGTTCATTAATCACAGTTTATTTTTTCCTTAGTTTTAGGTTATTATGCTCCTGTCATAAAGAAGCCCCATATTGAACAACGACAAAAATTGATGTGGTTTAGAGACTGTTATATTCTAAGTCACTCTAATGTTAATATTTTCTCCTGTTCACAGGTAAAAGGGGAAATACAGTTTTGAAAGATCTGAAATTGATCAGTGATAAAATTGGATCACTTGGATTAGGTAATTAGATTTCTAGTTTTTGTGCTGATCGTTTTAAAGTGATTATTTTTAGGGTAAGGCTGTAAAAGAAGTGACTCCGTCTGCCTACGCTGAGCACCTTCCTGCTGCTGCTCATTCAGCAGGTGTTTGAATGGCTTTTATGTGTTCAGGATTACACGCTATGCGAGAGATGGCTACAGCAACAGCCATCATGTTCTCGTGAACCTCTGTCTTCATGGAGTTTAAATTCTGGTCAGGAATATGAACATTAAACGGGCATCTACAGATATTTTGACTGTAAAAGGGTCAGTATATATGGGTATAGAAATGGCTAGTAGGTTACCTTTGTCCAGTCTTGGCATTCAGGGAAGACTTCTTATAAGAAGTGACTTCTGTGCAGAAGCTTCATGGTTAAGTACATGTATAAGAGAGAAGGGAAGATATTTCAGTTCAGACTGAGAAAAATTTGGGCAGAGGCAGAGCCATTTGCTAGATGCTGGTAGTACATGGTCCAGGCCTCAGAGAATTCAGTCTAGTGGGGAAACAGACTTATTGAAAGAAAAATTGTGAGATGTGTTCAGTTCTGTTCTATGGAGCAGAAGTTGGTAAGCCTGCCATGTAAGTACATTCATTCCTATGGAAGTAAGAGTGTCGATGTGAACATTACCGAGCCCTGGGCCATATGTTGAGAGCACATTTCTCATTCAGTGTTCTGTTCTGTGCAAGACTGTAGCAGTGTGACAGGCATACTTTAGGCAAACTCATTTATGTAAAGGCAAACTTGGTGACCTGAAGGAAACGGTGCAGCCAGGTTCTCAATGGCCACTTCCTATGCTCTCTGTGGATGTGATGGGATCCCTTCCTGGTCTGTAATCACTCACATGGAAGCATTGGAAGAGCTTCACAGGCAGGTTAGGGAGAAAGAAAGGTGTGTCCCCATTTGCTTTTAAAACCCAGCCCTGTCCAAGGGGCAGCTCCGAGAATGCCCTTCCCTCTTCTGGAGAGACATTCTGGATAGTGCAAAGAACTTGGGCTTGGAGTTGGATAGAAGTGACATCTCAGATGTGGCACTGATTGATGGGTAGCGTAGGGAGATAAACTAAACTGCTATTTCCTCATCTGTTAAGTGGAACTAATAACATCTGCCTTGTTTTAAAGAGTAAATAGGATTTAAATATCTCTTCATATGTAAATTAAAGTACAGTGGCTGGCATGGTAGGTGCCTAGTAAATGTTAGTTTTCTTTTTACGTTACTTTTCCCCCCATTTGCAGAAGAATAAATGTTCCCTGAGCTGCCCGGATTCTTGTTCCGCACAGTGCCCTGGAGTCCTGGTAACTGAGTTGCTGGTTGTGCTGCCATCTGCTCTTTGTGCGTCCTGGTTGCTGGCTGGCCAGCTAGGTGGGCCTGCCTCCTTTCCCTCCCTTGTGCTTTTCCTGTCAGCTGTGGTCATGGTTGCCATTAGATGTTCTTTTCCACTAAATCTCAGTGGCTAACTGCCACCAGAGACTTTACTCCTGACCTCTGCACCGTGATGGCCGCCTTGTCCCCTTTGTGTTCTGTTTTTTTCACTTTTGTGGTGTTTCACTCTGTTGCCAAACCTTTTAGCTTTTTTCTCTGACTGCTCTATTCTCTTACCAAAGCGAGGGTTTTCCCTCCTGTTTCTGAGTGGGGAGCTGCCGAGAATTGTCATCCTCAGGAGGGAATGTCGTTGCTGGGGCTGCAGAGTTGCTGGGTACAGGCAGGAGGGTGGTGTGCTCCTTCACTTCACTTTGTCTTGGGACTTAGGCATATCTCGGGTTGGAATTGGGGTAGTTATGCAGGTGAGAACTACCAGTTCACTAGCTGGATGTTTGTCATTTAGCTAGGCATTAGGATTCAGTAGAAATAAAGTTTTATTTCGTTTTGCAACAATGTTGTTTTCTGTTTGGGTTGTTTACATTTTAAATATACAGTACTCTAGGTATTTTGAGTAATATGTAGACAGATGTTAGTGGACCAGCCTAGGAGAATAATGATGTTAGTGGTAAGTGCCTGGCACTGTACCAAGGAATTATTTTATTTAATTCATATCCTATGAGGTAGGTTTTATTACTATCTCCATTTTTACAGATGAAGAATCTAGGTTAAGTAACTTGCCCAAGGTCATGCTGCTTTTAGAGTCCTGATGCATCACACAGAGCCCTCACCACTGTGTTTTACTGCCTGTATGTTATTTAGACATATTGAAATAATCATTTCAATGGGAACATAAATTCTGAGTTCCAAATAAATAATCTACAAATAAAGCTTTAGAGCACCATCTATTTTAGTTTGGCAGACAAATATTAATTAAAGGTGCCCAAAAGGAGTGTTTATAGATAGGTACTTTGCATATTTAAAGCAAGAGTTGCTAAGCTTTTTCCGTAAAGGGCCAAATAGTCTATATTTTAGGGTTTGTGGATGGCATGTACTGTCTCTCACATAGTCTTTGTGTGTTTTTTTGTTTTTTTGTTTTTTAACAATCTTTAAAAATGTAAAAGCCATTCTTAGTTCACAGGCTGAACAAAAGCAGGTCATCAGCCAGAGGCAAGAATGAAAGTAAGGAAAGCAGAAGGCTGTCAGGAAGTCCGGGCCAAAGATGACTGGGGTAAGGGCAGATAAGACAGAGGGTATGGGATGGGGAGGAGAGACTGTCAAAAAATGAAGAAAACAAGAATCCTTGGCCTGAGGGCCAAAATTTGCTGACCCTTAAAGTAATGTAGTACAGGTTGAGTATCCCTTAATGCAAATGCTTGGGACCAGAAGTATTTCAGAGTCTGGATTTTTTTGGATTTTGAAATGTTTGCATTTTTCTTACCAGATGAGCATCCCAAATCTGAAAATCTGAAAGTCCGAAATGCTCCAATGAGCAGTTTCTCTGAGCATTACGTCCCCACTCAGAAAGTTCTGGATTTTATTCAAGTTTGGTTTTCAAATTTTTGAATTTGGGATGCTTAACCTGTATGTATTCTGTTAATCATTTTGACACTGGCTTAAATTATTGTAATACTAAACAATACATAACCAAGAAGTCAGAATCTGATGTGTTATAGCACATTATTCAGTAAATATCTTTGTCTCATGTGTCTGTCTGAAGAGACCACCAAACAGTCTTTGTGTGAGCAACATGGCTGTTTATTTCACCTGGGTGCAGGCAGGCTGAGTCCGAAAAGAGAGTCAGCAAAGGGTTGTGGATTATCATTAGTTCTTACAGGTTTTGGGATAGGTGGTGGAGTTAAGAGCAATGTTTTGAGGGAAGGGGTTGGATCTTACAAAGTACATTCTCAAGGGTGGGGAGAACTACAAAGAACCTTCTTAAGCATGGGGGAGATTATAAAGAACCTTCTTAAGGGTGGGGGAGATTACAAAGTACATTGATCAGTTAGGGTAGGGCAGAAACAAATCACAATGGTGGAATGTCATCAGTTAAGGCTATTTTCACTTCTTTTGTGGATCTTCAATTGCTTCAGGCCATCTGGATGTACACGTGCAGGACACTGGGGATATGATGGCTTAGCTTGGGCTCAGAGGCCTGACAATCTTGTGTTTTGAATTGGCTACAAATGCTGCCAGGTGGGGAATCCAGTTAGCTTTCTTTAAATCCACATTGCAGCCACAGCCGTCCTCGCTGTCTCAGCTCAGTGTCCACCTCTGCTCTCCTCACTGGCCTTCACACATAGGAACACTACAATGGGTCCTTGGAGGCTGACATTTTAGTAGCTGCCACTCCTGGTTTTACTTAGCGCTTGCAAACCAGCCACATATGTAGTTTGTTTAATCAGATTTCCACTTCTCCTTCTCGGCCCTGACAGTGCCTGGTTTCTGGCAAGCACTTGCAGCCCTTTAACCTTTGAGGCTACAGTGGAGACGAGCTCTTGATTCTCAAGAGGAGAGGAAGCTCCTGACATGTCCCTCCTGACTGCTTATGATCAGGGATTTCCAGTTCATTACTGGGCAAGGTTTGGATGTAGCAGGAACAAGGACTCATGTTTTCTTCGTTTGCTGATATTCTTCCCACCCCATATCATCTACCCGTCTGTCTTATCTGTGGGACACCTGCCTTGACCCAAGCCTTTTACCCCTGTTCTCTTTGGCCTGGACTTTCTGACAGCCTTCTGCTTTCCTTACTTTCATTGTTGCCTCCTGTACACATATTTCTTCTGGCGGTGGTACGATTATCTCTGGGAAAACAGAAGTGAGGTAGTGCTACCCTGCACTTTTTCACTCCTGTCTTCCCCCACCCCACCCCATCCCTTTGTACAAAGCTTCCCTTTGTATTCAGGCTAAGATCCTTATTGCAACCAACCAAGCCCTAATGATCCGGCTTCTGCCAACCCTTCTGATCGCCACTCCTTTTTTCTTCCTCCACCCATTCTGTCCCCCAAATTCATTGTTTTATGGTTGTATGGCTTCCTTACTGGTGGTTTTTACATTTTTTTTGAGACAGTATTTTAAAAATTAAAATTTAAAAAATAAAATAAATTTTTAATTTTTGAGGGGGTCTTGCAATGTTGCCCAGGCTGGTCTCAAACTCCTGGGTGCAAGTGATCCTCCTGCCTTGGCCTCCCAAGTAGCTGGATTACAGATGTGCGTCACTGCTCTGGGCTGCACTGGTGGTTTTTCAAACCACCGCACCCTCCCCCACCTCAGGGCCTTTCACATGTTTCCTCTTGGAACACACTGTCCCCAGTAATTTGTACCTCTGCAACCTAGGTTTCCACTCAGTTGCTACCTTGGAGTTCTTCCCAATTGCACTAGCAGTATTTGGTTTGTTCCACTGTTCCTCTTCACTAGAGTGTTTGCTCCCTGAGATCAGAGATACCATCTTAGTCATTGCTATACCTCTAGGGGACCTAGTCATCACTCAGCTGGTTGATAAATTAATCATATGATTTGGCTGTAAGAGAATTACATTGTCTAACTGTCTGGACAGAGCTTGAATCCCCTCAGCAGTCTGACCGATTTAGAGACAGTCCAGCCTTATCTGAGGGAAGATCGAGGACAAGGCCCGCAGGGTCTTTGAACGGCTCTCTGTCATGCCAGGTCTTCTTTTTGTGATCTGCATCTTCTGCATGTGGCTGTACATGCTTCCTGGGTCTTTCATAGGCCATCCATTCACATTTTAAGTTGGCTCTCATGTGCCTCCAAGTCTGCTTTGAGGCTGACAACTCTTTTTCCTCATCTAGCCCTCAGAAGTCCTGGGAGGGAAGGGCTGCTGATTTGCAAATTTGTCCTTTATAGCCTTAAGTTGATCTGAAGGTGCCCCCTCTGTCAGAGGCTTGTGGTGCACTTTGAGAAACTGGTAACACTGCCTCACTATTCACCATCCCACCTTCATTCAGTTGCCTTTTATTAAGATCTTACTGTGGACCAAGGTCTCTGTTAAGCACATCATGTACCTGAATCCTTATGTTAACTCTGATTGGTGTGGCTTTGGCTGTACGTCAGAGCAGAGGACATGGCCCAGAAAGGGCACCTCACATTCCCAGGTCACAGAGCTGTTGAGTGGCAGGTCTGAGGCCTGAGCCTGGCTCTGTCTGACTGAAGGTGCCCTTATTTGCTGTGCTTCATGGCCTCTTCACACCTCATGAGTGTTTTTTAACTTTTATAACAAAACAATTAGCATGTTGAAAACGCTCAGTAGTTCATCTAGTACCTAGAGGGGATTGATGATGACTTGCTATTGCTATACGCCATTAAGTCAAGGGACCTTATTAATGGTGAGTGTGCCCCATGTTAATTGCCTTAGAGTACCCGGAGTAAAGATGAGGTGTTAACCACATTTTATAGTCACTTGTAACAGTTTATTATTTCTTAGGTATTTCATTTGTCATTTGTCTTCATATTATATATGCTTAAAATGTTATTTCTAGTCTGGGACTTTTTAAATGATGCAATATAATTAATTTTTTTTAAGGAAATGTGTGTTTAATGGTAGGTAAATTGTGACGCACATTAGATATAACATATCTTTTCTTAAACTTATCAGGAACTGGAGAAGATGATGACTATGTTGATGATTTTAATAGGTAAGAAAAACTATTGGGCAAATATATAAATATATACGTTATTTGTAAACAATTTCCGAACACAGACAAGACAAAATTACATTTGGTGCTTATTTTAATGTATTTGATTCTGTTGTTCATATTGATTGAAGATGAAGAAAAGATAGTTAATCCAAAATTAAATATTTGATTTTAGAGCATGTTTTTGATTTTACATTAGAATATAGACAGTCACATTATGTTCAGGAAACTTGGTAAGAAGAAGAGAAACAATTGAAGAATTAACTGAGAAGTCATTTAGAAGCAGTTCAGTTGCCGTGTCATAAGTGCTGATTTTCTCTTCCTTCCATACCTTTTTGTGGCGGGAATTGTCTCAAAATTGACCTAAAATAATTATGCTCTCAAATTAGTTTTTTGATTCAGATCACATTTCCTAATATGTGGATATGTGGTCTGCCCTAATAAGATTGCCATTCTCTTTTTTTTTTTTTTTTTTTTTTTTTTTTTGAGACAGAGTCTCACTCTGTTGCCCACGCTGGAGTGCAGTGGTGCGATCTGGGCTCACTGCAACCTCCTTCTCCCGGGTTCAAGCCATTCTCCTGCCTCAGCTTCCCATGTAGCTGGGATTATAGGTGCGTGCCACTACGCCTGGCTAATTTTTGTATTTTTGGTAGAGACAGGGTTTTGTCGTGTTGGCCAGGCTGGTCTCGAACTCCTGACCTCGTGATCCACCCACCTGGGCCTCCCAAAGTGCTGGGATTACAGACGAGAACCACCATGCCCTGTCGATTCCTTTCTTATACACAGAAAGATAATATGTAATGTAGAAGTAATATTTGTTGTGGATATGATTCGAAATTTTAAATTAGATGCCTGAGAATTTTATTTAATTGACAGGTTATCTTTCCAATTGGAAGTCTGTATTTTTTTTTATAATTTATTATACAGTTTTTGAGAAAGAGCATGATGTAGTAGATGAAATTGTAAAAATCTGGGTTTGTTTCTTTCTTGCTATTGTGACCAAAGTCACTGCTTTGAACCTTTGTCTCCTCATCTGTTACATTGACTTGACTGCTGCTGCCCTTGCTACATTATTTTAAGGGTCAAGCAAGACAATATGTATGAAATTAATTATAGTTAATATTATATTTTACTTAAAGGATTAAAAGAAATATCTGAATGTTTAAAGAATAGTAATCTCTTTAAATGTTTATTTTCAGAGTTCTTATTTTTTTTTCCCCTTCTGAAATTAGTACCAGCCATCGCTCAGAGAAAAGTGAGATAAGTATTGGTGAAGAGATAGAAGAAGACCTTTCTGTGGAAATAGATGACATCAATACCAGTGATAAGGTATGGTGTTCTGCATTTCCCATAGAGTGCTTTTTTTTTTTAACCTATTTGTCGATTTACTGTAAAGCTTCAAAATTCATACTAATTAGTAGAAAAACAGTTGAAAATTATGAAAAGTCATGACAGAGACCTGGCTCGAGTTTATAAAGAATGTCTTTGATGAATGTGTAAGATTGGTTTTGGTTGTCACTTCCTTTGGTATGCAAGTCTCGCTGCTGAAATGCCTGAGGATTATTCCTGGGGCACTGGGATTGCTGTGGATTAAGAGGGATCAGGGTGGGTCAGGCTTAGTGAGAATTGACCACCTGGTGCCATAGGTGGAAGTCAGTATAGGGTACTGTGATCACAGGAGGAAGCTGAGCCTGGAGTGCAGAGAGTGTGGTCATCTTGGCCAGTTGTGACATCTGAACAGGCAAGCCAGACTGGGCTAAAATCCACAGGAGACAAGACAGTAGGCCATAAAGTTAGAGTCCGTATTTGAGATCCAAACTTTACCTTTTTATGTGGGTGGAGAACAGAAGATCCTTCGATGGTGAGCTGTAGCATTGCAGGGTCACCTGTCAGTACCCACTTCAAGCTGTCCCCAGCTCAGAGGAGTCTACCAGTCAGGTTGGAGGTTGCCATGGCTGGGTGGGGACTTGCTTTCCAGAACATGGTGGGATTCTCCAAGCGCTGTGATTGTCACACAGGGAGAAGGCCTTTGAGAGAGGTAGCGTTTACAATGCAACCACACAATCTAAGTCAGCAGCATCCGTGTTTGCATTCTTATTCTTTCATATATTTTCTTATTTAAGCTTTAACCTTTGACTCTCAGTTTCTTTACTTGTAAGATGGAAGTATTAATACCTATGTGATAGGATTATTTTGAAGGTTAAATGATAATATATAAAGCACTTCTCTAATTCCTGATGTATTATATACCCTTATAATTATAAATTTAGCTTTCTCTTTTCACCCTGCATCATCCTAAAGAGGCCTGAAGAATGTTGCTTTAAAGTTATACCAAAGAAACTATGAAGGATTCTTTAAATATGAGGGAGAGGACTCGAAGAAATGACTGTTAAACTAGGATTTGTGAAATGACGTGGGTTGAAGAGGAGGTGTGGCATCCCTTTGCCATTGGGGGCCTTGGATGGCGTCCAGGAGTCTGGGCTTTGTTAGACTGCTTCTCACTGGGTCCTACTCACTGGGTTTGGCACATCAATGTTCCTAGGAGTTTTCACTTAAAAGCTTAAATTTAGATAATTTTGCCATTTACATAGATTGGACTTTGACAGTCACTGTACTTCATCAGGAAGCATTTTCTAAAGCCTTCTGTGTAGAGAATTGCTACTGGGCACCTGGGGAACACAAAAGCATTTGTATTCTTTGCAGTAAGAATACAGCAGACAATCTGGTCACCTTTCAGCCAAGGTGACCAAAACCAGTGTCCATTAAGCACCTACTATTTAGAGAGCACAGGGCTGGGGATGTGGGGGTGTGAGGAAGGAGATAGCCCAGTGGAATGGGCAAGTTCTGTAAGTTCATCACATCTGGGTTTGAGTTCTGGAGCTGCTACTTACCACTCACAAATTTGGCCAAGTTATTTAACTTTTTTTTGTTTTTTTTTTTTTTAGACAGAGTCTTGCTCTGTTGCCCAGGCTGGAGTGCAGTGGCGCTATCTCAGCTCACTGCAAGCTCCGCCTCCCGGGTTCATGCCATTCTGCTGCCTCAGCCTCCCGCGTAGCTGGGACTACAGGCGCCTGCCACCACGCCCAGCTGATTTTTTGTATTTTTTTATAGAGACAGGACTTCACCATGTTAGCCAGGATGATCTTGATCTCCTGACCTCGTGCTCTGCCTGCCTCGGCCTCCCAAAGTGCTGGGATTACAGGCGTGAGCCACCGCGCCCAGCAAGTTATTTAACTTTTGGGGCCTTGGGTCTCACATCTATTTTGCAAGAGAGATGGTGGTAGTGAAAATTAGAGATAAGCGTGTAAAGCATATAGCTCAGTGCTTAGCAGAACAGGCATTCAATAAATGGTATCTAATACTATTATTCATTGTAGTCACAATAGACATTTCTGTCGTAGGCACAGATATAGACTTCTTCCCTCAAATTTATGCAGGATCAGAGAGAGAAAAGCCATGTACACAAACATAGGAAAATCAAGATAAAAAGTGACAGGTGCCATAAAATGCCAGTCATTCATGGGCCATGAAAATTCAGAAGCAGGAACTAATATTTGACCGGGATTTTGAAAGATGACTCTGACTTGGTTCTGCGAGGGCTGAGGAGGAACATGGTAAGCTCCATGAGAACAGAAGGGAGATCCCGGGACATGTCAGTGCTGCCCTGATTCCAGAGCTTCACTGGAGGGTGCTGTGTGAAGAGACAGAATGTTGGGAGGAGCAGGGTTGTTAGAAGGTGACTTTGAACCAGAAATGACAGAGGATGAACTAGGAGCAGAGGCCCTGGGGAGGGTAGTCTCTGCACGGGAGCCAGCACGAGCAAAGACATAGGTAGATGTTGGAGGAAGAGGGCCACACGTTCCTAAGGGACAGAACATAAGTGTGCATCCCAGGTTTCTGTTAATGCATAGCAATCTAATTCAGCAAACGTGAACATTTACACTTCATAAAACTTTTCAAAATCTTACAAGTTCCCGTCGATTTGTATGAAGCTTGCTATCACAGGGATCCTTTGTTTCCCTTTCAAGACTCAAAATGTACGTTTTAGATATTTTTATTTTGTGATGTAAAATCTATTTTTATAGTTTTGAACTAAGTTGGTCACTTTGAGTTCTTATTCTAAAACTAAGGAGGCATGAAAGCCGCCTTTATTAGTTTTGTTTTTGTTTTTGTTTTTGTTTTTGAGACAGAGTCTCACTCTGTTGCCTAGGCTGGAGTGCAATGGCTGGATCTTGGCTCATTGCAGCCTCTGCCTCCTGGGATCAAGCAATTCTACCTTAGCCTTCTGAGTAGCTAGGACCACAGGCATGTACCACCATGCCCGGCTAGTTTTTGTATTTTGAGTAGAGATGGGGTTTCACCTATGTTAGCCAGGCTGGTCTCAAACTCCTGGCCTCTTGTGATCCCCCCGCCTTGGCCTCTCAAAGTGCTGAGATTACAGGCGTGAGTCACTGTACCCGGCGGAAAGGCTTTATTAAATAGCCATTTATTTCTAGTTAGCTTTTGTTCATTCAGTTTTCTTTCTTGGTAACTACTTTAAATGAAACTGTTCTTCTTGGAAGTTTCTGGTTATTATTGTGGTCTTTTCTTTGCCTTAAAGCAAAACTAAATTAATGATCTCCAATAACTGAATTATCTAGATTAAGATCGTTTTCAGTCCACGATTTTTCCTGTATTCACTCTTGTCTGTAGTTTAGCATTTGTATTAATATAACACTCAATTACTTTGTAAACGAGATGGAATACCTTACTGATTTCACTCTGTAATAATGATGGGAAGAGAAAATTACAGTTCCAAGGTATCAGTTTGTTTTACAGTCTGTCTGCAAGCTTTTCTGACTTTTCAGTTTTTGTGTAAATTGGATTTGAATTGAATGCATAAGAACTGTAATTAAGATTCCTAATAATTTTCTTTGTGAGATAGTTTTACAGCAGGACTATGTTTGGACCAAGAGAAAGGGCAAGGACTTATTTGTTGAAAAGGATTTTACTTACAACTTAAATTTCTGAATATCCGAAGAATAACAAAATGAGAGGATATGTGGGGGGCAGATGAACAGACAAATAAAAGCATCTCACAGTATCTCGGGATGAAACTGTTGCATCTCTACAAGATGTTCCTATTCTTGTGCGTTATTACCTGGCCCAGGTGTTGGCACACTTGTTCTCTAAAAGGCCATATAGTGAATATTTTAGGCTTTGCAGGCCATAACTACTCCACCTTGCCATTGCATGGAGAAGACAGCCATAGACGATGCCTAAGAGTGTGTGTGTGGGTGTGGCTGTGACTGTCCCCTGGTCTGTTGCCACAACAATGAGTCTAGGTGGGACTGGGAAGGTTGGGTTCTGTCCTTGTTCAGCTGTCAGTGGGACCTGCCCAGCTGTATGTTCTATATTCTGGAGCCTGTATATTCACCCGTGGTTTTTTCCTTAGTTAAGAAATGTTTTCCCAGCCTGCATTATGCTTACATATCTATTAATATTTCCTTTCTCCATTATCATGAGTTGTTTATACAAATGAATAGATATAAGTTGGTTAATAGGTTAACTTTCTAGTTTACAAGTAGTTTAAACAGAAGTAGAAATGAGTCGTTTCTTACAACACTTTGTGAACCCGGGGCTGGGAGTCTGAGACTCCATGGGCCGTCCTGTCTGCCCTTCTGTTTTCACTTCATGATCTGGCTTCAGGTGGCACAGTGTTAAAGTGTGTCACACCATGTCGAGTTTGATGTTAGAAACTTAACGTTCTATACCGTCATATGAAAACATAAGAAGGGATCGTTTCCAAATTATACATTTTAATGAATTTTCGTGAAATTTAACGTGGGTAAATTATGGTTTTAGAGTTAGCAATTCATAGAGTGATACTTCCTGTGAACAGAATCATACATTGGGACTATGCTCAGGTAAAGAAGTTTAATACAGTTTTTCACTAATTTGTTTCTTAGATTAAATTGGAATAATGGCTAAGATGTGTTTTATTTTAAATTTTCACTTGAAATATTTGAGAATAATCATAAAACATTGGGCTCTAAAGATTGTACTAACTTAGTAGACATGATTTTAGGCAAATCGCTTCTCAACACAGCTTTAAATATGAGTTGGTTTATGAAGTATAAAGTAATACTTTACAGCAACAGTTTTTTTAATTTTTAGTTTTTTATTTCTTATTTCCATAGGTTTTGGGGGAACAGGTGGTGTTTGGTTGCATGAATGAGTTCTTTAGTGGTGATTTGTGAGATTTTGGTGCACCCATCACCCTAGCAGTACACACCGGGCCCAATTTGAGCCTTTTATCCCTCACCCTCCTCTCATTCTTTCTCTGGAGTCCCCAAAGTCCATTGTATCATTCTTATGCCATTGCATCCTCATAACTTAGCTCCTGCTTATTAATGGGAAGATGTGATGTTTGGTTTTCCATTCCTGAGTTACTTCACTTAGAATAATGGTCTCCAGTTCCATCCAGGTTGCTGCAAATTCCATTATTTTGTTACTTTTTTTTTTTGAGTCGGAGTCTCGCTCTGTCACCCAAGCTGGAGTGCAGTGGTGCAATTTCGGCTCACTCCAACCTCTGCCTCCTGGGTTCAAGCGATTCTCCCGCCTCAGCCTCCCAAGTAGCTGGGACTACAGGCACCCGCTATATTGTCTGGCTAATTTTTGTATTTTTGTAGAGACAGGGTTTCACCATGTTGGCCAGGCTGGTCTTGAACTCCTGACCTCAGGTGATCCGCCTGCCTCAGCTTCCCAAAGGGTTGGGATTGCAGGCATGAGCCACTGCGCCTGGCCTATTTGTTCCTTTTTATGGCTGAGTAGTATTCCATGGTATGTATATACCACAATGTCTTTATCCAGTTGTTGATTGATGGGCATTTGGGCTGGGTTTCATGTTTTTGCAATTCGGAATTGTGCTGCTGTAAACATGCGTGTGCAAGTATCTTTTTCATATAATGACTTCTTTTCCTCTGGGTAGATACCCAGTAGTGGGATTGGTGGATCAAACAGTAGTTCTACTTTTAGTTCTTTAAGGAATCTCCACGCTGTTTTCCATAGTGGTTGTACTAGTTTACATTCCCACCAACAGTGTAAAAGTGTTCCCTTTTCACCACATCTTCACTGACATTTATATTATTTTTTGATTTTTTGATTATGGCCATTCTTGCAGGAGTAAGGTGGTATCTCATTGTGGCTTTGATTTTTTAAAATAACTTAAGACTACTCACATTCTGACACTTAATTATTTTCTTTCTTTTGAACAACAAAGCTTGATGACCTCACACAAGATCTGACTGTATCCCAGCTCAGTGATGTTGCGGATTATCTGGAAGATGTTGCATAGACACGAAGAAGGAAGTATTCTAATTAACAAGGACAGAGGACTGACCGGTTCCATTTTTTTTTTTTCCAGACAATCACTCAGCTGGAATGTCTGCTCTCTATTGGTGCCTTGCATTTCAAAAACACTGCAGATATTTTTTAAAAGTAATTTTCATTTTACTAAACAAAATACTTCCTATTTGAGCCCATGTGTGGAAGATTTAATATTCTTAATTTAACTGTACATTTCTTTATGGAAATTGATTATCTACACTCAGTTTCATTACAGGGAAGGAACCCATGAAAACATCAGTGTTAAGAGCATGATGAAAGGTGTCAATAAAGCCGTAGGATCGCGCAACCCTTTGTGTGTGTGGCTGCTGGTACGTGTGATCTTTGAAAACCTTGGCTTTAGCCCTCTGGAATCAGAGCTTACCCACCATAGTATATTTTGATATTAGGTGGTTCTACACATAGTTGGCAAAATGACTTGGTAAATTTGTAATGCTGAAGTATATTAGTATAAGTTAAATTTGATGTGTCAACTTTATTTTGTATTTCCTTCCATTTGGAAGGTTTGTTAGACCATTAAGGTTATATTAAAGTACTCTTGTGTGTGCTATTTAGTTTTGCTTGTTTTAAAGAAATCTAGAAGTGGTTATGAGTTTTAATTCATAGAATTGTCAATAACATAACATTTGCAATCGTCATTCCTCCTGTTATCCATGTAAGCAGCTTTAGTCGTAGGTTCTCTTCATTATAATTTATTATCTGTAAAGATTCCTTGAAACTTAAATGCATCTGAAACCATTAAGCAGTGCTTTTATTTCAGATCTGTAAGTTAATTGTATTAAAATCCAAATTGGAATGAAATAGTAGTAATGGCCTAAGACCATGTTCAGTTTGACAAGCTTTATATACTGTACATAATTTCATTGTAACCCTTAAAAATAGAGCCAATAATAGAATTTCCACAGTCTCATTTATACGGTTAAAGCATTATTGCTATTATGTAGGTCACGGATGTTTATAATACTAAAGTATTTTAAAATGTGCAAGTAGAAAAAACAGTAGAAAGTGATGCATGCATATTTATATATAAGTAAAGCAGGATTGTGCTGTTTTTGCACTTTATAATTTCAATTAAGTTGCGGCTTTTTACTACAAGTTAACTTTATTAGTAAAAGGAGCAAATTAGACCTAATTCATTGATCTCGGTTAAGTGAGCAGACTGCATGACTTGTGTAATGCCAGTTTCTCATTTCATATTAGCCTAAATATTACAGAAATTACTCCTTGGGCTCTAAAATGTAGAGGAAATGAAAATGTAAGGATTAAGGCTGTGTAACAGAATCTGGCTTTTTAAAATTTAAGTGAAACTAAGCTGTAAACATCAAGAGGAAGTAGGACATAAACTGGGCCGGTACAGCCTGGGAGCCCTGTGTATTTCTGCCCTCCGTCTGTGAGCTGCTATCTCAGTCTCCTTCAGCTCTTCATGTCTTAGTAAACAGCACCACGTGCAGATGTAATCTTGTTGCAGTCCCCCAGTGTGGTTGTTATAAAATGCATTTCTTTGTAAGTCATCTCTGTAAACAGTCACTTTCTAAAAGCACTATAGTTCTGGTCCCCTGGAATCTGGATCACATGTATGATTTATTTTTAATATTTGATAGGAACTAGGTTTCAGTGAAATGATTTGAAAGCATAGCAGGATGTGGCTTTTTAAATTTATGAAACTTTCGAACAGTAGCAACTGAAATTTGTCACTTTTCTGTTACGCAGAGAATCAGACCTTTTGATAATATTTGGGAGGGTAAAAGAAATATGCCAAATATGAAACTTTTTTGTCAGCACTACATACATCTTTTTTTTGCGGGGGGCGGGGGGGACAGAGTCTCACTGTGTCACTCAGACTGGAGTACAGTGATGCGATCTCGGCTCACTGCAACCTCCGCCTCCTGGGTTCAAGCGATTCTCCTGCTTCAGCCTCCTGAGTAGCTGGGATTACAGGTGCACACCACCACGCCCGGCTAATTTTTGTATTTTTAGTAGAGATGGGGTTTCACCATGTTGGTCAGGCTGGTCTTGAACTCCTGACCTCGTTCCTGCCTTAGCCTCCTAAAGTGCCGGGATTACAGGCGTGAACCACCGCACCTGGCCAGTACTACATCCATTTTATTGAATGATTTTGAATGACTTAAAGTTCAACTATGAAAAAGCTTTCTTTTCACATGTACTTTTTGATTAGGTATTATCAACTTATGAAACTTGAAGATGTGAAGTGACAGGTTTTGCATGTGATGAGTGTTTTCTGTTAAAAAATAAATATTGAAATATTAACCCATTAAATACATTTTTATGGTAACCTATGTTTTACAGTGGAGTTTTAAAAATGCTAGGTCTTTCTTTCATTTTATTGATAACTACAAATGAATAAAAAGCATTTATTCTCTTTGTTGATATTCGGTTGTGCTTTTATACTTTATGTTGGATAACAACCTGTGGGCAGTTGTGTAGATGCCATTAGTCCCTGCCTCATGCTTGCCCACAGCTCTTCCTCCCCTCCTTACTTCCCTCTCCTGCCCATGCACCAGAGCTGTGCCAGCCCACTGCTGCACAGCCTCTGCACCTGAGCTTGCCAAAGCCCTTCCTGTCTCAAGGTGTGATATTTGCCCCTCCTTGTCTGGAATGTCCTTCCCCTAGAACTGCATGAAGCTGGTTTATTTCAGTCTCATGTTCAAAGACGCTTCCAGACCTAAGGGAGATGTCCATTCTCCTCCCTGTCCCTGCCCCACCACTTGCATTTACCCCTTTTATTTTATTCATCTCAGCATACTCTGAAATGGTCTTGCTTATTTTGTGTGTGTGTGTGTGTGTGTGTGTTTAACTATGAGCTCGTGAGAACAGGGATTTTCTTTTAAACTGCTGTGTACCTGGCACAACATTTGTCCCCTAGTATGAGCTTGGCATCTTTGGGGCTGTAAACAGGCTTGAGCACTGACATGGGGCCTGGAGAATGTGGTTTCTGGCTAGGCAGCTGGAACAATCTACAAAATCTGAGGGGAAAGCTGTCCTTACCCTAAACCTGGGGAGGTCCCTAGGTTCAAGTCTGCAGGAAGGGGATCTGGTTCAGGAGAAGGCCGTCCTGTGAATTTGCCCCACCCACCAAGCTCAGCTGGAGCAGGGCCTCTGAAGGAGGTGCCCTCTGTGTGGCTCTGCTGTGGTGTTGGTTCATGAAGGACATGGGAGGGGGGCAGGACAGGAGAGGCAGCTCTTCCTGGAGAAAAACACACCCAGCCCAAGTTGGAGCCCTCCTGTGGCATTGGGTGGGGAGGATTCCCGCCATCAGTTCTCTGTCCATGGGTGCTAGTCTCACCCCTGCCCTCCGAGCAGTCCGTGCTCCCAGTGTCCCTGTCCTCTTTTTTTTTTTTTTTTTTTTTTGAGGTGGAGTTTTGTTCTTGTTGCCCAGGCTGGAGTGCCATGGGGCGACCTCGGCTCACTGCAACCCCTGCCTTCTGGGTTCAAGTGATTCTCCTGCCTCAGCCTCCCAAGTAGCTGAGATTACAGGTGCCTGCCACCATGCCCAGCTAATTTTTATAATTTTTTTGTAGAGACGGGATTTCACCATGTTGGCCAGGCTGGTCTCAAACTCCTGACCTCAGGTGATCCACCCGCCTCAGCCTCCCAAAGTGCTGGGAATACAGGTGTGAGTCACGGTGCCCGGCCTAGTCTTCCTGCTCTAGGAAGGGACGTGTTTGGGGAGGAAATCCAGGGCAGCTACCTTTGTGAGTTGTCCTAATGCTGCGTTCAGAGTTCCACACGTTCAACAAGCATCTGACATTTAAGGAAAGTGAATGTATGTCATGAAAGACAGATGAACAAAGAACTGATCTTGAAGAAAATGTAATCAGGAAACGAGATAATTCAAGAACAAAAACCTGTGAAGGACTGAATGTGTCCCCCAAAATGTGTATGTCGAAACCTAATCCCACATAGGATGGAATTAGGTAGGGCCTCTGGAAGTTGATGAGATCATTAGCGCCCTTATAGGAGGCCCGGGAGAGCTGCTTTGCCCCTTCCAGCGTGTGAGGACACAGTGAGGAGGTGTTGCCTATGAGGAAACAGGCCCTCCCAGATGGTGAACCTGCCGGTACCTTGATCTTGGACTTAAGCCATCTGAGCTGTGAGCCCTACACTTCCATTCTTTATAAATTATCCAGTCCAAGGTACTTTAGGAACCTGAATGGATTAAGACAAACCTGATTATGCCACTCCGAGATTTGAGGTAACATTTGAATCTAAAAGAGGCTATATGAAAGAGGTTATAATAAAAATGATTTTTGACTAAAAAATTGTTGGCCTAAGATAATTCAGTAGCAGGGCTGAATAATGGGATGACTCAAAATCAGTAAGCTCAAAGGCAATTTCAAAGAAATCTTTATGTTTAGCAAGAAGACCAAGATGACAAGATGCGCCAGGAGACTTGGCCAGAGGACCTCCAGGCTGACAAAGTTTCCCCGAGGAAGTCAGATTGGAAAAGTGTCCTCAGGTTCAAGGAAACCTGGGTGTGCACCGGGTGAATGAGAGTGGCAGACAGAAGGAAACAGCAAGGCCTCTGAGGTAGGAGGGACAGCGTTTTTGAATGTGAAATTTATTCCCTGATACATGTTTTTAAAAATGAATCTTGCTGCCCTTAGAAAATGAACCCCCGAACAAGGTAAGGTCGAGCTGGCCCCTCGTGTCATCCGACTTTGCGTTGTGGCCCTGCCTGCAGAAACGTGTGCTCTGCTACAGCCCTGGGAGGAGGGGCCGGGCTCCCAACTCCTGCCCCGCTTCTAGCACATGCTGTGCTTGGCCACTTCTCTGCCTCTTAGTTTAACAGCAGCACTGGGCAAGGTTTGCCCTCTGCACACCAGACCGGCTTCCCAAGAACCGGGGAAGAGGAGAGGGCATGCCTGGGGCCTGAGCTTAGTGGGCCGGGTGGAGGCAGGAGGTACTGCATGGAGGAGCGTGGACAGTGGCATGCAGGAGGCCAGTCATTCTGCGGTTTTAGCTGGAGGTTTGTTTTTGGTAGTTTGTAGAATCATCAGATTTGATGATGAAACTTTTTTTCCATAAATGTTAAATTTTCAGACACTTGTATTTTTTTTTTCCTTTTTTTTTTTTGAGACTGAGTCACTGTCGCCCAGGCTGGAGTGCAGTGGTACTAGCTCGGCTCACTGCAACCTCTGCCTCCCAGGTTCAAGCGATTCTCCTGCCTCAGCCTCCTGAGTAGCTGGGATTACAGATGTGTTTCACCATGCCCGGCGAATTTTTTTTGTATTTTTAGTAGACACGGGATCTCACCGTGTTGGCCAGGCTGGTCTTGAACTCCTGACCTATGGTGATCCGCACCCCTCCCCGCCCCCCCCGCGGCCCAGCCTCCCAAAGTGCTGGGATTACAGGCATGAGCCACTGTACCCAGCCCTGTATTTTCTTTAAAAACCAATTTTGGGCCGGGCACGGTGGCTCACGCCTGTAATCCCAGCACTTTGGGAGGCCGAGGCAGGCGGATCACGAGGTCAGGAGATCGAGACCATCCTGGCTAACATGGTGAAAACCCATCTCTACTAAAAATACAGAAAAAAAATGAGCTGGGTGCGATGGTGGGTGCCTGCAGTCCCAGCTACTCGGGAGGCTGAGGCAGGAGAATGGCGTGAACCCAGGAGGCGGAGCTTGCAGTGAGCCCAGATCACGCCCCTGCACTCCAGCCTGGGTGACAGAGCGAGACTCCGTCTCAAAAACAACAACAACAACGAAAAAACGATTTTGGCATGTTTTGTAAGTTGCCAGACTATTGGATATACCTCTTAATCATACTTTGTTTGAAATCCTTTGTGGTTTCTAAAGCACTAGTAGCTTTCTGAAAGGAAAATTTTTAATGAATGAAGCATGCTTCATCCTGCACATCCCCTCCTGCCCCAGCACCCCTACTGCCCATGCGCCTCTCCTGCCCCAGCACCCCTACTGCCCCAGTGCCAGGCCTTTTCTAGCAGCTCTCATGGGTTCATCCCTGCTGCGGGCATTGCTCCACCAAGGGGCAGTGCTCTCCCTGCCGGTAAGTGTTGGAACTTCACGTTTCCCTCTAGTTTTCTCTTTACATTTTAACATACACTATTATGTGTCAATATATTAATTATATATTAATTACATTTATAGAGGTTAGGTATATATGGCAGATCATATCTGAGCGTGAATTACATTCTCCAATATTTTTATTTGTCATGATTTATTGCAGGGTTCACTTATTTGATCTACCCCAACTTAACACACATTTCCAAGAAAATATCCATCACACTAGAAAGAAAGAAAGAGGAAGGAAGGAAGGGAGGGAGGGAGAGAAGGAGAAAGGAAGAAAGGGAAGGAAAATGGAATGGAGGAAGGGAAAAATGGAAGGAGGAAGGAAGGAAGGGAAAGAATGAAGAAAGCCATTTGTTCCTGCAAACCTAAACCTCTTTGTAGTAAGTTCTGGCAGAAGGTGTGTTTCTGGAGTTAAACTACAGGCTTGGAAATGGAATTTCTTAGCCTAATTTCTAAATTAGAACTGCTTATGCAAATTAACACTCCGTACATTTCAACAAGCAGTTGGCTGATTTCTTCTGTCCACTCCACCTGCAGATGCAGAGGTGGCCCCATCCTGTGATGTGCCACCACATCCCTTTTCAGTGAAGGGCTTTGTTGGCTGCTGTGGGCATTCTCATGGCCTCTCCAGGGATGGCCTCCACTGTAGAGACCTATGTCACCAAGGCCAGGCCCTCTCAGGGGGCTCCATCCAACGACCATTCTGCCTCAGGGTAAGAGGCCCGGCCCTCTCAGCCTGAGTCCATTCTGGCTCCAGAGCTCCCTGAGAGCTTGCCTGGCAAGTTACTCTTGCAATTCTAGCTTCCAGCAGGCGTTGATTTCTGGGGCACTTTTGATAAACTCCTGGCAGGAAACTCAATCTCTGGGGGTCAGAGTCCACTTCCTGGGGAGCCCAATCTGTGACCCCTAGGAGTGGGGACCATGGAAGCACTTGGCTCTCCAGCATGTGCTGAATAGGGGGCGCTGCCTGCAATGTCCACGTGGAAACCTGGCTGGGAGAATGCCTGTGTGCTCTGCATGGGGATGTAAAGGTGTGAGCAAACCTTCTTCAGAGAGGGGATGTTCAATGCGAAATTTGAACATTGGGACCTGAAAAACTGATGGGCTGATGGGGTCTGCCCATGATTGGCAGCCTTCATAGAATCACGAGGGAGGAGCACAGGCCACCCTAGACAGGAGGGGTCCCCTACTGACAGGGAGGTGCTGTCGGGGCAGCAGGCACGTGCAGGAAAACGGAAAAGCAGAGTAATTGAATGTAAATCATGCAACTCCACTACAGTGGCTAGAAGCCTGGATGGGCAACTTGGCTGAGTGATGTTGGGCAAGTTATTTAATATCAGTATTCTCAGTTTTCTCATCTGTAAAGGGGATTAAATACTTCCTTCCCTTACAGGGCTGCCCTGGTCTTAAGTAATGCCCACAGAGAGCTTAGCATTGTTCTTGGCAAGTCACTAGTACTCAGTAAATACTATTTTTATTAAGAAGGTAAGATTCACAGGACTTAGTGTCTTAACTAGATGTTGAGAGTAAGGAGAAGAGAGAATACTTCTCGGATGATTGTTCAGTTTCTGATGAATGTCTGTTCCCCTTTCAAAACCTAATTCAGATGTCACTTCCTCCTCAAAGCTCTCGCCCCGCGCCGAGCTACTGTGATGTATTTTTATGACCTGGCAGCTTTTTTCTCATATCCCTGTTAGCGGTATGTGGTAAGAACATGAGACACAGAATCAGAAACCATGGATTTCTGGTCTTGACTCCACTACCACTCAGAGGAACCTCACGGTGGATGCCGTAAGTGTTTACACTGAAAAGGATTTTCACGAAAACCTGCATTTTCATTTCGTTCACAAGAGAATTATGAGACTAGAAAAACAACAATTCTTAGTATACCACAGACTGTGGTGCCTAGGAATAACAGACAAGCTTTAACTCACACGATGAGCATCTTTATTTAGCTCTGCTTTTAGATATCTGCATGATAAAGATGAGTGATCCAACGTTAGAAATCATCTGGACATTAAAACTGAATTGTAGGCAGGCGTGGTGGCTCACACCTGTAATCCCAGCACTTACGGAGACCAAGGCGGGCAGATTGCTTGAGCTCAGGAGTTTGTGAGACTAGCCTGGGCAACATAGTAAGACCCCTATCTCTACAAAAAATATAAAAATTAGCTAGGCATCATGGCCTGTGCCTGTAGTCCTAGCTATTGAGGAAACTGATGCAGGAGGATCATTTGAGCTCAGGAGTTTGAGACCATTCTGGGCAATACGGTGAAACCCTGTCTCTACAAAAAAATGCAAAGATTAGCTAGGCATGATGGCACATGCCTGTGGTCCCAGCTACTCGGGAGGCTGAGGCAGGAGGATTGCAGGAGGTTTGCTTGAGCCGGGGAGGTCGAGTCTGCAGTGAACTGAGATTGCATCACTGCACTACAGCCTGGGTGACAGAGTAAGACCCTATCTCAAAAAAAAGAACTAATTGTAACAAACTATCTTTCAAATTATATCAAAACAGTGATTCATAAATTCCATGTTGCCCAGAGATCATGAGGAGCTCTTCTATGATTTGACAGTGCAATTACTGAAGGGGAAGACACCATGCAAATACATGGTAAAAATATTCAAATTATTACTGATTTGACACAAAATATTGATGTAAATAACATAAAACTGTAATATGCCATTATGATGACATTAATGAAAAATTGGTTAATGAATGTCATTGAAAGAGCATGTACATCACTAAATGTTCTTAGTCACTGAAAGTGTGAAATAGCCTCTAAACTCATATGTGGAAAAAGAACTTGAAAAAGGTTTCCAGAAATGTGACAATTCTAGTACTTTCATGACATTTTAAAAAAGGGATTGTAAAGACTGATGAAACCCTTAAAACCTCTCAAGAATTAAAAATCATTTTTGATCAACAGAGTAAACTGATTTTTTATCTCTGTTGAAAGATATTTTTAAAATCATTGTCCTATGGAAAAGTCATATAGAACGTTTGCTGTTTAATGTAGCACAGATGTATCAAAAAGCCATGCCAGGCAGTTATAGATATCTTAGTTTTCTGGATTTTGTGACGTTTGTGGTATTTGTCAGATTTTTAAAATTTGTGATTTGTTGGGATTTGTTCCTCATTCACAGGTAATTTTATATACTTTTGTATTCACTTTCGAAAAGAAGGCAACTCTAAATTTTATGAACTTCAAGTGCTATAAAACAATTACCACAGTAAATTTTGAAAAATTCACCCCAAAAAGAAACCTTGTATCCATTGGCAGTAACTCCCTATGCTCCGCCATTCCTCTCAGCTCCCTGTCTGGCAACCACTTCCTGTCTCTTCAGAGTTGCCTCTTCTGGACATTACATATAAACGGAATTATACACTATGTGGCCTTTTATGACTGGCTTCTTTCACTTAGCATAATGTTTTCAAGAGTCATCTGTGTTGTAGCATTTGTCAGTACTTCATTTATTTTTGTTTCCTAACAATACTCCATTGTAGGGATTGACCACACTTTATCCATTCATTGGTTGATGGACATTTGGGTTGTTTCCACTTTTTCTGCTGTTGTGAATAACAGTGCTAAGCACATTCATATGCAGTGTTTGTGTAGATATATAATATGCTTTATTTTCTCTTGAGTACATAAAAGTGGAGCCTCTGAGTAATATAATAACTCTATGTTTGGTGTTTTGAAGAATTGCTAAATTGTTTTCCAAAGCAGCTGCACCATTTTATATCCCTACCAGCAATGCATGAAGCTTCCAGTTTCTCCACATCATCACGAATACTCCTTATTCTCTCTCTTTTTAGATATAGACATTCTGGCAGGTGTGACATTGTATCTCTTGTGGTTTAGATTTGCATTTGGAGCATGTCTTATGTGCACTTAAAAATATTAATATCTATTCTGCTGTTGTTGGGTAAACTGTTCTATAGATGTTGATATGGCTTCGCTGTGTCCCCACTCAAAATCTCATCTTGACTTGTAATCCCCATAATCTCCATGTGTCAAGGGTGGGACCAGGTGGAGGTAATTGGATCATGAGGGTGGTTTTCCCTACTCTGTTTTCATGATAGTGAGTCTCACAAGGTCTGATGGTTTTATAAGCATCTGGCATTTCCCCTGCTTGCACTCAGGCTGTCCTGCCACACTGTGAAGAAGGTGCCTTGCTTCTCCTTTGCCTTCTGCCATGAGTGTAAGTTTCATGAGGCCTCCCCAGCCATGCTGAACTGTGAGTCAATTAAACCTCTTTCCTTTATAAATTACCAAGCTGCGGCTATTTCTTCATAGCAGTGTGAGAACGGACTAATACAGGTGTTTTTTAGGTCTTGTTATTGTGTCGTTCACGTCTTTTATTTCCTTGTTGATCTTACTCTTAGTTGTTCTATCCATCATTGAAAATGGGGCATTGGCCAGGCGTGGTGGCTCACGCCTGTAATCCCAGCACTTTGGGAGGCCAAGACCAGCAGATCACTTGAGGTCAGGGGTTCGAGACCAGCGTGGCTAACATGGAGAACTCCTGTCTCTACTAAAAATACAAAAATTAGTCAGGTGTGGCAGTGCGTGCCCGCCTATAGTCCCATCTACTTGGGAGGCTGAGGCAGGGGAATTGCTTGAACCCTGGAGTCAGAGTTTGCAGTGAGCTGAGATCATGCCACTGCGCTCCAGTCTGGGTGACAGAGTGAGACTCAAAAAAGAAAAAAAAAAAAAAAAAAAAAAAGAAAGAAAATGAGACATTGGATTTGTAAGTTTCTGACAGGTTCATTTTGCCTGCTGCCCAGATAGAGCCGATTTATGAGGACAGGGAAATTGCAATAGAGAAAGAGTTTAATACATGTAGAACTGGCTAAACAAGAGACTGGAGTTTTATTATTACTCAAATCAGCCTCCACAAAAATTTGGAGGCTAGGTCTTTTCAAAGATAGTTTGGTGGGCAGGGGTTTGTGTACTAAGAAACTAAATGTTTCTTGTGTACTAAGTCAGCTTCTGGGTGGGGGCCAGAGGACCAGTTGAGCCAAGAATTCAAGAGGTACAGGTTCAAGTAGGGCCATCTGGTTGTCAGAAATGCAAAAGCCTGGAAAGTCATCTCAAATGTTAGGTTCTACAATAGTCAAGTTATTTATAGTAATTGGGAAAGTTGCAAATCTTGTGACCTCTGTAGAAAATAGGTGGTAATCTTTACACCTATATCTTAGTAGAATTCAGGCCCCTCACTTCCTCCTAACCTGGTAGCCTTTCATTAGTTTTACAAAGGCAGTTTAATTTTGGGGGGCAGGGCTATTATCATCTAAACTATAAACTATAATCGTTTGTCCCAAAGTTAGCTTGGCCCATGCCCAGGAATGACCAAGGGCAATTTGGAGATTAAAGTCAAGATGGAGTTGGTTAGATCAGATCTCTTTCACTGTTATAATTTTCTCACTGTTAAAATTTACAAAGGCAGTTTCAAAATCTGAAACTTTTATTGTTAAATTATGTATTTATTCCTTTAGTTCTGTCATGTTCTGCTTCTTATATTTTGGAACTCTGTTGTTAGGTGCATACATATTTATAATTGTTATATCTTCCTGATGGATTGGTATTGTAATCACTGTAAAATACACTATTATCATTGTAAAATATTCCTTTTTATCTCTAGTATTTTTTGTCTGTTTGACTTAAAGTCTATTTTGTTTGATATTAGCATAGCTATTCTTGCTCTTACTGTGGCAATTTGTATGATACCTTTTTCTTTTAGCCTATTTATATCTTTGAATCAAAAGTTTGTCTCCTGTAGATAGCATATAGTTGGATAATTTTTAGTTCTTTTGATTGGATTGTTTAATTCATTCATTTTTAGTGTTACTATTGATATGGCTGGATTTGTGTCTGCAATTTTAATTTTTGTTTTCTATATGTCTCGTGTTTTTGTGGCTTTGCTTCTTCTTCTTTGCTTTCTTTTGCATTAAGTATTTTCTAGTTTAACAACTTAATTTCTTAAATTATTTTTAACTATATTTTTACGTATTTCCTTAATGAATGCTTGATGGCTCACAATCTCCTTCTCAGTTTATCAGAATCTACTTAAGTTTATACTAACTTATGTCCAGTGAGATAGAAACACATTTCTTCTTTATAGCTCTAGGTCCTCTTCACTTGTTTTTGTGCTATTATTGTTATACTTACTACCTCTGTATATGTTACAAGCCCAAGAATACTATTCTACTTATTTATATAATTTTATGTTTTTTAAAGAACCTGAGACTGGAAGTGAGGGAAATAGGGCGTGCAGGAAGGAAGGAAGAGGAAGGAAAAGTGTGTGAAAGGGGGCTCCACCTCCTTTAGTGGATACCCTGAGCTTATTTCCAGGGGCCTTTGTAAATTCCCAGTGACAACTCTTTGGAAGATGAAATCCCCCTCTTCCCTGCATCTTATTAGAACAGTGTATCCTGGAGGACATCCCTTGCCTTTCACCAAGTGACCCTATACTGGCGGCAGAACTTCTCGATTTTGCGGATTTCAAAATGGCTCCACGTACTCATAGTTTTCATGACAGACTTCATTGCGATAGTCAAATACTGTTCCACTTACTGCAGTTGCCTACAGTCTGGGTTTTGTTCAGTTGAAATTAAATAAATTTTATGCACAAACCTTTCATGGCTGTCTGCGATCTTTTAAAAAATGTGAACATGTACAGGATGATAAGTTCTAAGGATGTATGTTCTGCAAAGCCTCAGAGCAGGAAGTAGAAGTACACTTGTACATTAGAAGATGAATATGCTTTTGGAGTTTGGACTCCATTTTCTTTTTTTGTTCTTTCTTTCTTTCTTTTTTTTTTTTTTTTGACAGAATGTTGCCCTGTCCCTCAGGGTGGAGTGCAGTAGCACGATCTTGGCTCACTCCAACCCTGCTTTCTGGGTTCAAGTGATTCTCATGCCTCAGCTTCCCGAATAGCTGGGATTACTGGTGCCCACCACCACGCCTGGCTAATTTTTGTATTTTTAGTAGAGACGGCTTTTGCCATGTTGGCCAGGCTGGTCTTGAACTCCTGACCTCAGGTGATCCACCTCAACCTCCCGAAGCACTGGGATTACAGGCATGAACCACCACGCCCGGCCTGGACCCTGTTTTCTACATTTTAGCACACATATTCCTATAGAGAGATGTACATAACCCACTGACATACCAGGGAACTTTTGAAATGTAACCTTTCAAAAACTGAAGCTTGAGAAACTTTGTTTTGTTGTACTCTGTATCAATGGAGGAGGCATGTGTTCTATAATTGATAATAGTTAATGAATGTCTTCTGGGCTTCATTGACCCATACATTACCTTAAAATCAAATGATGATTTCTTAAAGTCTAGACATTCCCTAGAAATGGGAACATTCTGAGTTTTAAGTGCTAAGTCAGAATAGGTGTTAAAATGAGCCTTTGGAAAAACAGTTTGTCAGTTTGCACACATCTATGTTTTAGGTGCAATAGCAAATAAACACAGTACATGAACGAATGAGTGCTCATGGGAAATAAGAGGTGGTCTTATCTAAAGGGAAGTACTGTGGGCCATGGTCGGAATCCTAGGGTTCCGGATCCTGCCATGCCACTCGCTGGCAGCCTGGTTGGCTTCCCCGGGCTCCACCTTTCACCAGCGGGAGCGGAACTGTTTCTCATTGTTTCCACTCTGGGCTGTTGGAGCCCCAGGGCTCTCAGGGTGTTTCAGGGGGCTGTGGACAGGGAGAGGAACAGCACTTTTCCCCTAAGATTTACAAAGAGCAATTCTCCTTAAACAACTGGTTTAGGAAAAGCTACTGGACTAAGTTCTCCCAGCCCCAACTTTCTGGCACTTTAGAAACTGTCCATTTCCACCGAGTGGCTGGCCTCAGTTAGGATTGCAGTGAGCAAGCTGCCTGGATGGTGTGATCACCTGGGAAGGAAAGCAAAGCTTTCTAGAGAAGACCAGTGGGACCTCTGTGTTGCCAGCTGAACGTGTTCTGAGGTAACATCAAATCCTGATGCTCTGGCAGACCGTTCAGGCCTCTGTTAGAAGATAAGCGTGCCTGCTCATGTCTAGGGAAGCTGTGTTCAAAGTCAGTGAAAGTGATGACTAAAATTATTTTATATCTTAAAAACACCTCCTCTCCCAAAATGCTAAAACTACTTTGTTTTTCTACTTCTAGGTAGGTATTTAAATCAGATCATCTACATAAAATAACTACTAGCAGCAAAAAGAAAAAATAGGTCATTTATCCAGCTCATATTTTCAAGTCAAACCACTTGAGTTGTGGGAGTGGTTTATCAGCAGCTATTTCCACCTCTTTGAAAAAGAGAAACAAAAAACATTGCCATGGGCTTAGAAAAATATTTGGCAATGCATCTCCTAAGAAACAGTGGAAAGCCTTTCATTTATTTTTCTTTCTTTTCTTTCTTTTTTTTTTGAAACATAGTCTTGCTCTGTCGCCCAGGCTGGAGTGCAGTGGCGCGATCTCGCCTCACTGCAGCCTCTGCTTCCCAGGTTCATGTGATTCTCCTGCCTCAGCCTCCTGAGTAGCCGGGACTACAGTTGCGCTACCACGTCTAGCTAATTTTTGTATTTTTAGTAGAGGCAGGGTTTCACCTTGTTGGCCAGGCTGGTCTCAAACACCTGATCTCAGGTGATCCTGCCTGTCTTGGCCTCCTAAAGTGCTGGGATTGCAGGCGTGAGCCACTGCGCCCGGCCTACATTTATTTTTCTACTGAGGAAATAAGTTGAGGGCTTAGAAGACTTGGAAAAAAATATGGGTTTTTAGAGGAAAATAGTGTTTAAATGAGCAACTTTACAAGAACAACGATTTGGTTGATTTCTCGAGGTGAAGTGAAGATGGAGACGGAAAGTGGCAGAGCCCAACAGAATGTGAAAGACAGAATCCAGGGCCAGGAGGAGAAAGTTCAACAAGGAGAGGAGGAGCTGGAGACAGGGGAGGAGGAAGGGCAGGAGAGGACACGCTGGACACGGTGGGGGTGAGCCCACTGCGAGTCAGTGCTCCCAAGGGGAAAGAAAGCGAACAGTAATGGATTTCTGCGCTCATTGCAATAATTGGGGTTTTTTGGCTGCTCTTATCAGAAGGGGCTATCGACCGATATTGCTGCCATGGCATTCATGTGTCACCACCACGCACAATACCCTTATCACTTCTATCAGTGATTGACTTTACTGTATTTATTAGTCACAGAAGCCTCCTGGGAGGAAATATTCTCAACTGCACTGGTGTGGAAAAAATAATCTCTTCTTGTAAGGTGCTTGCTTCAGGACTGAATAAAATCCTGTAGACTTTCCACATCCTAGTTCTGAGAATACTGTAATACATATGGAATACAGTTATTCCTGAGTACCCATGGGGCTTGGTACCAGGACGCCTGAGGATACCAAGTCTCTCATATGAAATGGCATCATATTTGCATGTAACCTATGCAAATCCTCCTGTGTACTTTAAATCTCTATTATGATATCTAATACAATGTAAATGCTATGTAAATAGTTGTTTATTGTTTTTTAACTTGTATTTTTTTATTGTTGTATCACCTTTTGTTTTATTCTTTTAAAATATCTTGGTCTATGATTGGTTGAATCCACAGATGCAGAACCCATGGATACAAGGGCTGACTGTATATGCATAATATATAGAAAGCATAATATATACAGAAATGAATGCTCAACAGATTATTTTTATAGGTGATGTTTACCTCCCAACCTAAATAATTTTCTAAAACTGAGTTGAAGATTTTCAGAATTCTCAGAGATTTATTTGTGTATTGAAAAAGGAGCTCTCTCTCTATACATTTAAAAAAAAATTTTTTTTTTAGGCAGAATCTTACTCTGTCGCCCAGGCTGGAGTGCAGTGGCATGATCTCAGCTAACTGCAACCTCTGCCTCCTGGGTTCAAGCGATTCTCCCGCCTCAGCCTCCTGAGTAGCTGGGACTACAGGCAAGTGCCACCACACCCGGCTAATTTTTATATTTTTAGTAGAGATGGGATTTCAGTATGTTGGCCAGGCTAGTCTCGAACTCCTGACCTCAAGTGATCTGCCTGCGTCGGCCTCCCAAACTGCTGGGATTACAGGCATGAGCCACTGCAGCCGGCCGCAAAAACTTAAGTTATATGAAATATTTAAATTATCTTGATAATACTTAAAGCCTTCCTGTGAGATGGAATATAGAGCCAAGCTGTATATTCTCAAGCTCTAACTTCCAGGATTCCTAATTGTTTTCTACAAACCATAGTATTGCAGACACTATTTAATATACCATATGTTCTCATGAGCATTTGAGAACATATATATATTTGCAGAATTAATAACTTTTCCTTAATTGTGTGGGCTTGAAGAAGTAGTAGAAATATAGGCCACCATAGAGTGCAGACCAGAATAGGAAGCCTTGCAGAAGATTATCTTGCCATTTCTCTCCAGGGTAGCTGAATTTTCCACTGTGGTTTGACTTCTGTGGTTTCAGAGCTAATGTGTGCACTGAGAGTGTGTACTGTTATGTAACAGCAACCATACTGTGGATGTGCTTGTCTGTCAGTGCCCACTCATACTTGGATAAAGTAAAACCCTGGTTAATGAGCTGACTCAGAGACGGGTGCTCTCATTAATTGAATTTTCTTCTTAAATGAAATATTTGGAAACTTTATTATTGAATACATATTTAAAATGCAAGCACATTCATTAGTACACTTCATAATTATTCTTTAATGATTTAACTTTTTAATGACTTAAGACCTTTTATTAATCAGGGTCATCATCCTAAATATCAGTTATTGTTTAATACTTCAGCTGTTGCCATAGGAGAGAAGAGAAAGTCCTGCATGAAGCCTCCCAAGGCTGCTGTTTCCCAGCTGTTAACTTGTTTGTGACCTTTGGGTTACCCTTAGTCCATAGAGAATGGGGGAACCAGGAGTGGGAAAGAGCCTGGGTGCTGAATTACTGTGTGGAGCAGATTCTCCTCCTCAGAAAAGCTGATTAGATGATTGGGTTTTTATGTGTGTAAGAAGGTTCTAGTGTGCTTAGTCACTGAGATTTTAACTTACACCTCAATTAGCATATATTTTCCATTTTCTAAGAATCATAAAATATCAGGCTAAATGTGTGCCAGGAGATTCTCAGCAAAGAGAGAAGACATCAAGAAAACTAAGTGGAAATTGGAACTAAAAATTCAATAAATGGAATAGATTCTCACTGGATGGATTTGTTGATAAAAAGAGCCAAACTCTGTAAAATATTTGAAGAGGTTTATTCTGAGCCAGATGTGAGGGACCATGACCCATGACATAGCCGCAGGAGATCCTGAGAACATGTGCCCAGGGTGGTTGGGTTACAGCTTGATTTGGTACATTTTAGGGAGACAGAAATTACAGGCAAAGACATAAATCAATACATATAAGGTTTACATTGGTTCAGCCCAGAAAGGAGGGACATCTCAAAGTGGAGTGGGAGGCTTCCAGGTCATAGGTAGATTCAAAGATTTCCTGATTGGCAATTGGTTGAAAGAGCCTAATGAGTTGAAGTCAGCAGAAATAAATGTTTGGGGTTACGGTAAGGTGGGTTGTGGAAGCCAAGATTCTTGTTATGTAGATGAAGCCTCCAGATAGCAGGCTTCAGAGACAATAGATCATCAGACTTTAAAAGTTGCCAGGCTCTTAGTTAAATCTCTCTGGATCAAAAAAAGGACTGGAAAGGGAAGGGGACTTGGTACAGAAAGTAAAGGAATGAAATGGCCTCTTAAAGATGTTTCTCGTCTTTGCAAGAGACAGTTTACAGGCCCACTTCAAAATACGTTGAAGAAATATATTTTGGAGTAAAATATTTTTTGATTTCTGGAGTAAAATATTTTTGATTTATTTCATAGCCTGCTATGTCATGTGATGTGGAATTTGGTATCTTACTGGTACAAAGAGCCTATTTTGTTATTCTTAAGGTCTCTGTTTTGCCTGGGTGCGGTGGCTCACACCTGTAATCCCAGTACTTTGGGAGGCTGAGGCAGGCGGATCACCTGAGGTCAGGAGTTTAAGACCATCCTGGTCAACATGGTGAAACCCTGTCTCTACTAAAAATACAAAAATTAGCCCTGTGTGGTGGTGGGCGCCTGTAATTCCAGTTACTTGGGAGGCTGAGGCAGGGTATCACTTCAGCCCAGGAGGTGGAGGTTGCAGTGAGCCGAGATTGCGCCATTGCACTCCAGCCTGGGCAGCAAGAGTGAAACTCTGCCTCAAAAAAAAAAAGGCTCTATTTTATTGTTAATGCCAGTCAGCTGTGCCAGAACTTCAAAGGGAGGAGAGTATAATGAGGCATGTCCCCCTGCCCCGCCACTCCCCCTTCACATCATGGCCTGAACTACATTTTCAGGATTTTTTGGAATGCCTTTGGCCAAGAGAGGGAGTCCATTCAGTCGGTTGCAGGGTTTAGAATTGCATTTTTAGTTGACAGGTTCAAAAACACAACAAAGATAAAAGAGGAATGAGTCAGCTAACTTGAAGACACACCAACAAAATTATCCAATTGAACAACAGAGAAAGAAAACTAAAAAAAATGAACAGAACCAGATAATTTTGGATTACTACCAAAAGGCTTAGCATTTGTATTATTGGAATACTAGGAGAGGATGAGAAAGAATGAGTACAGAAGAAATATTTAAAGAAATAATGGTGAAGAACTTTCCAAATCTAGCAGAAACGCTTAAACCTACAGATTCAAGAACCTCAGCACCCCCAAACAGGATAAATCCAAATAAATCCATGTCTAGATACATCAGGATCAAACTACTGAAAACTAGACAAAAAAAGTTTTGAGAACAGCCACAGTAAAATAATTCATTACTTATTAGAGAAACAAGGATTCAAAGGGATGCTGATTTCTCATTAGAAATCATGAAGACCAGAAGGAAGTGCTGAAACAAAGGAACTATCAGCTAGAATTCTGTATCCAGGGACAATGTCTTCCAGAAATGAAAGTGAAATCAAGATATTCCCAAATTAAGGAAAAGAAAGAAAATCCATTGGTAGGAGGTCTTTTCTAAAAAACTGCTAAAGAAAGTTTTTCAGTCAAAAGAGATGTGTTATCAGAGAAAAACATTAAACATCAGAAATGGTAATTATATAAGGAAATATAAGACTGTTCTCTTGGGTTTTAAAAATGATTATAATTTGATGGTTGAAATCAACAATTACAATATCTGTTGGGGTTTCCAATGTATGCATCGTATGTAGATGTAATATGATGAATTATTTTTACTCCTAACACTTCTGGCACTAAATACATGTTTTTGTTTTCACACCAGCAACCAATTCTCCAACTCGCTGGATGCCAACTAGGTGTCCAGCAATTCAATTTAATTCTGACACTGACTACCTAGAGTTAGTGTCAAAACCCACAGGTTAAGGGCCCAGTCCCACAAGAATGTCCCACTTCAAATTTTAATCACAACTTCCAGTTCTTCTACATTTCTGACCAACTGGCTCCAAATCGGGAATTTTCATGACCCCCCGCCCCTTGTGGTCAATAATTTGCTAGACCAGCCCACAGAACTCAGGGGAAACAGTTTATTTACCATATTGTTAAGTATGTAAATAAACGGCCAGATGAAGAGGTACATAGGGAAAGATCCAAAGGGTTCCTGAGCGTAAGAGTTCCTGTCTTCATGGAGTTGGGGTGCACCTCCTATCTGGAATGCGAATGCATTTGCTGACCTGGAAGATCTCCAAACCCTTTTACTAAGGGCTTTTTGAGGGCTCTCCTACAAAAACATGATTAATTAAATCTGGCCATTGGTGACTTAGTATCCACCTCCTCTCCCTTTTCCAGAGGTTGGAGGGGGAGGTGGAGCTGAAAGTCCAACCCTCTGATTATAGAGTTGTTTTGTCTGATAACCAGACCCCATCCTGGAGCCATCTGGGGGCCTACCAAGAGTCATCTTACTAGCATAAACTCAGGTATGGTTGAAAAGGGCTTATTGTCAATAACAAAAGATGGTTCTCCCACTCCTATCACTCAGAAAATTACAAGAATTTTAGGAGCTCTGTGCCAGGAACTGGGGATAAAGACCAAATATATGTTCTTTATTATATATAGCTGGACACCCAGTTGGTGTCAGAAGAGTTGAAATATTGTTCACTGGTGTAGAAAAAGCCCACATATTGGTGTCATACATGTTAGAAGTAAAAACAATGAGAGATAAAGGTACCCATATGATGCTTAGCTTTCTCCATTTAACTTGAAGTGGTAAAATATTGATTCTAAGTAGACTGTGAAAATTTTGTTAACTGTGTAATGTAATTCCTTGAGTAAACACTTTTAAAACTATGAAAAAATACATAGTTAAATATACAACAGATAAGTATAGTATGCTACAAAATGTTTGTATAATTGGAAAGAAGGTAGGAAAGAGAAAACAAGAATGAAAAACAGAAGATAAAACAAAACAAATAACAAAATGGTAAACCTGAAGGCAAATACATCAATGCTAACAGACATCTATAGAGCACGTTAGCCAAAAACAAAATATTCATTTTTCTATATATATACACGAAACCTTCTCCAGGATAGATTATATGTTAGGCCAAAATCAAACTTGAATATATTTAAAAGGACAGAAATAACACAAAGTATGTTCTCCAGTCACTTTGGAATAAAATAGGAAATTAATAACAGGAAAAAATCTGGGAAACTCACAAATATATAGAAATGTAAAGACACACTCCTAAATAACCAATGGATCAAAGGAGAACTCAAAAGGGAAATCAGAAAATACTTGGAGATGTATGAAAATGAAGATAAAACACACCAACCTTATGGAATCCAGTGAAAGCAGATGAGGGCTTAGAGGACAATTTATAGCTGTAAATGCTTATATCAAGAAGGAAAAAAATAAATCAATAAGCTAATATTCCACTTAAAGACACTGGGGAAAGAAGAGCAAACTAAATCTAAAGCAAGCAAAATGAAGAAAATAAAGATTAAAATGAAAAATAATGAAATAGAGAATAGAAAGACAATAGAGGAAATCAATAAAATTAAAAAACTGGTTCTTTGAAAAAAATCCAACAAAACTGACAATCCTATAGCTAGACTGGCCATGAAAAAGAGAAGATTCACATTCCTAGCATCAGAAATAAGAGAAGACATTATTTCTGACCTTGACAGAAATACAAAGGGTTGTAAAGGAAGAATATGACAGCAATTGTACATCAACAATGAAATAACTTAGATAAAGTGGGAAGATTTCTAGAAAGATATAAACTACCAAAACTGATTTAAGAAAATATCAAAAGTCTAAAAAGAATTATAATAATCAAGATTGAATAGCTAAGCAAAAAATCTACCCACAAAGTAAAGCCCTGTATCAAGTGGTTTCACCACGGAATTCTACTAAATTTTTTTTTTTTTAAATGAACACCAATTCTTTACAAATTCTCTTAAAAAAGAGGAGGGAATACTTTACAATTCATTTTATGAGGCTAGTTGCCCTGATACCAAAACCAGACAAAAACCTCATAAGAAATAAAAACTAAAGATGAATATATCTTATGAATAGATGCAGACATCATGAACAAATACTAGCAAACCAAATCCAACAGCATATAAAAGGAAATATCCACCATGACCAAGTGGAATTTTTATCCCAGGAATGCACAGTTGATTCAACATTTGAAAAATCAATTAATGTAATGCATAATAACAACAGAATAAATACAAAAATTACATGATCATTTCAAAAGATGCAGAAAATACATTTGGAAAAATCCACACTCTGTCATAATATAAATACTCAAGAAACTAGGAATAGAAGAAAACTTCCTCAACCTGATAAAAGGTAACTATAAAAAACTCACTGCTACTATTATCCTTAATTGTGAAAACATGGATGCTTTCCCTCAAGATGAGAAATAAGACAAGGATGATCGCTCTCTTCACTTATATACAACATTGTTCTAGAAGTTCTAGCCAGGGCAATTAGGCAAAAATAAAAAGAAAAAGCCATCAGTTTGGAAAGAAAGAAATAAAACTGTAGATGTTATGATCTTGTATATATAATAGTCTAAGGAATTCACTTTAAAAAAACTATTGGCACTAACAAGCTCAGCACGGGTGCAGGATATGAGATTAATATACAAAAATCAATTGTGTATTTTTACATATTTGCAATGAACAATCTGAAAATGTAATTAAAAATATTTGTTTATGATAGCATCAAAAATAAATTCTTAAGAATAAATTTAACATAAAAATTGCAAAACTTACTATACTCTGGAACTATAAAACATAATGAAAAAATCAAAGATCTAAACAAAAGGAAATATATTTCATATTCATGGATTAGAATACATAACACTGTTAAAATGACAATACTCCCCAAATCGTTACACAGGTTAAAAGCAATCCCTATCAGAATCACAGAGATTTTTTGCAGACATCGACAAACTGATTCGAAATTCATATAGAATTGCAGGGAATCCACAATAGCCAAAACAATCTTAAAAATGAAGAATAAACTAGGACTCATACTTCCTGATTTAAAAATTTACTACAATGCGATAGCAATCAATCAAGACAGTGTGGTACTGGCATAAAGATAGAAATACAAATCAATGGAATGGAATTGAGAGTCTGGAAGTATATCCATACATCTGTGGTCAACTGAGTTTTGAAAAAGGCTCCAGGACCGTTCAATGGGGAAAGAATAGTCTTTTCAACAAATTATACTAGGTGGAATGGATAGTCACATCCAAAGAATGAAGCTTGATCCTTACCTCACACTGTATAAAAAATTAACTCAAAATAGATCAAAGATCTAAATGTAAAACAAAAAAACTAAAACTCTTAGAAGAAATCTATTAGTTAGGGTTCCCTAGAGGGACAGAATTAATAGGATGGATGTAGATGTAAAGGGGAGTTTATTAAGGAGCATTAACTCACACAATTACAAGGTGAGGTCCCACAATAGCCCATCTGCAAACCGAGGAGCAAGGAAGCCAATCCCAGTCCCAAAGCTGAAGAACTTGGAGTCCGATGTTTGAGAGCAGGGAGTATCCAGCATGGAAGAAAGATGTAGGCTCAGAGGGTAAGCTAGTCTAGTTTTTTCACATTCTTCTGTCTGCTTTTATTCTGGCTGAGCTGGCAGCTGATTAGATTGTGCCCACCCAGATTGAGGGTGGGTCTGCCTTTCCCAGACCCACTGATTCACTGATTAACTGATTCAAATGTTAATCTCCTTTGGCAACAGGCTCACAGACACACCCAGGAACAATACTTTGCCTCCTTCAATCCAATCAAGTTGACACTCAGTATTAATCATCACAAGTCCACCCCTTGTCAACTTGAACCCATACACATCTCCTGAAATCATACATAATCTGCAAATAAAGACAATAATAAGGTAATAATAATTATGCCTAACATAATACAACCATCCTTCATACAACCAGAAACACACCAATCCCCAATTCAAATGCTATTACATAAAGTTAACAACATTTAAATGTTGATATGAAGTCAATAAATCTTATGTCACTAAAGGAAAAAGGAAATAAAATGAAGATATTTTCTTTTTTTTTTTTTTTTTTTTTGAGATGGAGTCTTGCTCTGTCACCCAGGCTGGAGTGCAGTGGCGCGATCTCGGCTCACTGCAAGCTCTGCGTCCCGGGTTAACGCCATTCTCCTGCCTCAGCCTCCCCAGTAGCTGGGACTACAGGCACCCACCACCACACCTGGCTAGTTTTTTTATATTTTTAGTAGAGACAGGGTTTCACCATGTTAGCCAGGATGGTCTCGATCTCCTGACCTCGTGATCCACCCGCCTCAGCCTCCCAAAGTGCTGGGAATACAGGCGTGAGTCACCGCGCCCGGCCAATGAAGATATTTTCTTAGTACAAGTGTATACATGCACAAACGTGTTCTTAACGAAGGAGGAAATACTCATGACAATTACAGTCCTTGTTTTTGCAGCTGGTCATGTGGTCATAGCTGGTATTGATGACTACCTTCTTCTACTACCCATTTTGTATTCCCTTTGCCTTCAGCAAGCACCTCAGGAGGTCGTGGTTTTTTTCCTGGTGGAGTGACCCAAACCTTCATTCCTGAAGAGTCTGAGCCATTTATAGTCCTGCCTGGATTGGGCTGTTGTAGTTTCCCATTGACCTTAATCATAGGGCATGGTAATACTAAGAGATGCCCTAGTGGATCTCCTGTATTCCACACATACTCTTCGTTACCTCCACGGTGGAGTGAAATTAGTAGTGAAATTAATAGTAGACTAATTTCATCTTGATAGTTCGAGTCAGTCACCCCAGCCAACACTGTAACTCCCTTCTCTTAGCCTGTTGACTTAAAGGTAGGAGTAGCCCAAAGTGTCCAGGTGGCAATCTTAACTTCCAGTTTAATGGAATTGTTGTTATGTCTCCTGGTGGCAGTGTTCCTTCTTGTGGAACTAAGACTCCTAGGCCAGCAGGATGTAATGCTGTGGGAACAGGAAGCAAAAATTTTGCTAGTGGATCACTAGGGGTGATGGTGAGTGGTGCCACTTCCACTTCCACTCCTTGATTCCTAGACTTGTGAATTGCAGCTATGGGAGAAACAGTACCATATATTGGATGCTGATTCAGAGCATACACAGCCTTCTGGAGAACTTTGTCCTGGCCCTGCAAACTGTTGTCACCTAGTTGGCATTGTAATTGTGACTTCAAAAGGCCATTCCACTGTTCTATTAATCCAGCTGCTTCAGTATGAGGGGGAACATGGTAAGACCAGTGAATTCCATGAGCATGAGCCCACTGTCACACTTCTTTAGCTGTAAAGTGAGTGCAATGCTGTGTGGAATACCATCACAGTGAATAAAGCATTTTGTGAGTTCACAGTTGGTAGTTTTGGCAGAAGCATTGTGTGCAGGATAAGCAAACCCGTATCCAGGGTAAGTGTCTATTCTGATGAGGACAAAGTGCTGTCCTTTCCATGATGGAAATGGCCAGTATAATCAACCTGCCACCAACCAGCTGGCTGATCATCCCAAGGAATGGTGCCATATTGACAGCTCAGTGTTTAGATTAGATGGTGCCCATTCAGATTGAGGGTGGGTCTGCCTTTCCCAATCCACTGACTCAAATGTTAATCCCCTTTGGCAACACCCTCACAGACACACCCAAGAACAATACTTTGCATCCTTCAATCCAATCAAGTTGACACTCAATATTAACCATCACAAACCATACAGAGAAATCTTTATGACTTTGGATTTCGCAAAGGATTTTTAGATATGATACCAAAAGCATGAGGAACAAAAGAAAAATAAATTTGACTTCATTAAAATTAAAATCTTTGTGACCCAAAGGACATCAAGAAAAAACATGAAAAGAACAACCCAAAGAATGGTAGAGAATATTTGTAAATCAAATAAGGTACATGCATCTAGAATACATAAACAACTCTTGCAACTCAATAATAATAAACCCTAAATAATCCAGTTGAAAAATGGGCAAATATCTGAATAGATTTCTCTAAAGAAGATAAACAAATGGACGACAAGCACTTGAAAAGATGCTTGAATATTAGGGAAATGCAAATCAACCAAATACAACTTCCTATCCACTAGGATGGCTAGAATGAAAAGGTCAGATAATCACAAATGCTGATAAGGATATGGAGAAATCAGAACCCTCCTACACTGCTGCTGAGAATGAAAAATATCATAGCTACTTTGGAAAACAGTTTAGCAGTTCCTTAAATGATTAAACATAGAGTTACCATACGACCAAGTAATTCCACTCATAGCTATATATCCAAGACAAATTGTGAAGACAAATTGTGATATTGTGAAATATACATTTGGTATTTGATCCAATTTCCTGGCATACAACTTCTGAAATCCTTAGTATCTCCAAAGTGATGTCTTTTTGTATGCTAATGATTGGCTGATGGTTGGCTTCTCCTAGGTAGCTTCAGGATGGGGGCTGGTTAACAGAAAGACCAAGGCAAAATTAGGAGGTCGAAACTTTCAGCTCACTCCTAGCTCCAGGGAGGGGAGAGGGGCTGAAGGTTAAGTTGATCATCGGTGGCCAACAGTTTAATAAAATGTCTACATAATGAAGCCTCCATAAAAACACAAAAGGACAGGGTTTGGACAGCTTCTGAATCACTTAGCATGTGGAGGTTCCTAAAGAGTGGAGCACCTGGGGAGGACATGCAAGCTCTGAGCCCATTCCTCATACCTCAACCTATACATCTCTTTATCTGTGTCTTTTGTAATATCCTTTATAATAAACTGGTAAATGTAAGTAAGTGTTTCCCTGACTCCTGTGAGCTGTTCTAGCCAATTTATCTAATTTAAAGAGAGGGTCATGGGAACCTCAACTTAAAGCTGGTTGGTCAGAAGTTCCAGAGGCCCAGACCTGCGACTGGTGCCTGAAGGTGGTGACAGTTTTCTGGGACTCAGCCCTCAACCTTTGGGATCTGACACTACCTCCAGGAAGAGTCAGAATTGAATTGGAGGACACCAGCCCACTGCAGAACTGATTGCTTGCTTGGTGTGTGGAGAAAACCCTCCAACATTTGGTCACAGAAGTCTTCTGTGTTGATTGCAGTTATGCTGTGAGAATATAGAAAATAAACAGTTTGTGTTTTTTCCATTTACAAATAGCATGACCACAAAATAACTGCTGCACGGATGTTTATAGCAGCATTATTCATAATAGCCAAAGGTGGACACAGCCCAAATGTTTATAAATGAAGCATGAAAAAAGTGGTATATCCATTATTTGGCCAGAAAAAAGAATAAGTTACTGATACATGCTACAACTTGGATGGAACTCAAAGCCCACATGTATATATCCATTCCTATGAGAGTCCAGAATAGGTAAATCTATAGAGACAGGAAGTAGGTTAGTGATTGCTGCTTAGGAATGGTGGGGGTGAGGATGAGCTGATGAGTGCTAAAGGGTATGATGTTTCTTTTTGAGATGAAAATGTCCTAAAGTTGACTGTGGTGATGGTTGTACAACTCTGAATATCCTAAAAACCCACTGAATTTGTAGTAGAGACAGGGTTTCAATATGTTGGTCAGGCTGGTCTCGAACTCCTGACCTCAAGTGATCCACCTGCCTCGGCCTCCCAAAGTGCTAGGATCACAGGCATGAGCTACTGTGCTGTGGTGGCAGGCACCTGTAATCCCAGCTACTCGGGAGGCTGAGACAGGATAATAGCATGAACCCAGGAAGCTGAGGTTGCAGTGAGCTGAGATTGTGCCATTGCACTCCAGCCTGGGTGAGAGGGCGAGACTCCATCTCAAAAAACAAAACAAAACAACAACAACAAAAAAACCCACTGAATTGTATAGTTTAAGTGGAAAGACAACTTAAAAGACCAAGAAATTGTATGGTATACAAATTATATCTCAATAAAGTTGTTAAACCTAACCCTAAAAAGAAAAAAAAGCAAAAAATAAAGGATGAAAAAGATATACTGTGTAAACACAAATCAAAAGAAAGCTGGGTGATTAGTATCAGACAAAATAGATTTCAGAGCAAAGACAATTACCAGGGATTACAAGGGACATTACCTAATGACAGAAGTGTCAGTTCACCAAGAAGACACCTAACAACAGAACTTCAAATTGCACAAAAGAAAAACTGACAAAATTGAAGGTAAAGAACGAATTCACAATAATAGTTGAATATTTCAACATGCCTGGCTTAGTAATTGATAGAACCATAAGCAGACAATCAGCAAGGATAAAGAAGAGGCAAACAGCATCACCATTCAGCTGGACCATATTGACAATTGTGGACCACTTCACCCAACAACAGCAGAATAAACGTGCTTTTCAGGTGCACATGGAATAGTCACATACACAGAGCACATCTTACGTTATTAAAAGACACTTAACCAATTTAAAAGAACTGAAAAATATGAAGTATGTTTCTGCCCACATAATTTTAAATCAGAAAATAACTAAATATTTTAATATTATCACAAGATAATATTCTTTAAAAATTTTTTTATTTTAATAGTTTTGGGGGAACAGGTGGTATTTGGTTGCATGGAAAAGTTATTTAGTCATGATTTCTGACATTAAGGTGCACCCATCATCCAAGCAATGTACACTGTACCCAGTGTGTAGTCTGTTATCCTTCAGCCTCTCCCACCCTTTCCCCTAAGTCCCCAAAGTCCATTATATCATTTTATTCCTTTGCGTCTTTATAGCTTAGTTCCTGCTTATAAGTGAGAACATATAATGTTTGGTTTCCCATTCCTGAGTTAGTTCACTTAGAATAATGGTCTCCAACTCCATCCAGGTTACCAAAAATGCCATTATTTTGTTCCTTTTTATGGCTAAGTGGTATTCCGTGGTAAATATATACCACATTTTCTTTATCCACTTGTTGGTTGATGGGCATTTAGACTGGTGTATATTTTTGCAATTGTGAATTGTGCTGCTGTAAACATGTGTGTGCAAGTGTCTTTTTCATATAATAACTTCTTTTCCTCTGGGTAGATACCCAGTAGTGGGATTGCTGGATCAAACAGTAGTTCTACTTTTAGTTCTTTAAGGAATCTCCATACTGTTTTCCATAGTGGTTGTACTAGTTTACATTCCCACCAGCAGTAAAAGTGTTCCCTTTTCACCACATTCCCACCAACATATATAATATTATTTTTTGATTTTTAAGGTATGGCCACACTTGCAGGAGTAAGGTGGTATCTCATGTGGTTTTGATTTGCATTTCCCTGACAGTGATGTTGAGCATTTTTTCATATGTTTGTTAGCCATTTGTAACCATTTGTGTATCTTCTTTTGAGAATTATCTATTTCAGTCCTTTGCCCATTTCTTGATGGGATTATTATGTTTTTCTTCTGATTTGTTTGAGTTCCTTGTAGATTTTGGATATTAGTTCTTTGTCAGATGCATAGTTTGTGAATATTTTCTCCCACTCTGTGGGTTGTTTGTTTACTCTGCTGATTATTTCTTTTGCTGTGTAGAAGCTTCTTAGTTTAATTAGGTCCCAATTATTTAGTTTTGTTTTTGTTGCATTTGCTTTTGGGTTCTTGGTCATAAACTTTTTGCCTAAGCCAATATCTAGGAGAGTTTTTCTGATGTTATCTTCTAGAATTTTTATTCTTATTTTTAGGTCTTAGATTTAAGTCTTTGATCCATGTTGAGTTGGTTTTTGTATAAGGTGAGAGGTGAGGATCTAGCATCATTCTTCTACACATGGCTTGCCAATTATTCCAACACCGTTTGTTGAATAGGTGTCCTTTTTCCACTTTATGTTTTTGTTTGCTTTGCTGGAGATCAGTTGGCTGTAATTCTGGGTTCTCTATTATTTGTCTTTATTTCTGGGTTATCTATTCTTTGCCATTGGTCTACATGCCTATTTTTATACCAGTATATTTTATTAACTATGGCCTTGTAGTATAGTTTGAAGTGAGGTAATGTGATGCCTCCAGATTTGTTCTTTTTGTTTAGCCCTGCTTTGGCTATGTGGTTCTTTTTTGGTTTCATATGAATTTTAGAATGTTTTTTTCTAGTTCTGTGAAAAATAATGATAGTATTTTGATGGGAATTGGATTGAATTTATAGATTGCTTTTGGCAATATGGTCATTTTCACAATATTGATTCTACTTATCCATAAGCATAGGATGTATTTCCATTTGCATGTGTTGTCTATGATTTCTTTCAGCAGTGTTTTGTAGTTTTCCTTGTAGAGATCTTTCACCTCCTTGGTTAGGTATATTCCTAAGTATTTCTTTCTTTCTTTCTTTTTTTTTTTTTTTGGCAGCTGTTGTCAAAAGGGTTCAGTTCTTGATTTGATGCTCACCTTGGTCATTGTTGGTGTATAGCAGTGCTACTAATTTATGTACACTGATACATTGATTTTGTATCCTGAAACTTTACTGAATTCATTTATTAGCTCTAGGAGCTTTTTGGTGAGTCTTTAGTGTTTTCTAAGTATATAATCATATCATTGGCAAACAGTGACAGCTTGACTTTCTCTTTACTGATTTAGATGCCCTTGATTTCTTTCTCTTGTCTGGTTGCTCTAGCTAGGACTTCCAGTACTATGTTGAATAGAAGTGGTAGAAGTGGGCATCCTTGTCTTGTTCCAGTTCTCATGGGTAATGCTTTCAACTTTTCTTCATTCGATATAATGTTGGCTGTGGGTCTGTCATAGATGTCTTTTATTACCTTGAGGTATGTCCCTTCTATGCTGATTCTGCTGAGGGTTTTTGTTGTTGTTGTTCTTTTGTTTTTTGTTTTTTGTTTATTTTTTTGTATTTTTAGTAGAGACGGGGTTTCACTGTGTTAGCTAGGATGGTCTCCATCACCTTACCTCGTGATCCGCCTGCCTCGGCCTCTCAAAGTAAGTGCTGGGATTACAGGCATGAGCCACCACACCTGGCCCTGCTTTTTTTTTTTTTTAGACGGAGTCTCGCTCTGTCACCAGGCTTCAGTGCAGTGGTGCTATCTCGGTTCACTGCAACCTCCGCCTCCTGGGTTCAAGCGATTCTCCTGCCTCAGCCTCCTGGGTAGCGGGGACTACAGGCGTGCGCCACCACGCCCAGCTAATTTTTTTTTTTTTGTAGAGATGGGGTTTCACCATCTCTACATCTACATGTTGGATTTTGTCAAATGCTTTTTTTGCATCTATTGAGATGATGATATGACTTTTGTTTTTAATTTATTCTGTTTATGTGATGCATCACATTTATTGACTTGCATATGTTAAACCATCTCTGCACTCCTGGTATGAAACCCACTTGATCATGATGTATTATCTTTTTTATATGCTATTGTATTCAGTTAGCTAGTATTTTGTTGAGGGTTTTTGCATCTATGTTCATCAGGGATATTGGTTTGTAGTTTTCTTTTTTTTGTTATGTTTTCTCCTGGTTTTTGTATTAGGGTGATAGGGTTTTAGTGGCTTCATAGAATGATTTAGGGAGAATTCCCTCTTTCTTTATCTTTTGGAATAGTTTCAGTAAGGTTGGTACCAATTCTTCTTTGAATGCCTGATAGAATTCAGCTGTGAATCCATCTGGTCCTGGACTTTTTTTGTTGGCAATTTTTTATTACTATTTCAATCTCACTGCCTGTTATTGGTCTGTTCAGAGTTTCTGTTTCTTCCTGGCTTGATCTATGTGAGTTGTATATTTCCAGGAATTTATACATCTCCTCTAGATTTTCTAGTTTGTGCACATGAAGGTGTTTATAGTAGCCTTCAATGATTTTTCTGTATTTCTGTGGTATTGGTTGCAGTAGCTCCCATTTCAGCTCTAATTCAGCTATTTCAGTTCTAATTGATCTTCTCTCATCTTTTCTTGGTTAATCTTACTAATGGTCTATCAATTTTGTTTTATTTTTTCAAAGAACCAGCTTCTTGTTTCATTTAGCTTTTGTATTTTTTTTTGTTTCAATTTTATTTAGTTCTGCTCTGATCTTTGTTATTTCTTTTCTTCTGCTGGGTTTGGGTTTGGTTTGTTCTTGTTTCTCTAGTTCCTTGAGATGTAACCTTAGATTGTCTATTTGTACTCTTTCATAGTTTTTGATGTAGGCATTTAATACTGTGAACTTTCCTCTTAGCACCACTTTTGTAGTGTCCCAGAGGTTTTGATAAGTTGTGTCATAATTATCGTTCAGTTCAAAAAAATTTTTAATTTACATCTTGATTTCACTGTTGACTCAAAGATTATTCAGGAACAGATCATTTAATTTCCATGTATTTGCCTGGTTTTGAGGGTTCCTTTTGGAGCTAATTTCCAATTTTATTCTGCTGTAGCCTGACAGGGTACTTGATATAATTTCAATTTTCTTTAATTTACTGAGACTTGTTTTGTGGCCTATCATATGGTCTATCTTGAAGAATATTCCATGTGCTGATGAAAAGAATGTATATTCTACAGTTGTTGGGTAGAATGTTCTGTAAATATCTGTTAAGTCCATTTGTTTTAGAGTACAGTTTAAGTCCATTGTTTCTTTGTTGCCTTTCTGTCTTGATGACCTGTCTAGTGCTATCAGTGGAATATTGAAGTCCCCCACTGTTACTGTGTTGCCATCTATCTCATTTCTTATGTCTAGTAATAATTGTTTTATAATTTTGGCAGCTCCAGTATTATGTGCATATATATTTAGGATTGTGATATTTTCCTCTTGGACCAGTAATTTTATCATTATATAATGTCCCTCTTTGTCTTTTTTAACTGTTGTTGCTTTAAAGTCTGTTTTGTCTGATATAAGAATAGGTACTTCTGCTTACTTTTGGTGACCATTTGCATGGAATATGTTTTTCCACCCCTTTATCATAAGTTTATATGAGTCCTTATGTGTTAGGTGAGTCTCTTGAAAACAGCAGATACTTGGTTGGTGGATTTTTATCCATTCTGCCATTCTGTACCTTTTAAGTGGAGCATTTAGGCTGTTTACATTTAATGTTATTATTGAGCTGTAAGGTGTTGTTTTATTCATTGTGCTAGTTGTTGTCTGAATACCTTGGTTTTTGTTGTTGTTGTTGCTCGTTGTGTTATTGTTTAGTTCCTGTAAGATTTATGCTTTTAGGAGGTTCTATTTTGGTGTGTTTTGAGGTTTTGTTTCAAGATTTAGAACTCCTTTTAGCATGTCTTATAGTGCTGGCTTGGTAGTGGTGAATTATCTAAGCATTTGTCTGAAATAGACTTTCTTTCTTCTTCATTTTTGAAGCTTAGTTTTTCTGCATATAAAATTCTTGACTAGAAATTATTTTGTTTAGGGAGGCTAAAGATAGGACCCCAATCCCTTTTGGCTTATAGGGTTTCTGCTAAGAAATCTGCTGTTAATGATGGGTTTTCCTTTATACATTATCTGATGCTTTTGCCTCACAGCTCTTAAGATTCTTTCCTTTATCTTGACTTTAGATAACCTATGATGACTAAGTGCCTGGGTTATAATCATTTTGCAATGAATTTCCCAGGTGTCTTTTGAGCTTCTTGTATTTGGATTTCTAGGTATCTATTGAGGCTGGGGAAGTTTTCCTCAATTATTATCTCAGATATGTTTTCCAGACTTTTAGACTTCTCTTCTTCCTTGGGAACACCAATTATTCTTAGATTTTTCATTTACCATAATCTCAAATTTCTTGGGGGCTTTGTTAATTTTTTAAAGTTATTTTTTATTTTTCTTTGTTGGATTGGGTTAATTTAAAAGCCTTGTTTTCGAGCCTTGAGTTTCTTTTTTCTACTTGTTTGATTCTATTGTTGAAACTTTCCAGTGCACTTTGTATTTCTCTAAGTGTGTCTTTCATTTCCAAAAGTTGTGATTATTTTCTCTTTATGATACCTATTTCTCTGGAGCATTTTTTTCTCCCAATCTTGTATTATTTTTTAAATTTCTTTAAGTTGGTTTTTACCTTTCTCTAGTACCTCCTTGAGTAGCTTAATAATCAACCTTCTGAATTCTTCATCTGACAATTCGGAGATTTTTTTTTCTTGGTTTGATCCATTGCTGGGGAGCTAGTGTGGTCTTTTTGGGGTGTTATAGAACCTTGTTTTGTCATATTACCAGAATTACTTTTTTGATTCCTTCTCATTTGGATAGACTATTTCAGTGGAAAAATCTGGAAGTCAAGGGCTGCTGTTCAGATTCTTTTGTTCCACAGGATGATCCTTTGATGTGGTGCACTCCCCCTCACCCTAGGGATAGGGCTTCCTGTGAACCAGATTGCAATAATTGTTGTTGCTTTTCTGGGTCTAGTTACCCAGCAGGTCTACTGGGCTTTGGGCTGGTGTCTGCAAAGAGTCCTGTGATGCAATCCATCTTCAGGTCCCCCAGCCATGAATACAGCACCTGCTCTGGTGGAGGTGGCAGGGGAGTGAAGCAGACTGTGTGAGAGTCCTTGGTTGTAGGTATGTTTAGTGTGCTGGCTTTCTCAAATGCTGACAAGATACTATTCTTGAGCTATCACAAGAGCATCTTTAAACACTTAGAAATTAAACTGTACATTACATAGTCCTTGGGTAAAAGAGGAAGTCTCAACAGATGTTGGAAAGTATTCTGAACTGAATGAAAATGAAAATATATCAAAACACATGGGATACACTAAAGCAGTACTTAGCAGAAAACATAAAGCATTCAGTGCTTATATTAGAAAAGAAGGGATTTAAATAGAATCTTATTCAAAAAGAAGAGGAAAATAAATGCAAAAATGATAAAAACCAAAATCAATGAAGTTAAAAATAGAAAAACAATAGAATCAGTGAAACCAAAATCTCATTCTTTGAAAATATCAGTAAAATTCATTAAGCTCTAGCAAGACAAAGGAAAATGAGAGAAGACAGAAATTGCTAATAAAATGAATAAAATACCAAATCTCACGATAGACCCCATAAAAAGGCTCATAAAGGCATACCATGAAAACTCTTTACACATGAAATTGATGACTTGGGAAAAATGTCTAAATTCCTTGATAGATACAAATTACCAAAATTTACTCAAGAAGGAATAGGTATCCTAAATGGTCCTACGTCTATTAGAGAAATTAAATTTGTTTAACAGCAAAATCTTTCAAATAAGGAAACTCTAGATCCAGATGATTTTACTGATTAACTCTACCAATCATTTAAAGAAGAAATAATAGAAATCCTTCACGAAGTCTTGCAGAAATGAGGAAGAGGGAGCACTTCTCAACAGACACCAAACCAGACGGACAGTGCACTAAAATAACCCCCCAACACCCATGTCCCTCATAAACACAGATACAAAAATGTGGAAAAATATTAGCAAATGAAATCCAGCAATAGGTAAAATTAATAATACATGGTGACTACATTGAGTTTTTCTGGGGGAGTGCTAGGGTGGCTCAATATTTGAAAGACAATGCCATCCAATATGTTAACATTCTAAAGAAACACCACCTTATCATGCCAATTTATGTAGAAAAATCATTCATTTGATAAAATTAAACAGCCATTCATGATAAAATTCTCAACAAACTAGGAATAGAAGGGAATTTACTCAACCTGATAGAGGATGTCCACAAAAAACCTACAGCTAACATGATGGTGGAGGAATGAATGCTTTCCTTCCAAAGCTGTCCATTCTCATCACTCCTGCTCAATATTGTACTGGAAGTGATACCCTGTGCAATAAAAAAAAGAAAGAAAAGCTTACAGATTTGAAAGAAGATACAAAACTGTTCCTACTCACAGACTTGGTGATTTTCTATGTAGAAATCCTTGGCCTTAGGATTCCAGACAACCTTGATCCCCCTCCAATTTCTCACACTGTTCACTCAGTGTATTCAGCTAGTGTTTAGCTCTGTGACAAAGATTCTCTGTCACCTGGGTCAGAGGAAACTAGAGCTGACTCAGGGTCCAGCTGGTTCTCATGCTTTACATCCAGTTTGCTCCCTTCTTTCCCACTCGACATCCATTTTCGTTCCTGACTGCCTGCCCTGCCAACCTGAAGCACCAGCATCAAATGGAGAGAAAACAAACTTACCTTCCGAATAGATTTTCTACTGGTTTTGCTTCTCTGGTTAAACTCTGAGACAGTTATTTAATCTCTCAGTTTCATTATCTAAAAATGGGAAATCATACCTATTTAATCAGTTCAATCAGTTCATGGTTTTTGGTTTTTTTTTTTCCTTTTTGAGATGGAGTCTTGCTTGATGCCTAGGCTGGAGTGCAGTGGCGTGATCTCAGCTCACTGCAACCTCCACCTCCCAGGTTTGAGTGATTCTCCTGCCTTAGCCTCCTGAGTAGCTGGGATTACAAGCACAAGTCACCACGCCCAGCTTATTTTTATTTTTTTGTGAGGACGGAGTTTCCCCATCTTGGCCAGGCTGGTCTCGAACTCCTGACCTCAGGTGATCCGCCCGTCTTGGCCTCCCAAAGTGCTGAGATTACAGGCATGAGCCACTGCACCCGACCATCTCATGTTTTTAGAAACATACTTGCTAGGTATTTTTTTCTGTTAGAGAAAAGGGATCTACCTGTCTCCCTGTCTTCCTTCCTTCCTTCCTTCCTTCCTTCTTTCCTTCCATCCTCCCTTCCTCCCTCCCTCCTTCCTTCCTTCCTTACTCCCTTCCTTCCTCTCTCCCTCCCTCCCTCACTTCCTTCCTTCCTCTCTCCCTCCCTCCCCCTTTCCTTCCTTCCTTCCTTCCATCCTCTCTCCCTCCCTCCCCTTTCCTTCTTTCCTTCCTTCCTTTTTTTGCTTCAAATGACATGAGAAGAATGATTTAGTGTTCCATCGAACGTTTATCCAAAAGTAGCAGAGAGTTATATTTAAATGGCAACATTAGTTCACCATTTCTGCCCAGTAGAACTTGTTCAAAGACATCAGAAAACCTCCCCTTTCTGAAGGAGTCACCTGGACAGTCCACAGACCCCAGCCATGATCAGAGCATCTCCCAGTGTCTGTCCCTGAAACCAGGTGGGCTCATGCCAGCGAGTGGGGTGGGGTGAAGTGTTTTGAGTTGGGCTATTGAAACAGGGAAAAGGTTCCACTTTCAACAGGGGGCTGGAAGCAAAGCAGATGCTATCTGCACCCCAGTGAAAACTGTACCTTATGGGACAAAGGCAGAGCAAGATTGTTGGGCTGGACTCTGCCTCTGAGTGTCCTGAAACTTGCCTCATTGCAAGGAAATAAATCTAAGTTAGACTTTGTCCAGGAAGGTGAGGCAACCCCTAATTTTGTCAAGATTTTGAGGCAGTACTAAAGGGGTGGTGAAACTTGGTGACTCGGAATTAAGACCTATTTTCTCATCTTCTTTCTCCTGGAAATTTACCTATAGTGTTTTTATCTGCTAAACTCTTTAGAGTGGAATACTTTAGACTTGTATTTTATAAATCTTAGTTACCAGAGTCCTTAAAATTTTGGATAGATCTTGTCTAAACTAAAATAGTAAATCCTTGGATCTTAATTAAACATAACCATTATAGAAATCAAGTTGATGTGTCAATTTTTGAAAATTCATTCTCCAGCTCTCCAGAAAGAAGGGGAGAATGGATTTGGGGGAACAGCCAGCAGGTGGTTACATTGGTTTTTTCTTTATAACAAAGCCTCAGCAGTTTGGCAAAAAAAATCGGTTCAGTTTCTGATTTTTCCTTAAAATAACCTGGACAATGTGGTGACTAAGTCAGATGTGAGTTGGAGACAAAGCACCTGGCCTGGGAGATGTAATTACGAAGCAGATCAGCTTCCTGAGTCCCCTTTTGACGCTTCCCCCTAGTGCCCCATAGCCTCATTCCTCACGGTGCAGCTGTTCAGCATCTGACCTTTCCAGTGACCTCCAGAATGGCTTGCCCTTCCTGGAATCCAGTCCTATAACTCGTACCGTCATGTGGGGAAAGAGGGTCAGTACATAACAGGCCAATTTTGTGTTGAAATCTAATTCTGAAGTGCACGGATTGTGTTAGGGTCAAACCATTTCCACTCTCTCCGAGTCTCAGTTTCGCATCGGTAAATGGAGATAACACCTAGCTTGCATAAAGGCTGTGAGTTTTAAATGGGAAAACCATATCTAATACATAGTGGGTTCTCAGACTTTATTATTTTCTGCTCACCTCTGCGATTCCCAAGCTGTCGAGGATGTTAAGAGGACCGAGTTCTTGCCAAGGTCCGTCAGTCCTCAGCAATGCGTAAGGCTGTTAACAATTGTCTGTGGGGCCGCCACACAGAGCCAGCAATTCTCAATGGTGTATGTTCCAGACATAGGGCGCAGGTGTAGAGACAGATCCATAGGTCACAGCTTCTCTGTTTACCAAGAGCAGAACATAGGCCTGAGCTCTGACCCTAGTTTCATTGCTTACAGGCCTGTGACTCTGGGTATGTTTTCTTTCCTCTCTCAATTCCACTTTCCTCATCTGTAATATTTTTTTTTTGCATAGGTTTATTAAGAGAAATATTATTACTCCATGCAAAGTACTTAGCACATTGCTGGGTACAGAGAAATCACTCACATATAGTTAGCCAGAATTATGAATGCAGCCTGTTTGATAACATCTAGGAAGTGAAATCCCACACTCTTAAAAAGGTGAAGAACAGATTGCAATGATCCCAGCACATAAATAGCCTTCAGAGTCTGTCAAAAACACATCTTGGTCTTAGTTCGTTCTGGCTGTTGTAACAATAGACATTTATTTCTCACAGTTCTGGAGGCTAGAAGTCCAAGATCGAGGTGCCGGCAGATTCGATGTCTGGTGAGGGCCCAATTCCTGGTTCACAGACGGCACCTTCTTGCCTTCACTGCATCCTCACAGGGAGAAGGGACGAAGGAGCTCTCAGGGGTCTGTTATACGGGCACTAAGCCCATTCATGGGGTTTCACCCTCACGACCTAATCACCTCCCAGAGGCCCCACCTCCTAATAGCATCCCTTTCTTTAAGGGTGAGGATTTTGACATAGGAATTTTGGGGACCACACAGATATTCAGCCCATTACACCATATTGCATTTTAGAGAGACGTAATCCAGTCCATTGCAGCTTCTCTTGCAGAAGTGCTCTAGAAGGGTAAGACAGTTTTAAGACTGTTTATCTTTATGCAAATCTTTGTTTGCCTTTGGATTTTTCCAAACCTGTTACTTATGATAAAACACCCATACCAGTAAGGAGAGGCTAGACTCTCCTACAGTAACCAGCAGCCTCATGTCTCACCTGGCTCTGTGTCCTCCCAGGCCTGCCCCACAGGGCTGTCACTTGGAGGTGCTGCACGTGGTTCCACCCTGTGGGGTACCAGGGAGAGGAAAGAACAGAGCAAACTGGACACCAGAACCAGAAGGCTTCGCTCAGAAGTGCACACATTGCCTTCGTCTCAGTAAATTAGCAGAGCAAGTCCTGTAACCCCCGACAGTGATGAAGGCTGATCTGTTCCGTGCTCAGAAGGCGGAGACCTGGAAATACTGATGAAACACGAATGACTGCCCCACAGACACAGAGAAAGATGAGAGATTCTGGAGCACACTAATTTCACTTTCAGATAACATGACTCTGGCGTTCTATAAATGCCTGTGCCATGTGAGATGTCACAATGGATGACAGCTTTTTATTCCCAGAAGAAAATTCAAAATAAGACTCATCATTTTATGGTCTAATTTAAAGTGATATTTAGGAATACCTTTTTCTAGGAACACCTTTTTCTAGGAACTAATAATCAGATAAAGTTGGGTTTGGGACTGTAGACTTGGAGCCTGAAGCAATACTCTTTCTATAATGAAAATCTGAGTATAGTTGCTTCTAACAGCAAGTGAGGATTTCCTACAGAGTGTTGCTGAGGGGCTGATAAGAAACCTTTTCAGAAAGAACAGCAGATTCCTATAGACCCTATTCCCATGGAAGCATCAGCAGGAACTCCTTTTCTTTTGGTGAAAACTTTCATGTCATTGGATGATCTGTTATTAGACGACACTGCCTGAGTTCTATCTTACGATGGGGAATTGGCGTTTCTTAAGATCTTCCTTTAAATATAGCACAGATCCCCAGTATGCACATTTTCACAGAGGTGGAAGCTTTAGAAACACTCATGTAGCAGCAGATGTCTACTGTGCTCTAGCATAAGTGGAATGAAATATTCCTTAATATAGAGGGACACACACAGGCAGAACCTCTAGCGGGTCTGTGAATAATGGGAATGAAAAGTGGAAGTCCTATGGCCGGCAAGGTAGATTCCTGGGCTTCAGAGGAGGATATGAAATATTTATAGAAAACAAAATGAAATATGAACAACACATTTATCATGTTCTCCAGGCATGATAATATGTGATTTGCAGATGAGACATTCATTTGAAAAGCAAGTACACCATGAACCCTGGGACGAGGCTGTACGTTCCTAAACATGCTTGGCTTACGGCCTGGCTCAGAGCAGGGCTTGCCACATGTCATGTCACTCACAGCCATTGAGGGGCACTGCCATTTGTGCTGTTGCTGTGCTTTTTGGTCTGTCTTGGAAACCTGGGGAAGTCCCCGTTGTTCCAGTGGGGCCCTTGATAAACGTCTCAGTTTCAGGTCCTCAAGTTGAGACATCCTTTCAGTCAACTTGTGGAGTTTCTAATTCTGTGTCACTGCCTCCAGTAGAGCGCGTTTTGTGGTGGAGAGCGATGAGAGCCTCAGATCCTCGGGAAGTGCTCCACGGGTCCCGGGTCTGGCTCTCATTGTGTGTGCCAGAGCCTTGCTGCCCAAAGTGTGGCCCCAGGCCAGGGCCTTGCTGTCACCTGGAGCTCTCAGGCCCTCCCAGGGCTACTGTATCAGAACCAGTGAATCCACATGAATTCACATTGCAGTGCTTCGTCTGCACATGAAAGCTTGAGAAACACTAGCCTAGAGAACACCTCAGCATCCTTTCTGAATTAGAAGTTATGCTTTCTAGGGTTCTCATTAAGAAATGGGCAGTTGCACAGCCAATCAATGAAAATGGCTTTGCGTTCCCTGAATCTTCAACTTCTGAGAGAAGGAGGAATGTTTTTTTTTCTTCCACTCTGGTCCCCAAGAACCACTACAGGCGTTCCTTACAGAACAGCAAATGACACAGCGTTCAGCCCCAACAAGTGACCCGAAGACGCGTCCCTCATCTCATGCTTGCCTGTCTAGGCCTCACCCTTTCTCAGTTGAAATCAGTCACTGCAGCAGCGTTCGAATGGGGTCACTGGAGAAAACAGCCGCAACTTCCTGGTCCTCCGTGGGAATGGCTGAAAGTGGAAGATGGAGAGAGAATCCTGAGAAAAACCCTCCATAGGTCAGCCCCATGTCAGCCCCAGCATCTATCACCGGAGGGTTCTGAAGCTTGTGGTGCACTGAAGGTGATAATTATAAAAGAAAAAATCAAATCCAGCTCCACTCCTGACTAGATGGGCAAACACTTCATCCCCTGCACCACACATGAAGCTTTCTTTTTTTATTATTATACTTTAAGTTTTAGGGTACATGTGCACAACGTGCAGGTTTGTTACATATGTATACATGTGCCATGTTGGTGTGCTGCACCCACTAACTCATCATTTAACATTAGGTATGTCTCCTAATGCTATCCCTCCCCACTCCCCCCACCCCACAACAGGCTCTGGTGTGTGATGTTCCCCTTCCTGTGTCCATGTGTTCTCATTGTTCAATTCCCACCTATGAGTGAGAACATGCAGTGTTTGGTTTTTTGTCTTTGCGATAGTTTGCTGAGAATGATGGTTTCCACCTTCATCCATGTCCCTACAAAGGACATGAACTCATCATTTTTTATGGGTGCATAGTATTCCATGGTGTATATGTGCCACATTTTCTTAATCCAGTCTATCACTGTTGGACATTTGGGTTGGTTCCAAGTCTTTGCTATTGTGAATAGTGCGGCAATAAACATACGTGTGCATGTGTCTTTATAGCAGCATGATTTATAATCAATCCTTTGGGTATATACCCAGTAATGGGATGGCTGGGTCAAATGGTATTTCTAGTTCTAGATCCCTGAGGAATCTCCACACTGACTTCCACAATGGTTGAACTAGTTGACAGTCCCACCAACAGTGTAAAAGTGTTCCTATTTTTCCACATCCTCTCCAGCACCTGTTGTTTCCTGACTTTTTAATGATCGCCATTCTAACTGATGTGAGATGGTATCTCATTGTGGTTTTGATTTGCATTTCTCTGATGGCCAGTGATGATGAGCATTTTTTCATGTGTCTTTTGGCTGCATAAATGTCTTCTTTTGAGAAGTGTCTGTTCATATCCTTCGCCCACTTGTTGATGGGGTTGTTTGTATTTTTCTTGTAAATTTGTTTGAGTTCATTGTAGATTCTGGATATTAGCCCTTTGTCAGAGGAGTAGCTTGCAAAAATTTTCTCCCATTCTGTAGGTTGCCTGTTCACTCTGATGGTAGTTTCTTTTGCTGTGCAGAAGCTCTTTAGTTTAATTAGATCCCATTTATCAATTTTGTCTTTTGTTGCCATTGCTTTTGGTGTTTTAGACATGAAGTCTTTGCCCATGCCTATGTCCTGAATGGTATTGCCTAGGTTTTCTTCTAGGGTTTTTATGGTTTTAGGTCTAGCATTTAAGTCTTTAATCCATCTTGAATTAATTTTTGTGTAAGGTGTAAGGATGGGATCCAGTTTCAGCTTTCTACATATGGCTAGCCAGTTTTCCCAGCAGCATTTATTAAATAGGGAATCCTTTACCCATTTCTTGTTTTTGTCAGGTTTGTCAAAGATCAGATGGTTGTAGATATGCGGCATTATTTTTGAGAGCTCTGTTCTGTTCCATTGGTCTATATCTCTGTTTTGGTACCAGTACCATGCTGTTTTGGTTACTGTAGCCTTGTAGTATAGTTTGAAGTCAGGTAGCATGATGCCTCCAGCTGCGTTCTTTTGGCTTAGGATTGACTTGGCGATGCAGGCTCTTTTTTGGTTCCATATGAACTTTAAAGTAGTTTTTTCCAATTCTGTGAAGAAAGTCATTGGTAGCTTGATGGGAATGGCATTGAATCTATAAATTACCTTGGGCAATATGGCCATTTTCACGATATTGATTCTTCCTACCCATGAGCATGGAATGTTCTTCCATTTGTTTGTATCCTCTTTTATTTTGTTGAGCAGCGGTTTGTAGTTCTCCTTGAAGAGGTCCTTCACGTGCCTTGTAAGTTGGATTCCTAGGTATTTTATTCTCTTTGAAGCAATTGTGAATGGGAGTTCACTCATGATTTGGCTCTCTGTTTGTCTGTTATTGGTGTATAAGAATGCTTGTGATTTTTGCACATTGATTTTGTAACCTGAGACTCTGCTGAAGTTGCTTATCAGCTTAAGGAGATTTTGGGCTGAGACGATGGGGTTTTCTAGATATACAATCATGTCATCTGCAAACAGGGACAATTTGACTTCCTTTTTTCCTAAGTGAATACCCTTTATTTCCTTCTCCTGCCTAATTGCCCTGGCCAGAACTTCCAACACTATGTTGAATAGGAGTGGTGAGAGAGGTCATCCCTGTCTTGTGCCAGTTTTCAAAGGGAATGCTTCCAGTTTTTGCCCATTCAGTATGATATTGGCTGTGGGTTTGTCATAGATAGCTCTTATTATTTTGAGATACGTCCCATCAATACCTAATTTGTTGAGAGTTTTTAGCATGAAGGGCTGTTGAATTTTGTCGGAAACCTTTTCTGCATCTATTGAGAAATCATGTGGTTTTTGTCGTTGGTTCTATTTATATGATGGATTACGTTTATTGATTTTCGTATGCTGAGCCAGCCTTGCATCCCAGGGATGAAGCCCACTTGATCATTGTGGATAAGCTTTTTGATGTGCTGTTGGATTTGGTTTGCCAGAATTTTATTGAGGATTTTTGCATCGATGTTCGTCAGGGATATTGGTCTAAACTTCTCTTTTTTTATTGTGTCTCTGCTGGGCTTTGGTATCAGGATGATGGTGGCCTCATAAAATTAGTTAGGGAGGAATCCCTCTTTTTCTATTGATTGGAATAGTTTCAGAAGGAATGGTACCAGCTCCTCCTTATACCTCTGGTAGAATTCGGCTGTGAATCCATCTGGTCCTTGACTTTTTTTGATTGGTAAGCTATTAATTATTGCCTCAATTTCAGAGCCTGTTATTGATCTATTCAGAGATTCAACTTCTTCCTGGTTTAGTCTTGGGAGGGTGTATGTGTCAAGGAATTTATCCATTTCTTCCAGATTTTCTAGTTTATTTGCGTAGAGGTGTTTATAGTATTCTCTGATGGTAGTTTGTATTTCTATGGGATTGGTGGCGATATCCCCTTTATCATTTTTTTATTGCGTCTATTTGATTCTTCTCTCTTTTCTTCCTTATTAGTCTTGCTAGCAGTCTATCAATTTTGTTGATCTCTTCAAAAAACCAGCTCCTGGATTCCTTGATTTTTTTTTAAGGGTTTTTTTGTGTCTCTATTTCCTTCAGTTCTGCTGTGATCTTAGTTATTTCTTGCCGTCTGCTAGCTTTTGAATGTGTTTGCTCTTGCTTCTCTAGTTCTTTTAATTGTGATGTTAGGGTGTCAATTTTAGATCTTTCCTGCTTTCTCTTGTGGGCATTTAGTGCTATAAATTTCCCTCTACACACTGCTTTAAATGTGTCCCAGAGATTCTGGTATGTTATGTCTTTGTTCTCATTGGTTTCAAAGAACATCTTTATTTCTGCCTTCATTTCGTTATGTACCCAGTAGTCATTCAGGAGCAGGTTGTTCAGTTTCCATGTAGTCGAGCAGTTTTGAGTGAGTTTCTTAATCCTGAGTTCTAGTTTGATTGCACTGTGGTCTGAGAGACAGTTTGTTATAATTTCTGTTCTTTTACATTCGCTGAGGAGTGCTTTACTTCCAACTATGTGGTCAATTTTGGAATAGGTGTGGTGTGGTGCTGAGAAGAATGTATATTCTGTTGATTTGGGGTGGAGAGTTCTGTAGATGTCTATTAGGTCCGCTTGGTGCAGAGCTGAGTTCATTTCCTGGATATCCTTTTTAACTTTCTGTCTCATTGATCTGTCTAATGTTGACAGTAGGGTGTTAAAATCTCCCATTATTGTGTGGGAGTCTAAGTCTCTTTGTAGGTCTCTAAGGACTTGCTTTATGAATCTGTGTGCTCTTGTATTGGGTGCATATGTATTTAGGATAGTTAGCTCTTCTTGTTGAATTGATCCCTTTACCATTATGTAATGGCCTTCTTTGTCTCTTTTGATCTTTGTTGGTTTAAAGTCTGTTTTATCAGAGACTAGGATTGCAACCCCTGCCTTTTTTTGTTTTCCATTTGCTTGGTAGATCTTCCTCCATCCCTTTATTTTGAGCCTATGTGTGTCTCTGCACATGAGATGGGTTTCCTGAATACAGCACACTGATGGGTCTTGACTCTTTATCCAATTTGCCAGTCTGTGTCTTTTAATTGGAGCATTTAGCCCATTTACATTTAAGGTTAATATTGTTATGTGTGAATTTGATCCTGTCATTATGATGTTAGCTGGTTATTTTGCTCGTTAGTTGATGCAGTTTCTTCCTAGCATCGATGGTCTTTACAATTTGGCATGTTTTTGCAGTGGCTGGTACCGGTTGTTCCTTTCCATGTTTAGTGCTTCCTTCAGGAGCTCTTGTAAGGCAGGCCTGGTGGTGACAAAATCTCTCAGCATTTGCTTGTCTGTAAAGGATTTTATTTCTCCTTCACTTATGAAGCTTAGTGTGGCTGGATATGAAATTCTAGGTTGAAAATTCTTTTCTTTAAGAATGTTGAATATTGGCCCCCACTCTCCTCTGGCTTGTAGAGTTTCTGCCAAGAGATCCGCTGTTAGTCTGATGGGCTTCCCTTTGTGGGTAACCCAACCTTTCTCTCTGGCTGCCCTTAACATTTTTTCCTTCATTTCAACTTTGGTGAATCTGACAATTACGTGTCTTGGAGTTGCTCTTCTCGAGGAGTATCTTGGTGGTGTTCTCTGTATTTCCTGAACTTGAATGTTGGCCTGCCTTGCTAGATTGGGGAAGTTCTCCTGGATAATATCCTGCAAGTGTTTTCCAACTTGGTTCTATTCTCCCCGTCACTTTCAGGTACACCAATCAGACGTAGATTAGGTCTTTTCACGTAGTCCCATATTTCTTGGAGGCTTTGTTCATTTCTTTTTATTCTTTTTTCTCTAAACTTCCTTTCTCACTTCATTTCATTCATTTGATCTTCCATCACTGATACCCTTTCTTCCAGTTGATGGAATTGGCTACTGAGGCTTGTGCATTTGTCACGTAGTTCTCATGCTGTGGTTTTCAGCTCCATCGGGTCCTTTAAGGATTTCTCTGCACTGGTTATTCTAGTTAGCCATTCGTCTAATCTTTTTTCAAGGTTTTTAACTTCTTTGCCATGGGTTCGAACTTCCTCCTTTAGCTTGGAGTAGTTTGATTGTCTGAAGTCTCCTTCTCTCAACTCATCAAAGTCATTCTCCGTCCAGCTTTGTTCCGTTGCTGGTGAGGAGCTGCATTCCTTTGGAGGAGGAGAGGCATTCTGATTTTTAGAATTTTCAGTTTTTCTGCTCTGTTTTTTCCCCATCTTTGTGGTTTTATCTACCTTTGGTCTTTGATGATGGTGACGTACAGATGGGGTTTTGGTGTGGATGTTCTGTTTGTTAGTTTTCCTTCTAACAGTCAGGACCCTCAGCTACAGGTCTGTTGGAGTTTGCCAGAGGTCTACTCCAGACCCTGTTTGCCTGGGTATCAGCAGCAGAGGCTGCAGAACAGCGGATATTGGTGAACAGCAAATGTTGCTGCCTGATCATTCCTCTGGAAGTTTTGTCTCAGAGGAGTACCTGGCCGTGTGAGATGTCAGTCTGCCCCTACTGGGGGGTACCTCCCAGTCAGGCTACTTGGGGGGTCAGGGACACACTTGAGGAAGCAGTCTGTCCGTTCTCAGATCTCCAGCTGCATGCTGGGAGAACCACTACTCTCTTCAAAGCTGTCAGACAGGGACATTCAAGTCTGCAGAGGTTTCTGCTGCCTTTTGTTTGGCTATGCCCTGCCCCTAGAGGTGGAGTCTATAGAGGCAGGCAGGCCTCCTTGAGCTGCGGTGGGCTCCACCCAGTTCGAGCTTCCAGGCCACTTTGTTTACCTACTCAAGCCTTGGCAATGGCGGGCACCCCTCCCCCAGCCTCGCTGCCAACTTGCAGTTTGATCTCAGACTGCTGTGCTAGCAATGAGTGAGGCTCCGTGGGCATGGGATTCTCTGAGCCAGGCACAGGATATAATCTCCTGGTGTGCCGTTTGCTAAGACTGTCGGAAAAGTGCAGTATTAGGGTGGGAGTGACCCGATTTTCCAGGTGCCGTCTGTCACCCCTTTCCTTGGCTAGGAGAGAGAATTCCCTGACCCCTTGTGCTTCCCGGGTGAGGCGATGCCTCACCCTGACATGAAACTATTTTTTAAGGGCATAAACAGTGTCTACTTTTACACATGATTTCCAGCAGTAAATCAAAAAATGACAGTTAAGAAAACAAAATAAAACAAAAACAAAAACAACTCATAGTCAACTTATAAAGCAATCAATCAATAGAACCAGAATTCAAGATGGCCCAGATGTGGGAACTCTAAGACAGGGGCTTTAAAATAACTCTGATGAGGCTGTGCATGGTGGCTCACACTTGTAATCTCAGCACTTTGGGAGGTCAAAGTGGGCAGATCACCTAAGGTCAGGAGCTCGAGACCAGTCTGGCCAACATGGTGAAACCCCATCTCTACTAAAAAGACAAAAATTAGCCAGGCGTGGTGCTGGGTGCCTATAGTCCCAGCTACTAGGGAGGTTGAGGCAGGAGAATTGCTTGAACCCAGAAGGCAGAGGTTGCAGTGAGCCAAGATTGCACCATTGCACTCCAGCCTGAGCGACAAGAACAAAAACTCCATCTCAAAACAAAACAAAAACAAAAACAAAACAATACAAAAAAGCCCTGAAGAATTTGTTAAATGATCTAGAGGAAAAGGCATATGGCATACATGAACAGATGGGAAATTTCAGCAGAGAGATAGAGAGTATAAAAGACATGTGGGAATGCTACAAAAAATATATAAGACATAAAGAATTCCTTCAGAAAGCTTATCAGTGAACTAGTCTCAGCTGAAGAAAGATTAAGGAACTTGAAGATAGGTCAACAGGAATCATATAAAATGACACACAAATAACATAAAATGGGCTGGGCACAGTGGCTTATGCCTGTAATCCCAGCACTTCAGGAGGCCAAGACAGGTGGATCACAAGGTCAGGAGTTCAAGACCCGCCTGGACAACACAGTGAAACCCCATCTCTACTAAAAATACAAAAATTAGCCTGGTGTGGGGGCATATGCCTGCAGTCCCAGCTACTCGGGAGGCTGAGGCAGGAGAATTGCTTGAACCCAGGAAGCGGAGGTTGCAGTGAGCCAAGATTACACCACTACACTCTAGCCTTGGCGACAGAGTGACACTCTTGTCTCAGAAAAAAAAAAAAAAAAAAAACAACAAAAAAAAAAACATAAAATAGAGGGAAAAACTCTGTCTAACAAGGCCTCCAAGAGCTGTGAGATCATCTAATGTACATGCAGTTGGAGTCCCAGAACAAGCAAACAAACAGCAAGGAATAAAACAGAAGAAATATTTAAAGAGATAATTTGCAAATATAATGCAAGACAGCAAACCTCAGGTCCAAGAAGCTCAGGGAATCCCAACAGTATAAATACAAAAACAAATAAAAAATCTCCATACCAAAAAAAAAAAAAACCCCACCTAGACACATAAAATCAAACTTTTTAAAACCAAAGATAAGGAGAAAATGTAGAATGCATTTGGGAGTTGTGGGGGACATTACATACCCAAGAAGAAAGATAATTGTAATAGATTTCTTGTCAGACATGTAAGCTGGATGTTAATGAACTGACATCTTAAAGTACTGAAACAATTAATCCAGAATTCTATTATTCTATTACAGATCCATTAAAATATTGTTTTAAATTAAAGGCAAAAATAAAAGCTTTTTAGACCCTGAAAAACTAAGATAACTCACTGCTGAGAGACTTGTGCTACAATAAATGTTAAAGGTAGTTCTTTAGGCTATAGGAAAATTATACCAGATAAAAATTTGGGGTTACACAGAGAAGTGAGCACCAGAAATAGTAAAAGTGGATATTAAAAACATTTTCTCATGGCTGATTCTTTAAAAGACTGTCAACTATGGTGGCCAGGTGCAGTGGCTCATGCCTGTAATCCCAGCACTTTGGGAGCCTGAGATGGGCAGATGGCTTGGGTTTAGGAGTTTGAGACAAGTCTGGGCAACATGGTGAAACCCTGTCTCTACAAATAATACAAAAATTAGCTGGGCATGGTGGTGTATGCCTGTAGTCCCAGCTACTCAGGAGGCTGAGGCAAGGAGGTTGAGCCCAGGAGGGTGAGGTTGCAGTCAGGCATGACTGCACCACTGCACTCCAGCCTGAGCAACAGAGTGAGACCCTGTCTCAAAAAAAAAAAAAAAATTGTTAACTAAATTAAAAATAGTAAACAGGGTTTATGACAGATGTAGAAATAAGATACATGAAATCATTTGCACAAAGTGGAGGAAGGAGTTGGAACTATCTAATGTCATAAATGCAAACTACTAAGGAATGATAATATTCTGAAATTGTCAGTTTTTTTTAGGCAAAGTAATAATTTCAGATCAGTTGCTAGTATCAATGAACTATCAATGTTTGAAATGTTTTCAGTATAAGTAGTTCAAGGGTCAGTATGAAACTTAAATTTCGAGGGAAAAAAACTAACATCATTTAATTCTGTGGTTTTCAGATTTAGCTAATATCAGAATCACCTGGAAGAGTTTGTTAAGCAAAGTTTCTGAGCTTTCTGGGCACTATCCCTGAAAAGTCTGATGTCACACATCTCCTGGAGGTAACGCCTCTCTGTTTAACAAGCAGCCTCTGCAGCCAACAGGTTTTGCTTCTCTGGGGAGGAAGTTGACCTCAGCTGCAGTGACCTTCCTGGAGAATTAAACAGAGGGGTGCAGATCCTTACACATGGCCCTCTACCAGGATGACGACCTCCCTCTAGAACAGGAGATACTAGTTTTACTGGTTAATGGCAGAGCCGAGTCAGGGGAGGCCAGAACCAGGCAGAAGTAACTTGAGTTTTCAGCTCTGGAGAGACTGCAGCCTTGGTCAAAGCCAAGAAAATCCCCGTCCTTGCGTTATTGAAGTGGTCAGTGTGAAGAAACAAGAACTCCCCAGACACTGGATCTCTTTGATTGATCTAAAGACCTTTCACTCCAGGCACATGGGGCCCATGAAAACTGTGGGCCCAGCAGCATATCACACCAGCCTCTTGGTGTGGTGCTCTCTGTGGTTCAGAATAGGAGCCTCTCGGGTCACTGTAGGACCCCACCGGCCCCTTTCCTCCAGACATAGGCCACAGATCAGCAATGTATTTTAAGCGACCCCGTTGGCGTTGGGCCATGTGTGTGGCATCTCTGTGGCAGCAGGTGGCCACATGCTCCTGAGTCTCAGACTGGAGGTGAATAGGGCAGCAGAAGAAGTCACCAGTGTTGAGCCAAGTCACAAAGAATAGGGCCAGTGGCAAGGGTGATGAATGGGTCAAGGGGATTGTAGTCAAGGAGCTGTGGGCCAGGGCTGGGCTCCATGCAGGATTGTGCCTGGGGGACCATCGTGGGAAATGGCTTCCTTTGAGCTCCTCAAATGGAAGCAAGAGTCAGCCTGGTTTTCTTCCCTCCAGGGAGCAACACAGAAAGGATTTTCTTTCTTCCACACAAGAGGAAGTTTTTAGGCTCTGCCAAGTAACCAAAGTAATAGAAACTGTGATGTCTCCAGAACTAGCCTCCAACTTCCTCCAGGTGGCAGGAAGGGGAGCAGCCACCTCGCCTCTGTGGCTGCTTTGTTTTTCCCTTCTTTTCTTGTTCCTCCATAGCCTACTTCCTCCATTTTGGGGTTCCTGTATGTAAAGTACTCATTGACCCAGAGATTGTATCTCAAAACCTTGTACCCAAAGGAGCAATTTTCCTGTGAACGTTCCCAAGACAGCGTTCCCAAAAGGTGTTACCAGCCTCAAGTCAGCAATCATAGTGTGGAACGGCGGTTTAGTTGTTGAGTGGAATCTCTTAGCAATCTTCCGACAAGCTGGATCAATCAAGTGAAGCTAGATTTCTATTGTTGATTTTGTTGTTTGTATGTTCTCATGACTTAGGCATGACCTATGTGCCTCTCCTCCTCCAGCTCTCCAATTTTCGCCATCCACTGTGTGTCAGACTCAGGCCTTTGAGGTGCCTGCATCTCTATATACCACACATGAGGCAGGTAGGGCTCAGAAAGATTAACAACTTTACACACATCACCCCATTAGGAAGTAGTAGGGTCAAGAGTCGAGATTCAAATGCTGATATAATTCCCAAGTCTGTGCTCTTAACCAGCAATATCATCTTCAAGTTCAGCAAAGAGTGTTTTGTGTTTCTCTATCCAAATGATGCCCATCTACTCTGTACCATCTATGAGCGTACACCATCTATACTCTCATATCCTCACGTGCCCATTTTTCCTGTAATTCCACTTCTTAGGCTTGTTCCCTTTAATACTATAACCAAGCGAGGGAATTTCCACTTTAAAAGGGAATTTGAAAGAGTAGAGTCTCATGTGACTTCCATTCATTTCCCTGACCTGTAGTTGTCCAAGGGACAGAGGGCGTCTTTGCATGTTCAGTCAGTCTAAACAGCTTTATTTGGCAAGATGTTTACCAGTTTCCATGGTCTTTGGCAAGATGTAAACATGGGCAGAGGGTCCCGAGTAAGAAGAAGTTGGAAAGGAAGTTGCCTGGCCACCGATGAGGCTTCGCGTAACTGTTCCACATAAAGGTCGTCTACTGTTTTTTTTTTCTCTTTCAAGTTAAACCTCTTCCCCTTTTTAGATGACAAGTCACAAAGCTGATCTACCCCAGATTGTGGCAACCTCACCCTATCTATACATCAGCTAAAGGCTGATCGAAGATCAGGTCTAAAGATTGTTGCAAAAAATGAGATAAGCTTTTAAAAAACCCCAGATTCTTTAATTTTGTATGTCAGTCATCAAGTCTTCATTCACACGCTCACTCAGCAACTCTTTCTTGAGCGCCTGCTGTCTGCGCTAGACCCTGGGTAGGCAGGAATGCAGGCTAAGCGCCTTCTCTATGGGGCCTTACATCCAAGCGACAACGTGCCAGGAGGGGACCAGTGCCCAGGAGAAAAGGAAGCAGCATCAGAGCCAGGAAGGGAGTTGGGATCGGGAAGCTCTTTTAAGCTGGGTAGTCAGGGAAGCTTGAACTGAGACACCCAAGGGGCCGACAGTGTGGTTGTCTGGAGAGCAACCTGGGAGAGAAGCAGCAAGGACCAGGGCCCTAGAGCAGGGACCGGCTGGACAGATCCCAGACACAGTGTGATTGCCGGGGCAACTGGCATAAACAACAGAGCTGGGAAGGACACAGGGCAGCGGGAGGAGAGCAGGGCAAGGGCGAGGGCTCCACGGGGCCTCTAAGTCATGGGAGGACACAGGGCATTATCCTGGCGCATGTGGGGTGCCCTGGGGAGCTCAGAACAGAATCCAGACATGATTTGAATCATGCTAAAGCTTTGCCTTCTCTGGAGGGCAAAAGTTTGGGGCAGGAAGGAGTGGGAATGACTGGCTATGAATGTGGGATATACACTATTAATACATCCTGGAGATGGCCAGGAACATTTGCTGATTTTGCTGACGTATTTGATGTGGAGAAAGAATCCAAGCACGACTGCAAGGTTTGGGGCCTGAGCAGTTGGAAGGACTGACTGTTGCTTTGATGATAGCACATGTCGGAGGAACAGGTCTGGGGAGTGAAATTGAGTTTGGCTTCAGATCTGAGACTCTTCTGAATACTCTGAGTGGGGGTCGGCGTCTGGAGTTCCACAGGAGGCTCTAGGCTGAAGACAGCGTGTAGGAGTGGAGTCGGTTAATATGATTATTAACTGGATAGTGTCTTCCCAAAATTCATGTTCACGCAGAATATTATTTGGAATATTATTTTATATTATTTGGAAATAGAGCCTTTGCAGTTGCAATTAGTTATGGGACTCAAAGTGAAATTATCTTGCATTCAGGGCAGGCCTTATGAAAACAGGAGAGAACGCAGAGACGGAGGGTTTGTGAAGACGGAGGCATAGATTGGAGTGATGCATTCACAAGTCAAGGGGCACCAGGAACTGCAGACCCCACCGGAAATGGGAAGCGAGGCTGGGGACGGTTCCCTGCACAGCCTCCAAATGGAGCCACCCCTGACAGCACCTCGATTTCGGACCTCTGGCCCCCGAAGAGTGAGGAAGTAGGTTTCCGTTGTTTTAAACCACATTGTTTGTGGTACTTTGCTGAGGAAACGGACTCAGGGCTCAGCCTGTAAAGGGTGTTTACAGCATGGGTCTGAATGATGCCCTCCAGAACCTGTGCCAGTGTGTGTTGATGTTGGGGGGAGGTGGCCAGGCAGAGGAGCTTCGTGAATCTTCTTACTAACCAGTGAAAAGCAACAAGGAAGAAACAGACGGTGCGTTCCAAAGTAATTCTGGCCAGTGCTGCCTCTGCAGCTCTCTGGGTAAAAGCTCCGTAAAGACTGAAAATCAGGGAACCTCACTCCTACCCTGGTGCCCAGTACTGAAGCTCGGTGCCCAGTACTGAAGCTCGGTGCCCAGTACTGAAGCTCGGTGCCCAGTACTGAAAATCATCCTTACAATATCAGCATTGGCTTGGAGGGGTGTTACATATTTTTAAATATCAGCTTTATTGGGATAACTTACATACAGCAAAATGCATCCATTCTCAGGGTCCACTTCAGTGAGTTTTGACAACGACTGTGTTCCAGTGTAACTGCAACCCCAATCAAGATCTAGAACTTTCTACTCCCACCAGCTTCCCTGAGCTCCCTTCCTGTCAATCCCTCCCCGTCTCTCCCTGCTCCAGGCAACTGCTCACCTGTTTTCTGTGACTAAATAGAAGAGGCTTCCCCTAGGGTTTTGCATACTTGGAACCCTACGGAAGGCACTGTCTGTGCCTGCGTCTTCGCCCCGGCGAGCTGTTTCCAGAATCCTCTGGGCGGTGGCCTCGCCTCCTGGGCTGCGCTGCGATCAGCTGGGGCAGGCTGTGCTTCTCTTACCAACCCTGCTTCGGTGACACCGGGTTGTTTGCCTGACATTGGCCGTGGTGTGAGTGTTGACCTCACAGAAACGGGCCCGGGCTACCAGCCGGGGCTGCGTTCTCCCAGAGCACTGGAGGATACACATCTGCCGGTCACACGCTGGCCATGTCTTTTCACATTCAGAATAATTTCCTGATCACTCTTCTGCCCATATGAGCAAAAGTCCAGTCTCCATGATTGCCCTGCCCCGGCCTGCTCATAGCTCACCCTCCCGTGTTCCCAGGAATCCCAGGAGCCCGCCTCGAGGGCCGTATCCTGCTTCCAGAGGCATCGTGGACAGAGAAAGGAAGCCCGAGGCCCATCCCTGGCTTGACTGCGTGGGACGCGTTCTCCGCTGCCCTTGCTTCCCTCACGTGGAGCGGAGAGCAGGCGCTGAGAAGGGGCCCTGCGTGGTGACCCACTAGGGTTAGTTCAGAGCCTTGTGCACACAGACCCGAGGGGGTTTTCAAAGGAAGCTGACACCCCCGCGAGCTGAGGGCGGCTGTTCTCACGCATGCTCAGTGGCGCTCCCTGAGTGCTGAGAGCCACGGTCGGTGAGAGAGGAGCTTCCTGATGAGCCTCAGACGGTGCTGAAACCAGCCGACTCTGCCCAGGATCCTGAGTCCTGGTTTCCTGTTGACCCTTCCTTCCCTCACGACTTATTTCCCCTGGGAACTATCGATGTTCTTTTGGCCAGTGGGCTTCCGTTGAGGCCATCCTAATCATCAGAGAGGTTTTAGTCGAGTTAAACCTCAAAAGAGAAGGTGTTTCTTAATTTTCCCAGGGGTGCCCTTGGCCCTGATACAGATTTAGCTACCTTCCCCCGAAAGCCTCAAAGTTCTGCAAACTCACAGCCAAGCAAAACGCAGCTGCAGTCGAGCCAGCCTCGAAAGGTCTTACAACTTTCTGCAGTGGCCAGCTTGTTCTCTGTTTCCATGCCTTCCAGAATGAAGAAGATCAGTTCTAAGGTTTCTTACTATTTCTACCAAGAGACGACCATCGGCATTCCACAGACGGCTCCTCTAGCTGTGCACAATGCCTGTTCTTATCGTTATCACCCGCTTCGCGCCAGCGGTTCTCAATACAAATTCCTTGAGGTTTCACAGTCACAGATAGGTTGTATTTGTAGGGAAACAGAAGTGCTTCAGTGGAATACTATTGCTCTTTGTACAGAAACCTGACACCTAGTACTTCTGAATTCTAATCCTAGTTCTGTTAACAATTGGCTTTGTAGCAGCCTAGATAAAGTCAAATTATTTCTCTGTGTAAAAGAAAAACCTAACCAGTAGCAGGGGCACAGTAGTCTATGTGCCTTCCCTCTGGGCTTGTGGTTAGTCAGCAATGGGGGCTTTGTGAACTGCGTAGACCAGCACCCCACAGTCTGTTTCAGTTCCAGTTTATCCCATTGTCTCACGTGATCTTGAGTCATTTAATCATTCTGTGCTTTTTCAGCCTTCAGTGTAACAAAATAATTTACTAAGCACCTAGCAACTTGGGGTTTGCTTGAGGTTGTTATATCTGATTAGATATATCTCTATTAGATATTAGATGTGTCTGTACATGTAAAGTATGATACATTATATCCCCACAAGCCAAACAGGCACACGTAAGGCCAGCTTATAGCATTGAGATTTGGAAGACCCCTTAGAAGGTAGATCAGTGACCAACAACTGGGCAAGAAATTCCCTTGACAATGCAGCTGCTTGAGTAGTTTCAGTTTCAGAGCTCTCCTGTGGCAAGTGAATTATTGGATAGTAGTGACTTATTCATGTGTTAGAAAGTCCTTCTTTGGATGAGCTGGTATCTACGGAAACTTCCCTTATTCTACTTTTGTCTCTGCACCTAGCATAGTTCCTGGTACAGTATATAATGAGCCCTCAGAAAATATTAGGGGAACTGAGAACAAGACTGTTTTCTTCCACACAGTAGCTCTTTAAAATTTGAAGGTAGCTCTCATGTTGCCCCCTAATTTTCTCATTTTGGGACTAAACACACTCACTTGCTATAATTCTTTATAGAGGGGTGTGGCCCCCGATGTGTGGCTGTGGAAAGGCATGGTCCCCAATGTGTGACCGTTCAGGTTGCGTTTCTGAACGCAACTCACATCACTTCTAAGATAGGGTGTCCAGGTCTGGAAGAAATGATCCATTTCTCTACTGATGAGCATAGCAATCTGTGGGCCTGTTGCTGTCCACGTCTGGAATACCAGCTAAGGTGGATTGATGGTGCCGATGGCCCCCATGCATAGGTTCCTGGCACTCCCATCCTCTGGGATGTGGTCCACAGCTCCTCCCATTGCAGGTGGAGGGTCTGCTTCCCCACCCAAGTCTGCCTTGGCCTGAGACTTGCTTTGACCAGTGGAATGTGAGCAAAGTGAGGCTGTGCCAGTTCCAGTCTGTGCCACCAGGTCCCTGCTGGAAACCAGCTTCCATCATGACAGCAGGCTGGGGCTGGCCTGCATGAGGGTGACAGAGCACAAGAGGTACAAGAGTTGTTCCTGTCAAGGCCATTCTGGACCAGCCTGCACTGGCTGACCGATTGACCAGACAGGGAGTGTGCTGGGCCAGGTCATAGTGGCCCTAGGACCACCCTGGAGACTTGGGGGCAATGTTGAATGGTTATCACTGTGTGTCACTGAGGTTTTAGGGTTGTTTCTCGGGCAGTGTTGTTTTGGCAATAGATAATTCATACACCCTACTACTAGCACTGCCCAAGACTGGATTATCTGTGACAGGGACTTATATCAGACTTGTGACCTATGACCTTCGTCTGATCACTTTTATGTATACCAATTTCCCTACCTGTGCCATCCAACATGGTAGCCACCAGTCATGTGTGACTACAGAGTGCTTGAAGCATGTTAGTCTGAAGTGAGATGTGCTATAAATATAAACTACACACCTGATTTTGAAGACTTTCTACAAAAATCTAAACGATCTCACTGACAATTTTTATTGATTACATGTTGAATGTATTATATTTTAGATATATCAAGTTAAAATAAAAATATTTGGAAAATTAATAATTTCAGTTTGCTTTGTTTTGTTTGTTTGTTTGTTTGTTTTGAGATGGAGTCTTGCTCTGTTGCCCAGGATGGAGTGCGGAGGCTGCAACCTCCATCTCCCGAGTTCAAGAGATTCTCCTGCTTCAGCCTCCCAAATAGCTGGGATTACAGGCATGCGCCACCACACCCGGCTAATTTTGTATTTTTAGTAGAGATGGGGTTTCTCCATGTTGGCCAGGCTGGTCTCAAACTCCTGACCTCAGGTGATCCACCTGCCTTGGCCTCCCAAACTGCTGGGATTACATGTGTGAACCACTGCGCCCGGCCTCGGTTTGCTTTTTTGAATGTGGCTGCTAAAAAATTAAAATGACATACGTGGCTCACGTTACATCCCTGCTGGACAGCAGCGTCCCAGACAGAGCCCTGGAAACCTACATGTTTCTAATTTCCTTATCTTCATATTTTATTGTTTTCAGCTCAGAATTCCAACCACATGAGATAATATGGAACCTTGAGCACTATCTGTAGCATCTGTTGTCCATCACAGATCTTAGAATTCAGCAGGTTTGATAATCATCTTTCCCTTTTGCATGCAACTCATTGATTTAAAATAATTCTGACCAGCACAAGGCCAATGGCACGATCATGTAGCATTTCATTAATCAATTCTTTTCACACCAAAAATATCACTTCCCATTCCTGGTGGTACAAAGTGACTCAATCAGCAAGGAATCTACCTAAGCAGCAGGGTCATTCGGCCTACATTTGCCATTTTATCTCAGGGGATTTTATTTATTTATTTTCTGCTTTTTTTGAGACAGAGTTTCACTCTTGTCACTCGGGCTGGAGTGCAATGGTGCGATCTTGGCTCACTGCAACCTCCGCCTCCTGGGTTCAAACGATTCTCCTGCCTCAGTCTCCCGAGAAGCTGGGATTACAGGTGGCTGCCACTGCACCTGGCTAATTTTTGTATTTTTAGTAGAGAGGGGGTTTTGCCATGGTGGCCAGGCTGGTCTTGAACTCCTGACCTCAGGTGATCTGCCCACCTCGACCTCCCAAAGTACTGGGATTACAGGCATGAGCCATCGCGCCCGGCCTCTCAGGAGATTTTAAAGGAATCTGCGAGATGCTTTGCTGAAGTCCAGATCTGCGGGAGGTGGAGCTGCCCGAGCCCAGCGCTCAAGGCCCAGCCAGAACCGAACCAAGGCTGGCTGGGGCCGATGCACGCGAAGTGCTTGTCCCGTTTACTTCTAAATGCCCACAGGGTGTTCATTAGACAGCGTGGCCTGAAGTGTTTCCTGATGTCGAGTCATGGCCGCCTGGGTTTCTTCACAGCTTTCCTTTTGGAGCTCAGGGCGGCTGTCGTCTTGGGCTCCAAGGGTGCCTTTCCGCCTTCTCGGGTCCTTCCGGGTGCTGGAGCCGGCGCTCCGACACAGGGAGATGTCTTCATCAAGGGGATTCCACAGAGCCACTCCCAGCCTAATACCAGATATAAAAAGCTACGTTCATGGATGCAAGCTCAGTTTTCTACTTAAAAAGTGAAGAGATTCCGCTTGCAAGTTTGATTCAGTTCAATACCTTCCCTGATACCTCCTGTTTTACTTTTCTCATATATAATTCTTCCGCCTATACACAGGAAATGCAACAATTTTTTTCCACCAAGCCTCTTCTAGGTGCCCAGACCACCCCCGCTAACCCCAGTGTGCCCTGCACAAACGTGGGGTCCTGTGGATGCCCGGAGGTCATAATCGGGGAGCCCTGCTCTCTCTCCCGCACCTGGTTCCCTGGCCTCAGGCTGAGTCACACAGTCCCTCAGGCCTGGAGTGCTCTCTGACTCTCACCTGTGTGGCAAACGCCTCTGCATCCTTCAGCGCTCCACCCTGGACCTTACTCCTGCTGCGCTGCTCCTCAAGGCCCGGGAAAGCTTCCCAGGACCGATCTGGGTGTGGATGTGTGGGGCACGTTATTCTAACAATTTGAAGTAAGTTTCTTATGATGGAAGTGCCCCTGTCCCCAGGTCAAAGTACCTGCTTTCTAAAGCCCAAGTCTAACATCCTTATTCCAGTCTCCAGGCACGAACCTCGCCGAGACACCTCCACACTGCTCCCCATACCTCCCTGCAGTTTTCCTCCCTGGGTTCCTCCATGGACACGCTTCACTCTGCAGGGAACCTCCTAGCTCCCCTCCCTGCTGCCCCATGTCAGGCACCCTTGGGGATAAAAAGCATCTGCTGTGGGTGCATGAAGAGCATCTGCTGTGGGTGCATCTCCTGGCACGTCTGTCTTCCGTAGCTCCTCTTAGAACTCCAGCCATGGGTGTCGATTCTGTTCAACCCACAGTCCTCACATCCTGGGAACCCCCTTGTGGTTGCATTATCTTTAATCTTTTGTGATTATGTCAGTCAACACTGAGTTGCCTTTTACACAATGGGAGCAAGAGGAAGAAGGAGGAAGAGGAGGAGGCCAAGCTGCAGGGAAGAAGGATATGGAGAGGAGGGGGCAGCAGTTACTCCCACCCTTGGTTGATGACAACCAACACGTTTAGGGCTTGTTGAGTTAAAACCACAATCCCCCAGGAGGTGAATAGAGAAACTTGCGAGAAAAAGAGAGACAAAGGCATTTGTGAACAGGAAAAGCAGGCTTTGTTTTCAGGCTGCTTGGAGAAAGTACTTAAGTAATGACTTTTACTGGGAATAACTAGAATAACTGGTCATGGATAAAAGTCCCTTCTCTTGCTTTTATGTGTCCAAGAAAGTATCCCAGAAACCAAAGGTCATGGTCCCAGGAGGCATCTCAATTCTAGGGAATAAATGCTGAATGGGAGTCTGGACTGGGGGAAGATTTAAGTATCCAAGTCCAACGGGACGAGTGGAAACTGAGCACCACCTGATAGGACCAATGGCGAGAGCTCAGCGCCACTTCTGTGCGATTTCTGTCAGAAATGTTGGTCCCGTGTCTGGTCATAAGGAAACACGAAACAAACCCAAATTGAGGAACATCATATACGCTGCCATTGTCCCACATCCCAAGGTTATGGTTCCCGGGAAAGAGGAAACGGACTTATTTTGAAGGGGACTAAAGAGAATCTGAGAAACAAACACAACGTGTGATTCTAGATTGAATGCTTTTGCTAGGGAGGATGTTAATGGGGCCTGAATCTCTGCCTGCATCTCTGATTAGATGGTGGATGTGTGTTGTGGGCTGCGCAAGGTTGGAGATAACCAGGTCTACTCACGTTTGCGTCATTTTACAATGTCACACTTTTACTGATGGTATTTTACTCATAAAGCCATATGCTACATGGAGTTCCCAAGCAGGCAATTCTTAGTGCTTCCATTCACTCAGTTGTCAGGGCCACCGGCACACAGGCTCAAGCCACAAGCCATTCAATACTGCGAACTGTACATCAGAGTATACTTAACCAATACATAGATGTTATAGATTAAACACTCTACAATAAACAAAGTGACATTTAACGTCAAGAGAAAGAGGATAGGAAAAAGGGCTAACAGGCCAGTCCAGGTAGAGTGATGTGGACAAAAAGAATGTCCTGGCCTGGCCCGGGCGGTCGTCAGCATCAGCGTCATGCAAGAAGGAATCTTTGATGTGGGCAGAGCCTTTGGTGACAGATGCTGGGTGCTTATCATGAGTGATGGCAAGATGGTGTCTGTTGAAATGGCCATTTCCAGCTAGTGAAGCACTGCTCTCTTTATGTTCTTTATGGCCACAGAGTCCTCTGGTGAAGACTGATAGTGGAAGAGTGTGCCTGGGAATGTCCTTATCTGGTGCAGTCTTTATTGATGAGGCAAACTTCTGGTTCCTGTGATGAGGTGCCTTTTGAAGTATAAGATGGAGTGTTTTTCTAAGATGGAGTTACTTACGTCAAGGGTGCGCTATGCAATTCGTCAGGGCTGTTGTGCTGGTATCAATTCTTCTTGCCTCAGCAAATCGATGAATCCTCGCCATTATTGTTCTGCGGCAGGCAGGCCTATGCAAACCTACCCCCAAAGTCCCAGGAAGCCGAGAGGTCAAAGAAAGAGGCTGACAAATTTGGTTTCTGAGGAAGAGACATTTAATAGGGACTTACAAACAGAACCCATGGTCTTGGGCAGCCAGGAAACAAGATGGTGGCCCCCTGGGCTATGACCCCCAGGTCCAGGGCTTCTACAGCATAGGGAAGGAATGTGTAGGACAATTGAAGTAGATCCCCAGGGAAAGGCAAGAGTGCTATGTGAACCTGCCCAAAGGCAGGGGTTATTGTCAAAGTTGTGTTGACCTAAGGGCAGGATTTATGGCAAGCATAAGATCTTACCCAGGGAACAGTAAATAAAATAGAAATCTTAGAGGCCTTCCTGGAACAGGGGTTAATTAGAAGTCAACATGGAAGATTAGCGTCCAAGCTGGAGCTGCTTCAGCCTCCCCAACCGCGCTCTTCGGATAGTAAAAGGCAAACTGGCCACCAATAGCTTCTTTTATATTTTCTGCCTACTTTAAACGTAGAGTTGTAAAACATAATAATGATAGGAAAAAATTTTTAAAGTCACTAAAAGAGAAACACAGAAAGTTAGGTTTGCCAGAAAGTACTTTGTTTTGAAGAGTTTTGAATATTTTCCGTAAGAAAAGGACAGAACTATGTTCATTGAAATATGTTTGGTGATTGAACTGTGCACCAATGGAATCAGTATTTTATTTTTATCATCATCTGTCTCTTTAGCATCAGATATTTGGGGCCAGATTCCCTTTTCATTGATTTTTAATTATTAACTTTTCATTTTATTTGACCATTTGTTCTTTGTGGAGCACCAACATACAGAAACAGGCAAAAACCACTGAAAAATTGGCTCTGAGCTCTGAGTGGCCCCTGTCTGAATGTCTTCATGCGACAGATGCTTAGAAATTTAATCCCAAGAAATAATAGGATTATATTTGGGAATGACAGTGACCATGTCCAGCTTAGTCAGAGTTTAAGTAAGGCTTCACTTTGGCACTCTTCCTCAGGAGAGTTGGAGGCAGGGATGGATGAAAGACTGAACCTTTTCATTCTAATAATTAAGACTTTGCTTTTGATTAATAAGAATGTCAATCCAAAGCATAATAATAGATACCAGCAGGTAATATTTCTAAATAATCAGATTTAAATATGCATTAAAGGAAGTAATTACCATGATGATTACCATGACTAAGGTTGATTGTTCATGTTCACACTGAATCTCCAGATTCCTCCATGTGGCGCATTCTCAAGTCTTTACAGTGCCAGTGTCAGTGATGATGGGCAGCTCTTATTTAAAAATAATTGAGTTCCATAGCACGGTTCCATTTGGCTATAGTAGGGAAGAATTGGACCCATTTTATTCCTTCAGAATAAATGAATGTTGGTACTAATACTGTTTTCTGCAGCAAACATGAAGAAAGTTTATTTCCAAGTGGCTGTTTTGCTCACTCTGCCAGCATCCCACCGGCATCTTTATAATGTGTATTTCAGTAAGCCAAAACAAAAGGCTTACCTGTAAAATATGTGTGTGTGTATTGAAAAAAATGTACATATTAGAACAATAAAAGCAGATGTTGATCCCAGGATGGAACAGGCAGTGTTTACAAGTTTCCTAAGTTCTGCCTTAGTTTGGGGTTTGCTGGCAGCAGCCCCTGCATTTGAGTGTGGGTGTGTTACCTGGGAGGCATCACCAGGGTCCTGGAAAGTGACGGTGAGGGTGGGAAAGGAGGGTCCCTGATGAAAGGGGCATGGCCCAGCAACGCTCCCGGGGGGATACCTGGGCTTGACTCCCCATGGGGATTCTGGCCAAGCCAGGGTAGAACATGTACCATAAACTTTCCCCACCCAAAGGGAGGGAGTGGGGTTATTTATACACCAAAGGCCCATCAGATATTAAGTGGGGGCTGCTCCTTTGTGAGGCATTCGTTCTCCAGCACTTCCAGGCCAGCAGGCCCTGGTTCCCCACTCAGTCCATCAGCATTCCATCCTGCTCTTTTTGTCCAATCCCCTCTCTACACAGCTGTCCATACTTTGTTGAACCTAAGCATAGACATAGACAACTTCCCCAGTACCCTTGGGTTTTCATTCTGGAGGCTCCTGTGTATACACATTAAATACATTTATCTTTCCTCCTGTTAATCAATCGGCCTCATGCCAGAGATTTCTCAGTGAAGCTTTAGGGGCCATGAAGTTGAGACTGGTGACCTGATGGGAGAGCGAAGGCAGCACTCTGTCGTCATCCACATCACTGCATATCTCAGCACCACATTCACATCTTCTGCCAACACTGACATGAAGATCAGCGCTGAGGGGGACAAGGAGTCACAAATGAGCAGTGTTTCCCCTAGAGGGTTGGAGGTGGTGGGAGGAGAGGGTTCCAGGGTGGGGGCTGCAGCCATCTGTGCAGGGGGTGCAGTACCTTGCTCTCTGGACTCGGTGATATTAGGGTGGCCTTGGAGTAGGTGAGTGGGTGCTGCTATCCACGTATGTCAGGAAGAGGACCTGAGCGTGTTTACTTTTTGTCATAATAAGTTGCTGAAACAACTGCCCCTCCTTCTCAGTCCTTTAGTCCATCCCTAAGGGAAGGAGTGAGGGCCCCCCACCATTTGCCAAACAGGAGCTTTGCTTGGACACTCAGGGCCGGTGCACCTGCACTCTGACTCCCAACAAGGAAGTGTGGGGTATCTGTAAGTTTCTGTGGTTGCAGATGAGTTTCTGTTTCCCTTGCCCTCAGCCAGCCTCTCGGGAGGTCAAGGTTCTTTACTAGGTGGAGAGCCAAACTTTCATTCTCCGGTTCTCTGAGTCCTGTCTGTGTGAGTGCTGTGGGCTGAATGTGTTCCCCAAAATTCATATGTTGAAGCCCTCACCCCCAAGGCTTGATGGTATTAGAAAGTGGGAAGTGCAGGAGGTGATTAGGTCATGGGGGCAGAGCCTCATGAATGGGATTGGGGCCTTAATAAAGGAGGCTCAAGAGAGTCGGCTCATCCCTTCCACCATGTGCGGACACAGGGAGAAGGTGCTATCTATAAACCAGGAAGTGGCCCTCACCAGACACCCAATCTGCAGCACCTTGATCTCAGACTTCCAGGCCCAGAACCGTGAAGGCTGAACTTCTGCTGTTCATAAAGCCACATGGTCAAAGGTACTTTGTTATAGCAGTCTGAACAGACGAATGCCGTAACAGTGTACCCCAGATTGGGCAGCTTAAGCAACAGACATTTATTGTCTCAGTTTTGAAGGCCAGGCCTCTGAGGTCCAGATGTCAGCAGGGCTGGTTCCTGCTGAGGCCACGAGGCAAGGATCTGTTCTAGGCCCCTCTCTTAGGCTTGCACCTTGCTGACTTCCCCAAATGTGCGTTTGTGTATCTGTATCCAAATTTTCTTCTCTTTCAAGGACACCAGTCATATTGGATATTAGGACTACACTCAATTTCTTTCAAGGACACCAGTCATATTGGATATTAGGACTACACTCAATTTCTTTCAAGGACACCAGTCATATTGGATATTAGGACTACACTCAATTTCTTTCAAGGACACCAGTCATATTGGATATTAGGACTACACTCATGACCTCATTTTAACCTGATCATCTGCAAAGACCCTATTTCCAAGTAAGGACACATGCACAGATACTGGGGGTCAGGACCTTGACATCTTTTGGGCGGGGGGCACATTCAGCCTATAATAATTCTGTTCTAATCATCCTCTAATCATCTTCCATTCACCTTTTCCATTGCACATGGCGGTGCCTCCAGGGATCTTCCCCACCAAAACGTCTGTCTACTTATATTGCTTCTGGCTCCACTTTGTAGAGAAACCCTATTTTCTCCATGGCAGCCAAGGGCAAGTCCCTCAGCCTGCAAAGTGACCCTCCATGGGGCCTTTGCAGAGCAGCATGGGCAGCCTCAGTGGGCACCACAGTGGCAGCCTCAGCTCCAGACTTGTTGGAAGCACGATGGTGTTCCAGGTGGAAGGACTCTGCCTTGGGAACTAAAGTCTTGGAGACCCCAGAGATTCAGGAATGGGATGCAGCAATTTTGAGGATGTTTTAGCAGATGTAATTTCATGAAGAATTACCCTCTTTTGGTTCCTGGAACCATGAATTCTAGCCATGGATATTGACTTGGAACATTTGTGTGTGATTCAGAGAGCATCGTAACATTTCAATGTGCTGTGCCCCAGTTATCCTATAAAGAAGTCTTCCATAGTTGATTCCAGCATTCTTTAATGCCAATCACTTGGGCTTGATGAGGACGGGATAAGCCTGCTGGCTGTCACCACATGGCTTTGCCCCTTTCACGGGGAGCTGGATTTCTCGGAAGCTACATTCAGTGGGATATCATCACGGTCATCACGGCATTCAGGGACTCTGCTGAGATGAGCAGAGGCACAACAGGCAGGAAAAGCAAATCTGAACTCAGAATCATGGTCTATTGTAGTGAGAGCAGAGATCTGCCCTTCCATGCTGGAAGAAGCCCATGTGGTCGGCCTGACTCCAGGCAGCTGTCTGGTGTTTCCCACGTTGCAGTACCACAGCAGGGGCTCAGGTTTGGCAAGCTGAGCAAAGGTGTTAGTCAATCTTGGTGAAGGGAAGCCCAATCATAACTGAATCCCCTGCCTTGCCCGCTGGCATGGCTAGCAATAGGGGCCAGCTGGCACGGTCGGAGCAGAGCCTGCTGTTCCAGTGATTCCGTAGTGGGCCTCTCCTGGAGGGCATTGCATGGGATGATTTTTTTGTGTTGGACCCATTTGAAGAGCAGCAGTCCATCCACACACACCCTTCTCCAACCTCCCTGACACTCGTTCCCCATCCTGAGCATCTCTCTGGTGAAGCCACTGACCCTGAGCAGGTATGAACTGAGGTTCTCACAGGAGGCCCTGGCAGGCCAACCATCATGTGTGCTCATCTTTCCTGAGGTGATCTTTCTCCTCTATTGTGCCTTAGAATGGTCTGAACTGGGCTGTGTGTCCACTTCCAGCTCGGGCCAGCACAGTGCACTGTGAACTCTATGAGGCCAAGTCTTCTCATCCTCATCAATTTGCACAGAAAATGCCCATGGAGCCATGGGCTTGGGTTGAGATAGAGCTAAACATGCTGGAAATGTGAGCAAACTGTGTATGCAACCGATGCTTCCAGGCCTGCTCAGGTCCAGGCCTGAGTGTGCTACTTAATTGATGATGAAGTGGGGTTAAGTGTGCCCAACTGTAAGACCACATGGGTCATGTAATACCTTGGGCATGCTGTGCATGATCAGCAACTCAGGCTCACTCATGTTTGGTCTTCAGTGGACAGGCCATAAATACCAACAAGAGCTTGACCCCCAGATCCAGGGACCTGCTCTGTGATTTCCCAATCGGGGCCTCCTTAGTCTCCTTTTGATGTTTCCCCCTTGTGCCCCATAGCCTCATGCTAGGGATCCTGATCCACAGAAGCCACTTGGGGCTCACAGCACCTCTGGTCATCAGAGCCTGGGAGCAGGGTTATCTAGCCTGGGCCACTCTGGGAATTCTCATCTTGTCCTCAGACCCACTGAAAGCTGGCATCTTTTCAAGTCATCCAGTAAATGGTTTGAATAAGATAATCAAATACGTTGCTTAAAAATCCAAAGAAGGGCTGGGTGCAGTGGCTTACACCTAACATCCCAGAAGTATCACTTGAGCTCAGGAGTTCAAGACCAACCTGGACAACATGGTGAGACCCTGTCTCTAAAAAAAATTTAAAAATTTAAAAAAATCCAAAGAAGCCTTGACAGAGTTCAGCCTTCTTAATTGTAAGGAATTTCAATTCTAGATGCTTGGATCTGTGGGAACAACTCCAAGAACACAGGCCCCTTTGAGGCTAGAGGATTTATTTCCCACCCTCTGACCCATGTGTGTCTTTTCAAAACAACACAACTTTCTAATCCTGTTTTCTCAGCAATGAAAGCTTCACTGTAGTGCCCAGTGTGACGTCTGAGAGGCTGCCCCCTGACTAGCACTCTTCCTTTCCATGGACACAGATGACTAAATTACCCCAGTTGGTAAAAAGGCCAGTGAGCCAGTATAAGGAGAAGAGCTGAACACCTCCCTCCAACTTCACACTTACTGGGAGAGCTTCAGAAGCTCTCACTGGGATGTGAAGCATGGAAAGACACATTTCTAGAGAAACGAGGTCTCATGCATTAGTGTGGAGCTTGGAGCTTGGGGATATCTGATACCTGGTGTTTGCTGCTTGCATGCTGCTATTCCCCAGTTTCTAGCATCGCTCTTGGCCCCTAAGCCACACTTCTCTTTCCACTTGGGGTGCCTGATTATGAAATTCACTCCTCTAAAGCCCCTCTAGCGTATGTCTAAATCATGCAATAGACTTTTACTTAATGTGTGGGGATGGTGGAGGGCTGGCTATGTTGTAGCAAAGGCCAGGACAACCTGAAACTAAATATGAGAAATTTCTACCTCTAAATTCCTGTTATTATATTATGCCAGTAATATCTCCCCAACTCCAGCCTAGATTGACCTGTGGGCCTACATTAGCAGATTCAAAAGCATCCATTAGCAGATAATCCTTATCAATAAGGAACAGATAAGCCCACAATTACTTCCCTTATTTATTGTACCACCCAAGGATACCCAAGAAACTTATTAGTTCTTGCTTACCATTTTCACTTTTCCGCAAATATAGTACTCAGTAAAGAGGCAGAGACTGGCAGCACGGGTTATTATCTGGGCTCTGACTATACTGAGTGTGAGCTTGCTGACTAAATATCAGAGTATTAGAATGGACTTGGTGTGTGAGTAAAGTAAGTGGGGGTTAAAAGGAATGAAGTGCTGCATTCATAGATGATAGTATTAGGTTGGTGCAGATGTAATTGCTGTTTTTGCCATTACTTTTAATAGCAAAAAACTCAACTATGTTTGCACCAACCTAATAAAATTTCATAATTAATTTTCCTGAGAAGTGGCAGGGACAAAATTAACAAACATAATGGACAATTTAAGTAAATTATGGTGTTAAAAACCACCATCGATTTTTATAGGAAGCAAGGGTTTTGATGAACAGTGTTCTTACATTTGTAGTTGACACCAAGGACAATGACATCCCGTCCTGACATAGTCCTTGGAACCAAGTTAGAGACAATGCCCTGGGTTGGATAAACCCCATGTCTGAAACCAGATGGGGAGCATCCCACTGCCTTTTAACTAATCTGTCATTGGGCCACCGCTAGAATGTTCTGGGGACCGAGTAATCTTTGGGGGGTTAGAAGGCAATGCAATACATGTATCGCCCCGCCCTCAGTCCCCAGCCCCTTCTCTGTCTTACTCAGTTGGCTAAACCACAGCCCTTGTTGAATTCACCTCTCCTCCTACTCAGCTACTGCACCTACATAACTGAATGTGTCTGAAAAGAGACGAGAACATCGTGGCGACTGCTTCATTTTAAGTTTATGGCTGCTGACTGGGCAGTTAGAATTCTCTAGCCCCTTGCTTCTCCCTCTTCCTGGATGGCTGATTTATTCCTTTTCCTTTTTTCTTAAAACTAGGATGCCTCTTTTTCCATCTTCCCCCTCAGCAGATGCCTTGGTTTCCTATTTCCCTAAGAAGATAGGAGCAATCAGAAGAGAGCCCCCATGGCCGCTCACCAACGCACCCACCTGTCTCCTGGCCTCTGTGACCCCGGGATCCGCCTCCTCACCTGCCACCAGGGAGACTAGCCCCATCCCTGACACAGCCCCTTCTCCAGGGGGTGCACTGAATGCCTGCCCCTTTGTCTACTCTACAGACACTTCTCCCTTCTTTTTCCTTCACAGTCAGCATTTTCCTCTTTATGGGGTCATCCTTACCAATATGACCTGATCTTAAACAAAATATGTTTTGCTCCAGTGTCATCTCCAGCTGAGACCCATGTCTGTTTCTCTCCACACAGCCTCCCTGGAATAAATGTTTGCATTCTCTCCTGTGTTTATCCCTCTCCCAGCCAGGTATCCTCCCACACCACTCCATGCCATTAAGCGTGACCACACGTGGCATGAGAAGCTCATCTGGTTGCCAGGTGTGTGCCAGGTGGGGCGGGGCCCAGATGTGCCCACTTTGGGGGTCTCCAAGTCCTCGAGGGCTGCAGGGTGGGGGCTCCGCAGCTTGGTCTTACTCTGAGACCACAATGATCTCCAAGTTGCTACATACGGTGGTCAATTTTCAGTTTTGTGCTGCTTGTGATCAGCAGCATTGACATAGCCGACGTTCTCTCCATCTGGAGGTGCCTGCTCCTCTTGGCCGTCTGCTCTCACTGCCTCGGTGCCCTAGCTGGTGGCTCCTCAGTGCACACCTCCTGCCTGAGCTCCACCCTCAACTCCATTTCTCACTGAGAACACCAGATATCTGCACTGGAATCTTCTTTTTTATTCTTTATTTTGTTTATTAATTTATTTTTTGACACAGAGTCTCACTCTGTCACCCAGGCTGGAGTGCAGTGGCGCAATCTTGGCTCATTGCAGTCTCCACCTCCCAGGTTCAAGTGATTCTCCTGCCTCAGCCTCCTGAGTAGCTGGGACTATAGGCTCATGCCGCCACCCCCGGGCTAATTTTTTTATTTTTAGTAGAGCTGGGGTTTCACCATGTTGGCCAGGATGGTCTCGATCTCCTGACCGCGTGATCTGCCTGCCTCGGCCTCCCAAAGTGCTGGGATTACAGGCGTGAGCCACCGTTCCTGGCCTAGTCTTTATTTTTAATTGACAAGTAATAATTGTACATATTTATGGTGTACATAGTGATATTTCAATAGCTGTAATGTACAGTGATTAGAGGAGGGTAATTGGCATATCCATCACCTCAAACATTTATCATTTCTTTGTTTTGGGAAAGTTCAATATCCTCCTTCTAGCCATTTGCAGTGATATGATATAAACTCTGGTCATCCTGCAGTGGCCTGGAACATGAGGACTTATTCTTCCTGTCTAGTTGTGATCTTGTGTCCTTTCACAAAACCATCCCTATCCTCTTCCCCCTCCCCTTCCCAGCCTCTAGCATCCTCTGTTCTACTTTTTGCTTCTATGAGATCCACTGTTTTTTAGCTTCCACACATGAATGAGAACATGAGGTATTTAACTTTCTCTCCCTGGCTTAACTTAGCATAACGTCCTCCAGTTCCACCCATCCTGCGGAGCATGCCAGGAGTTCCTTCTGCTTTCTGGCTGGGTAGCATTCCACGGGTATAGACAGCACATTTTCCTTACCCATTCCTCTGCCAATGCACACGTCGGTTGGTTCCATGTCTTGGCTCTTGTGAATATGCACTGGGATGTTCTAGTGGCTGCTTTAATGTCTCAATTTGCTAACCGGCTTCCTGTGAACACTGCCTCCCACCCCAGACCCACCTCCTCCTCATATTCCCAGCGCATTGAATGAGCAGCTTTCACTGCACAGGGCAGACACCTGGACCCATCCTCTGTGCTTGTTCTTTTGTCAAATCTCACATCCAGTCTGCCAGTAAATCCTGTTGAGTTTGTTTCCAAAATATTCCCCTCATATCCTACCCGGGTGGTCTTCTTAATTCTGCCTGAAATCCCTTGAATCCGTTTTCAACACTGCTGCCAAAGTGATCTTAGAATGGAAGTCAGATAATGTCACTCCGAAGTCTTAGTAACATCCCGTCTCCCCTGGAGGAGGCAAAGTCACTGTGGTGGACTGTGAGGCCCTGCGACCGGCCCCTCACCTCTGACTACAGCTCTCATCCCTCCCTGGCTCACCTCACCCTCACTGAGCTCCTTCATTGCTTTGAATATGTCAGGCAAATTCTGCATCAAGGACTTCACCCAAAGTGCTTTTCCTCCAGGTACACATGTGGCTCACTCCTTCCCCTCTTCTGGGGCTCTATTTAAATGCCACATTCTCAGTGAAACCTCCCCTGTTCACCCTCATTGAAATTGCAGCTGCCTCAGTTGCACCTCCCTGCTTGATTTTTCTCCACGGTATTGGCCAACTTCCATACTACGTATCTTTTCATTCATTTTTTTTTTGGTTGTTACCTGTGTTCCATGACTAAAATGGAAACCCCAGGAGGCCAAGACTTTTACTTGTTTTAGTCACTGCCGTATCCCTTGTGCCTGGAGCAGTGCCCAGCACGCGGTGGGCATGAGGAAGTGTTTACCGGAGGAATCGCTGGACTGCCGTGTGGTACAAAGAGGACGTGGAAGACCTAGGGCTTATTTTCTGAATTCACTACTCCTGGCTCATACATTCTTGGGAAGTTACTCAACGCGTTTTGTGCTGGTTTCTTTCCATCTGCAAAATGAAGGTCACAATGTCCATTCTCCCAAAATTGTTTGTCAGGATTAAATGAAGTAATAAACATGAAAAGTACTTTCTAAATTGTATTACACATGCATTAATTAACATTTAACAATGCTATTTATAATCATTTGAAAAAGGAAGGAGAGGGGTGGATGACCTAGAGTTGTAGACTCTCACTTCTGTCCCTGCAGAAGCCGTTGGCGTTTCCTATCAAGCAACAATTTTGGACTTTCCTTAGGGGATTTGTAGCTTGCTTATTATAGACCTAAGTGGAGAAGGTAACCTAGATTTCCCCTTAAATTACGAGGTTGTTCTTAAGCTGAGCGCTGACAGTTGCCTTGGGAGTATGGAAACTTAGGGGTTTCTGCGTCCTCAAATTGGTCAAGTTGTGACACGTGGCCACAGATTGTAGAAAATGGCTAACAAAACAACATGAGTATTTTGAGGGTGGAATTTCTCCTTTATGCTTAGGGTATGCCTTCTTTTGTGGCTGCCACTGACCTGCAGTGGGATATTGGTGAGATACTGATTCTCTATTCACTGTGTCTTTACTCATAAAGCATATATCATATGGTATTTTCAGGTTTTTTTATTCTCTTAAGAAAACTGTAGAGCCTTTCAGAGAACTTTACAATCATTTGAATTAATTTGTAATTTCCAAGAAGAATCAAGAAATATTCCACAGATCAATAATTCTGAAACAAAGAAAAATTTACGTCTGAAATTGAAATTACCAAGTGACCTAGTTACATCAACCCATCTTCCTTCCTCCACCTTATTTGTCTCCTTTCTGTGATCTGAAGTGTGTGCTGAGGAATAAAACTTGTGGTAAGGAGGGCAGCCCAGCACACCACCCAGTGTATGGGTGAAGGAGGCAGCAGTGTGGCCGGAGAGGAGAGCTGGGCTGGGAGCACAGGAAGGTCCCCAGGACTCTGTGGTCATCAGTAAGAGAGGGCCCACGTGTATATGCTGGTGAACAGAAATGTCAACCTTTTCAAAGTCTGACATTTAAGAGAAAAAACTGTGGCTGTTGGTTTGTGGAACAGACAGCTCCTTCTTTATTGGTAAGTTTTTTTTTTGTCTTGGAACTTAGAAAATATTGTATTTCTTTTGTCTCAATAATTGTTTTATGCTTTGGAGGTAATAGAGTATTACAAAAGTTTATGTTATCAAGTCATGCATTGCGAATACTTATTTATTTAGGCTACTTTAGTCATCCCAAAAAGAAAGAAGAGATGCTGACCTTTGTTGAGTCTATTATGTGACATGCTCTATTCTAGAGACTTTGGTATGTGTTATTTTATGTAATTCTGAAGACAATCCTGGCAGGTAGGTGTGGGGCTATTTTAAAGAGTTAGGGCGGTAAAGTCACACAGCCAGAAGATGGCCATGGAGGGTTGGGAGGCAGATTTTTCTGATCCTAGTCTGTGTTCTTTCTATCTCACAAAGACATTCCATACCATCTGCAAGTCGCTTTTGACTAGCACTCGAGAAAGAAGTATGGGGACATTGGAAACGCTCTAATAGACCACAACCACCTTTGAAAGAGCAGTCATCTCTATGAGCCATAACTATAAGGAAGAAATGCAGATCCCACAGACCAAAATGGAACATGTCTCCCAAACTTCTCACCCTGGGGGCTGTGGCTGCTGCAGAATGGGGGGTGCTGGTGGATCTAACATGAATGAGGCTCGGTGGAGGGGCTGGCTTTGTGCAGGGAGGTTGGGATGAACAAGGGCAGCAGGCGGCATCACAGGTGAGAAGGACATCCCAGGAGGGAGGAAAGAGCCACAGCGTGCTGACGAAGGTGGGATGGGGTGAGGTGGGGGAGACACAGAGAAGCCCAGAGCCAGCCTCGTGGAATACACAGATGTGTCTGGAACGTGTGTCTCTGGATACACTGATGGGTCTGCTTCAAGAGAATTCTTGATGCTGCAATGCATCAGAAGGAGTTCTAGTGATAGCATTGTCTCCCAAGTGAAAGTGATAAACCAGTGACAATCAGTTTCACTGTGTTGTGGGTGAATGCATTTATGTCATTTAACAATACTGCGATTCCATTTGTATAACAATCTCGGATGCACTTGTTGTAATTTTGCATTATGTCTTCTCTAATTAAACATCTGAACCCTCTGAGGCCTGACTTACCTGGAGCTCTCTTATCTAATAATATCAACCTCTAAGGCAGCCTGAGAAAGAGGAAATGAACCCAAAGAGACTCTGCACCAAAATAGATACCACGAAGCCTGTACCCAAACTTGGTGTGTTTTTCTCCCAGGGGAGACCCTCAGGTGCACATTCAGATACACTGGCTCTTATTTTAGGCACAGTTCTGATAAGGGGGGGCTGTTTGGTTTCCCAGCCCAGAGCTTATTGGAAGCAGCACATTCAGTGGGAATGTCACCTGCTGGAGTCAGGCACGCTGGAAGTGATGAGGAATGGCAGACAGCCAGGTGCAGTCAAGAGGTGGGCTGGAAGAACCCCAAAACACAGAGAGGGCAACTCAGTAGACCTCACATGGGCCCATTTAATGCGGAAGCAGATACTGTAGTTCCAAGTATTGGAAGGATCTCAGTGTGGAATTTGGTGTGCTGCTGCAGATGAGAAAGCACACGTCCCCAGCGGCTCCACGAATGGGGCCCAGGCAGGGTTGGACGACGCCCAGCTCCCCTGGAGACAGCCAGAAATCTCATCACATGTCTTAGCAATATTTTCACCCATCAGATCCCAAGTTTTAAATGTTTAAAATGATTAGTTGAAAATTAATTTGGAATAGGCTTCCCCAAGACCAAAATGTTGGTTGGACATTGCTGTGTTGCTGAGTAAAATACAGTAAATATGCAGCGCATCCTTCAGCGTTCAGATGACTGCGTTAGAGAGGATGGGGCATCTAGGCAAGACATGCATTCCTCTTTACTTTTTAAAGCACTCCTATTTTGGGGGGTAGAATGAGAAGATGGATAGATGAAGAAAGGGAAAATGGAACAAAGAAAGGAAAAAGGGCAGGGCAAGGAAGAGGTTCCAGGATAAAATAGACATGAGATCTTATGAGCAGAGATCGTTAGGGCAGGGTGGGTGGACCAGGTCACACAACCGTGACAGACACGGCTCTGGGCTCTGACAACCGCATCGCAGCAGACAGGATCAAGATGCAAAGCAGGGCCCTTCGGCAGCCGGCGCATGACCTAGAGCTGGGTGTAGGAGGACTCTCCGGCAGCTTCTGCCTCTCCCTCCTCACCTTCCCTTGATCGGGCTTATGTCATGAGGACGTCATCCTCCCTGTGCTGTCCCCACCTCCTGCCACACAAGCTGCCTGAAATCCTAGGGGCTGGTGGAGATGGTGGTTTGATGGGTTATAAATCACGTGACTTAGCTGAGACGGTCTAGCTCCCTCCTGCTCCCAGGTGGTCTTCTGAGCAGTGGTAGACCTCGAGAGGAGTTCAGAATCACAGGACCGCAGGACCCAGCCCTGGTCTATCCACCCAGAACCTACATTTGAACCCCAAGGAGAGGCAATTCATAATCACAGTGCACTTGGAAACCCTTCTTCCAGGCATAGGAAACCCCAGTCCAGAGGCATCACTTCATATTTCGGAGGGGTTACTGCCATTGAGTGGCCTAAATTTCAAACCCTGGCACGGAGATGAGCAGGGCCCCCTTCTCTATGCAGAGCCCCCTGGCCGAGGCCTGCTGTGACGGCTGCTGTAACCAGCCTGTGGCTCTGACGTCACCGTGCACACGTCACCCTTTTTCATTTCTGTAGCAGTTTATAAGTCAGTGAGGCTGTTCCCGGCAGACAGAAATGGAAATTAGCACTCTGAATCTGGGTCACCGAGCAGTGCTGTAAATCCCAGGGGAGGCCCCGTCCTTAGCTCTGCATCCAGTGAGGACCTGAGGTGAGGATGTCTTCACAGATCCAAGGGAGGAGGTTTTAGACACATAAATCTGTGTGATTATCCAATGGCAAGATCATTTGATAGGAGATCCCCAACCTAAAAAGAATGTGGCTTTCAGATCTCTTTCTGGTAGACAAACAGATGTTTTAGTAAATCAAAAAATCAGCCTTGTGAGTGTAATTAAATGACTACGTAATAAAATCAGTCATTTTCCTTTGGTCTTTTTGTCAGAATGAGTCTTCAGGTTCTGTAAAGAATCTGTCTCCTCCGACATACATCGCCAAGACAGCGGCGGGCTAATGGGGGCTGTGCTGCCCACTCCTCAGACACTGGATGGGGGTCTCACTGGTCCACCCCGCAGTTGGCTGCTGGGTCAGAGAGTGTGCCAGCCAGACCCCAGCGCCCAGCGCCCTCTAGATGTTGCAGAAGGGCGAGAGAGGCTTTCTGTGGTCCTCATTCTGTGAGCAGACCTGTCCTTTCTGGCAGTCAATTATGCCTTTGCGGAATATGATTGGGAGATTTTTAAGTAAGTCAGAGGAAAACTGATTCTGCTGGAAGTCGGTTTTAGAGCTGCTGAGAGCTATTTCATTCATCATAAAAATCTTGTTGGTTCAACAATACCTCTTTTTCCACATTCCTGGTGTTTAAGCAGGGTGCCTTGTCCAAAAACCTAGTGTCTTTTCCCCATTTTCTGTATCTGACTTGAAGCAAAATAGTATTGTCCACTGTTCTGGAAACTAACACAGAAAGAAATTGTGACTATGGCAGCACTCACACAACAGTTTATCTGGAAACGTCTAGAAGGTGTTATTTTTCCAGCAGTGAAAATTAGTGATATCCATAATAGTCACTATAATTAGTCCTTTTGCTTTTCTTAGAAATTCTGTTTCATTATGCAACCAACTTATTTTGTTATTAAATGAAAGTACAAAGAGAATTTTTTAATAATTACATTTCTTATATTTCTACCTCCTTATACAAACACCATTATGATTTTCATGTCTCTTCTCATACTTGTGTCAGTTTCTCACTTTTATTGCTAAAATTTTGCAAAACTGAGGCTGTATCTATAATGTCATGGTCAGGGTTGGAAGTTTAAATTTGAGACCTCAAAGAAGATTTTTCAAAGGGGATGCTATGAAAAGCTCCCCATTTTCCTCCTAGTTCAAAGATCCGCAGGCGTTATAAAGCGAATGACTACTGGTTAGGTGGAATTCATTTCTGAAGCCGTGGCTGCCGCCAGGAGGGAGCACACCAGCAGGCGTGGATGGGCGTTATTGTTGTGTCTTCTTTCTTGAAAAGCTCCAGGGTCCAACTGCAAGAAGAGATCACGAGAGAGAATGCGGAACTCCTGGCTCTGTCTCTGGAGAACATTCCAGAGGTTGTGCTGGAGCCAGAAGGAGCGCTTTCTTATGCTGCTGTCTCCTTCCCGAACTCTCCAGAGCCTCTGGAGTCTTTCACCGGGGCCTCCCCGCCCTCGCTCCCTCTTGGGAATTCTCTCTCTCCAGCACCCCCGACGCTTTCTGTTTTAGATCAAATTGACCTTTCTGGCTTGACACCCTTTCCAGCACAGGAGGCAGCTGGGCCTTTCTCTGAGGCCCTCCTCTCAGCCCACAGCGCGGCAGATCCCTGCGGGGAAATGTGTCCTCCCTTCTCCCAGCCCAAGCCACCTCCTCCCACCTGCATGGCTTTTGGCCAAAGTTTTCCTTTTGCTTCAACTGAGAGTAGAGCTGCTCTTTCTCCCTGCAGGCACCCTTCACATACTGACGGCAGCCGCCCCCTCGGCCTTCCGCTGCACCCCGCCCCTCATTTCCAGTGGCCCTCTTGCTTTCTCAGGTGTCAGGGCTTCCCGCCTATGCCACCCCCTAGCAGAGAGGCACCCAGGGGTACCCTAACCATTGCAGAGGAGAAGGGCGACCGCCTCCCAGTCCCGGACGCCTGCACATCCGTTAGGCCCAGAGTGGCTGCTCTTCCTGCTGTGGCAGCACTGTCCTGATTTTAGCACAGACGTTTCTACTTTCCGGGAAGTCTCTGGAAAACTGGGAGGGTTGGCCCCCTAATCCTGGGAGTCCAACAGGAAGAGCCAGGAAGATAATGCTGCAGGAGATGACCCGTCCCGTGGGTGAGGGTTCCCTCCCCTCCCGCGGTGGGTGGAGGGTGAGTCCTGTCGTCCTCCTGTGGCGGGAGAGCTGTCCATCATCCATCACTGATTCCTCTCCACTTCTGCGCTGTTCCTGAGGGCTGAGCACAAAGCCTCCTTAGAAAACCAGAGTTCAGGGTGCTTAGATGGAAAGTGTCCAAGAATACTGCTGCGTCTGCGACCACCTCAGCCTCTTTATCCCTCCCCACCACCGTCCCCGCATCCCTCCCTACCACCGTCCCCGTCCCCGCATCCCTCCCTACCACAGCCTCTGCATCCTGCCTACCACAGCTGCATCTTATGTCAGAAGAGTGTTCGAGGGATCTGGGCTGAGGGAATGGAAGGTGTTACCTGCTTGTTTTCAGTTAAGGAAATAACCTGTCTCCTGGGTTTGCTGCTTACCGGAACTCTATTTTCTTTTTTTTTTTCTTTTTTTTTTTTTTTTTTTGAGACGGAGTTTCGCTCTGTCGCCCAGGCTGGAGCGCAGTGGCACGATCTCGACTCACTGCAAGCTCCGCCTCCCGGGTTCACGCCATTCTCCTGCCTCAGCCTCCCGAGTAGCTGGGACTACAGGCGCGCGCCACCACGCCCGGCTAATTTTTGTATTTTTAGTAGAGATGGGGTTTCACCGTGTCAGCCAGGATGGTCTCGATCTCCTGACCTCGTGATCCGCCCGTCTCAGCCTCCCAAAGTGCTGGGATTACAGGCGTGAGCCACCGCGCCCGGCCTCTATTTTCTTTTTTGAGTCTCCCTGTCAGTCCTTAATGTTTTCCACCCCTGTGGTCTCTATTCCCTCAATGTATTCTTCCTTCTTAAACCCTTTAGTTAAGCTCTCACTTGGACATTCTTAAAGAAATTTTGTCTCAAAGAGCACTGAGAACAGTAGTGATGAAACGCGCAGGTCGCTTTTCAGTGCTCAAATTCTTCACTCTGCAGGTTTCCTATAAGCACTTTTCTGTTTTTTTTTTTTTTTTTTCTTTAAAGACACTGTACTAATATTTTAGGACCTATCCTCTGGCCACTTCTGAAGTGTCACTTTTCCAGCTTCAGTCTGTCCTTCTGCTTTGTAAACATGAGCCCAACATCCCAGCAGTTCCATCGGCGTCTCTGGGTTTAATTACAACCTCTCCATGCAAGACCGTTCCTGCATCTCTTGCTAAGCCCCCTCTTTATGACTCAATAGTGGTAACTTCCACCCCCATCTCTACCACCACGACAACAATCATAATTACAAAGCTGCCACTGTGCACCTAATGCTGTGTGAGGCATGAACTTTGTCTTCGATCTTCACATGAATCATTTACAAATCTAAAATCCTCGTGTATTGATTAGGAGACAGACATCTAGAGGTTAACTTGAAAAGTGACTTTCGATTCTTGACATGAGTCTAAAGTCATGTCAAGAATCTCCAAGAATTTTCAGTTACACGAGACATCAATCTCTTCACATTCCAGGTACTTCAATGACATCCATTTTCTTCCCTCTTAGACCGGTTTCTATAACTGTTCTTCTACGTAGAAATAAATTAGTAAATAAAAAGTAAGCTTTCAGTTTGATTTCCCTATTTCTGTCCCGATGTAAAATTTGGCATCATCTTGATTCCCCTTTTGCTTGTTCCTTACTGATATTTTCCAAAACATCTCCCCACATCATTTTCTCTTCACATGTATCCCAGAAAGGTATGAACTTTTGGATCAGATGACATGGTTTTGAGATTGGCTCTTCAACTTATTGGTGTATGAACTTGAGGAAGTTGCGTTTTTCCTCTGAGTTTCAGTTTTCTCATCTGTCACTTGAGGAGGACTATGACAACCCCAGGGCCCCTGGGCCTTTAGTGAGGATTAATGAAAATGAATGGGTGAAATGGCGAGGGTCAGCCCCACATGCTGGACGCCCTTGGTCCCGGCTCCCTTCTCTACTCTGTGATGTCAGGCAGGGCTGCCGCCAGGAGGAGGGTGCACCTGCCCTGTGACCTGCTCTTCTCCCTACCGTAAACTCGCTCCCTGTCCCTCCACGGCCCACAGACGTCTGTGTCTTTGTATTGCTGCCAGCCTTCCGGTCCTGCAGCCACCCTCCCCAGCTCCCCACTGAGGGCTGGTGCCCCCACCTGTCCTTACTGCTCTCCACCTCGGTGCCTTTCTGCCTCCCCACCCAGGCTCATGCTGTTTGTCCCCAAATTGCCTTCCTCCCCCTGCCTACCTGGTCAGATCTGAGTCGCCTTCCTGGCTGAGTCCCAGCCTTTCACGAAGAGCCTGAAGTCCAGGATGCTGGAGGTGGAGGAGCTCCTCTGTGCTCCCTCCTGTGAACTGGACGCTCGCAGTGGCATTTCTTCACTGATCCGTCACACGTAGGCTCTCTGCATATCACATGTGGCTTGTATTGTCATGTATTTAGGCCTCAACTTTCCAACTATATGAGTTCCCAAAAGGTGGGAAGTAAATGGCATACTTTTAACTATTTCTGTAGCTTGTGTGCTGTACATAGTAACTATCTGAAAAAATGATTCGTATCTGAAAAATAATTTATAACAGGTGTTCTCCTGGCTATTTGGGAGAGTAATTTTCAGGCCAGCTACTTTATGGGGTAGAATAACACAGAGTGACTCCCCATGCCCAAATGTATTAGCATATACAGTGAGCATTGAAGGATACACCATTTGACATCTTCGTAAACTCCAAAATTCAAGGTGTCAGCACAGCTTGTACTTCCTCCTATAAAATGTGTTTTTGTCCCTACTAGAGAATTTGCTGATGTAATTTGTTAAGTAGCCTTTTTTAACTTTTTTATGAAGAAAAAGATATAGATCCAAACCACATAACACAGATCCAAGCACTGCTGGGCTCGGTAGTCTATGTTTTTGCAATGGGTGTGAGCCTGTGGCTGCCTGCCAGCTGTCATTGTTGTAGGTTTCTTCTTCCTGTCCCTCCACTCTCAGCACCTGTGCTAACTCTAGGCTTTCCTGGGGAGGGTTTTGTAAAAACCAACAAATGACGCTTTTATTTTAATTTGTTTTGTTTTTTAAAAACATGTTCATTACTTCAGAAGTTTTGTGCGCACAATGAGAGTAGAAAACTGCCCCAGTTATCTACCACCTTGAGTCATGGTGGCTTTAACAGTGATTTATTTACAATCTCTTGTGGCTCTGGGGGTCAACTGGGCTCGGCTGAGTGCTTCTCAGTTGGGGCCTCCACTGCAGGTACCATCAGAGAGTGGGTGGGAGCCATGTCATCCGAAGGCTCGATTGGGCTGGGGGACTCCCACATGTGGCCGGCAGGTGGTGCACTGCTGCTGCCTGGTATCTCAGCAAGAATTCCCAACCAGCTCACCATATTGACTTCCTCAAAGTTTATACAGAGTGTTACTTTAGGGGTTAACAAAGCATTTACTATCTTTTCAACTTTGCTGATAATTTCAAAAGATGACTGACACCCAGATGACCAATGTCCACAAAGTGGTGTGCCATGGCCTCCAGTGTGTGTGCTATGGCCTCCAGTGTGTGCAGAGCCTGTTTGTGAATTAAAGGCAATCACAAGGAGAAACGGTCATGGTGACCCATTCTGAGCTGTACACAGTGTCCTCTGTAGGATTGTAGCCAGAGGCAGATGGCTTTCCTAGAAATGCCTCAATGTTGAGTTTTAAAGCAACTCCTTATGACTGTTATCTGAATTTACCAAACTGTCCCTGGCTTTTCTTAGGAATGAACTTCTGATGTTGCTGTGGAATTTTCTGCCTGGAAACTTATTGTTATGAAACATGTGACTGTAAGCCACATTCCTCGCCTTTTATGCACCTCACAGTGTCTATGCAAATGAACAGTGTGATTTTAAATTTGAGGAAGTTTCAATAAGAGTGAGATCTAAGAGGATCTTTAATATAGGGGCATTTTTAGAGAGCTAAAAACCAAATAGGTCTCAGCTTTCTCAGGGTGACATATAATTTAGATTTGACTTGGAACTACAGAAGGAATATGGGGCAAAGGACATGAGAAACATTGCAGAGGTCAGTGCCATATGGAGCTTCCACCTCAGCTCTCGAAGTAAAGGCAACCAGCCCAGGCTGGGAGCCAGTCAGCAGCAGGGTCTCAATCTCCATCCACTACCTTCCCCTCTGGGGCAGGGAGGGTGTTGCAGGGAGGAGGCCACTCTTGGAGACCTCCAGATCCCTGCCTCTGTGCAGTCTAACAGAAGGGGCCCCCACAGTGGCCATGAATCTCTTTGTTCTGCAAGGAAGGGGGTGTCATTGGGCCTCCTGGGTCCCTCAGCATCTGCGTGGCCACACAACGCGGTTTTGTTCAACACGTTACATTTCTGCTTAATTAATGTTCATTTTTGGTCCCCAGCAAAGTCCAATCTGTTTTTCGTTTTCTTTCTTTTCTTTCCAGGCAGGCATTGCCAGGGCTAATCATCTATAAAAGGGCTTACTTTCTTACCTTCACGCTAAGCAAGACCATCCAAGGGCAGTGTTAGAGGGCACCTGAGAACGCAGGAGGGGTGTGTTACCTGGTGGCCTGTTTCTTCCTCCTATGGGCAGCCCTTCTACAGGAAGCAGAAGCCTCAGGGGCGATGGTAGAAATGAGGAGGAGGGGATGGAGCTGAGGTAGCAGGGGAGGGGTCGTAAGAGCAGAGGGGAGGGTCTTGCTTTGTTCGCCATCCAATAATCAGCAGGTTTCGGGTTGGGGTGAACTACTGGGGAGGAGCGCCCCAGGGCTTCTCTCAGATGGAGGAGGGACAGGTCACCCAGAGTGAAGGAAGTTGTGAGCTCTGTTAGAGGAAAACAGCCAGGACTTAGTCAGGAGAGGCTTTGTTTGGAAGGATTGTTGTAAGGCAGGGAGAGGAATGATGGCAGCAAGAGGACCCCGTGACCATAGGTCTGCAAGCACTTCAAACAGAAAAGGCCCTTCTTTTATCCAGTAAGGGGGAGCCACTGGGGCCAGCAGAGTCTTTGGAGGGGACCCTGGACAAACCCGGGAAAATGGCCAGTGGGGTTGAGCAGGACACAGGTCCTGCTGTGTCTAGCTGGTTCCCCAGAGAGATGATAAGGGGTGCGCTCCAGCTTCTCAGGCTCACTCAGGCGTGAGGACGTGGAGCTCAGGGCTCTGCAGGAAGGAGCGACCCAGGTGAGGTGTGGTCAAGATAGAGCAGAGCTGGGCAGCGGGCAGTGGAGCCTCGTGGGCAGCCTGGGGGTGGGGAGGCACAGTGCACTGGGAAGTGGAGAAAGTGTGAGTCCATCAGGCTGGCTGAGAATTGATCACGAACCTATTGTCTGTAAAACTTTTGTTATTTCCTGAGACGTGGTTCACAGCAACCCAGGTGCGAACAGCCTTGTGATTCTAGGGTTCTTTTCTATTTTTTAAGCACTTGCATCTACAAATAAATTTCTGAGTGACTTGTCGTCAGCTGCTTTCCTTGATATGTCTAAAGACAGGGCAGTGACCCGCATCGTCACCCAGAGATTCTGTCTCTGTGCCACATGAAGATTAGGTGCCCGCTTTTGATTGAGGAGCTCCTCTGTTGCTCTCAAAGTATCTTGTAATAATAGCTGAGATGCATGGAGAACCACCTCTCCTTCAGGCGCTGCTCCTCGGCTTCCGTGGACGGGCATGGCTATTTCTCGGAACCCTCTGAGGTTAGAGCTGTCATGGTCTTTCTTCTGAAAGAGGAAACCGAGGCTTGCTGGGGCTCAGTGGCCCTTCTGTGGCTGCACAGCTTTCGGGGTGGGGCCAGGACTGACTGACTCCACACAAAAGTGCTCCCGGCCCATGTCTTTAACTCACACGGCCTCTTGCAAACGTTCCCAAATCTTCCCAGTCGGCTTGCAGAGACTCCTTGCTCCCAGGAGATAACCAGGTAAAGGAGTATGAAAGTTTGGGTACAAACTCATTGCTGCAAATTGAAAACCATGCAAAGGCTGTCTTCCTCTGGGGAGTTCAATGCCTCTCTTTTTCTTATCACTTTACCATTGGTTGGACTTTGATTCCAGGGATCCTACGATTACTCAATACCCTACAGGATATACATGGTTAACCATTTGCATTTGGGCAAATAGGCGTTACTTTTCAATAGGAAGTGGCAATCCAGAACTTGCTTTTGGGCAATTCTAGTAGCTCACCGCTTTTTTCTTAATGACTGCTAGAAGCTGCATCTTATTGACAGATGGTCATCACATTGGTGAGCTGGAGTCATCAGATTGTGGGGCCCGGAGTGAGGCTGAAGGGAGTGGATCAGAGCACTGCCTGAGGTGAGCATGCCAAGGCCCCTGAGACTTTTCTTTCAAAAATGTAACTTCTTTGATCCCCTAGTCTGACAGGAATGGGACTGTTTTACTCATTAATCTTCCAGAATGCTGGCATATTGACCATGTTTATGCTTAACGACACAGACTTCCTTTCCTGAAAGCATTGACTTTATGGTTTTAGGAAGCCCACTTTTCCTCTAAGTGTATAGTAAGGGATTTCATACTCGCTCCCTGCACTGGAGCTTCGGTGATGGTCTGGGTACTTGCTCCTCATACAGGAGATATCCTCAGGGCATCAGTCTGGAGAGGAATGTGATTCTTTATTTGATCAAATACACTGAAAGATTTTGGAAAACAAAAAAATTAAGCTAAGAAATATTTTGGAGGCAGTAAGTCATTTATGCAATGAAGGCTGATGAGTGGGCATCCCGGACAGCCTAAGATTGAGCAGGAAGGAGCTTGTGAGGGGGAGTTAAGAGAAATTGACAAGGTGGAAATTTCAACAAGTCTCAGTTGCAAAGCTCTCATGAGGGCTGCCAATGCCACTGTGATTATGAAGGCAGTATCTTATGACCAGAAAATAATACACAATGATATTAAAGGGAGCCAGGCTAGGTGCAGTGGCTCATACCTGTAATCTCAGCACTTTGGGAGACCAAGCTGGGTGTATCAGCTGAGGTCAGGAGTTCGAGACCAGCCTGGCCAACATGGTAAAATCCCGTCTCTACTAAAAATACAAAAATTAGCCAGGCATTGTGGCATGTGCCTGTAATCCCAGCTACTTGGGAGGCTGAGGCAGGAGAATCACTGGAACTTGGGAGGCGGAGGTTGCAGTGAGCCGAGATCACGCTACTGCACTCCAGCCGGAGATCAGCTCCAAAGTCCACTTAGCAGCAGGACATAGATATTGTAGAGATCAGCTTTATAAAGAAAAACAAAAATGCAAGGCCATAACTAAAGCTATTCTTTAAATGGTTAAAGATGTAATTTCTGCAAATAAAACAGAAAACATAAAAGCAAACTTCCAAAGAAATTAAAGGAACTGAAAAAAAAAAAAAACCAACCCACAGAAGCTTAATAAACAAATCACCGGGGGAAAACAAAAAAAAAATCAAACCTCCTGGTCTCCTCCTTAGCCACTCTCATTCAAAAGCAGAAGGAAGCCAGCCTAGAGTTTCAGCTCCACTGATGCTTATCTAAAAAGGTATAAAATATGGTGGGCCCATGATTCAAATAAACTTAGAGAACATAAATGTATTGAACACCTACCATTACAGTATGCAAAACTCTGATATCAATAAGATGTTTTAAAATAAATATATTATTTAAGATCTTGTGGGAATTCTATGGCATTTCACTAAGACCTGCTGGTGGCAAGGTGAATTAGAACGGCGAGTAAGAGACAGTAATGGGAGTCTCACCAGTACTCACAGTCCTAGATGAGCTACACTCGCTATCTGTAAAATGGGTATGATGTCTACCTTAAAGGGTTTTGTGAGGTTAAAAGAGATAAACAGCTGTAAACCAGTGATTCTAATGCCTAGCAGGTAACTAGAACTTAATTTACAGCATATGCGCGCACACACACACACACACATATGCGTGCATATATACATACACACACGTCCATATGTACACACACACAGTTATACACATACTGCACACACATGCATGCATACACACATGTATGTATACATGCAGGCACCAATATACACCCATGCACACACATGCAAATACACACATACACATGTATACACACATGTGCACACCTATATACACACATGCATACACATGCATATACACATACATGATATAAACAGGTGTATATATGCAGGCATATGCACACTGCACACATGCACACATGCCTAGACACATACATACACACACACCGACATATGCACACACACACACATACTCTTATTTAGTTCTTGCTCCTTGTTTTGCAGGGCCACTACTATTTATGAAAGTAAGCACAAATTTAAAACTGTCTGACAATTGTAACACATTGTTAAGCTAGTTATTAAATGTTTTTAAATTACAAGTCCACACAGTTTTTATTACCAGTAATATTTTCATAACTATTACTAATGTTTTCCCCATATTGAATTTTCTTGGACAGAGTCTGTCCTTGGCCAAAGGGATGATCAATGGCAGTCGGTCTGTTGCTTGGTCCCCCCAACCCCTGCTCTTCTTGGGGAGCCCCCCACCCACAGCTCTCACCGGCCTTCCCTCTTTGCTACCACCACAGAGCCAGCCAGTATTGGTCTCCCTGAGAGTGTGTGCTGTGGCTACCCACCTCTTCTGGGGCCATTTGCCTGTGATTAGAGGACTCCCAATGCCCTCAAGTCCAAAAACATGGTTTTCTCTAAGGTAGAGGCACCGTTGAAGGCCGGGGGGAGATGAGTGTGGCTGTGTTTGGAGAACTGAACACGGCCTTAAATCCTATAGTGAGGGCAGCCCCTCCCTCTTTCTTCTGGTTCTGCTTTTTAGCAGAATGTATAATTAGGTGTTCTTTTCATTTCTAAATGAATTAGCCAATTAATTATTACTTTCTGAGATACTCTATTGCATATTGTACCTAATAAAAGTTGTACTAGGAAGCCACATTACTTTATTGCAATAAAAATTGCAAAAAAAATTGAACATTTTAAATGCTATGTAAGAAATATTATTCTGGAATTAAGTTTTTATTAAAGTAACAGTTTTAAACATGTGTGATAACAAGATCTTTGAAATGTTAAAATTGAAATTCAGAGGCTAAGTTATTACTTACCATGTGCATATATTTAATCTTCATGAGATCCTAGTACATTTGCATTTCATTTAAAAGAGTAGGGTGGTGGCTTGTAGTCCCAGCTACTCTAGAGGCTGAGATGGTAGGATAGCTTGAGGCCAGGAGTTTGAGGCTGCAGTGTGCTATTATCGTGCCTGTGAATGGCCACTGCACTATAGCCTGGGCAACATAGCAAGACCCCATCTCTAAAAAAAGGTAGTTTATTTATATGATTTCAAGCCTAAAATACATACTGAAGTATAGCTTATCATTATTTGCCTCTAAGTAAGGGAAGAAAAAGCCATTAAAAATATCTTTTAATACGAGTTTATTTCTAAGTCTAACGTATGTCCACAAAGAGAAGAGAATCAATCAGACGTGAGGCCTGCACAACTTTTGTTTCATGCATTTGCTAGGGGAATGGAGGCACTTCAAGTCAGAGGCTGGTGTGGGGACCAGCACACCGTCTAAAGATTCCTCCTGTGTTTGCCTTGGTGGCACCCCTTGCCACATTCCCTGGGTCAGGCAATGCCAGCCCTGGGGGGCCTGTGAGCTGCTGCAGTCAGGTGGTGGGTGCATGTAGCCATCTTCTTGTCTTCCCTCTGCTGTTGCCTCGAATAGGGATTGGCCCCTAGGAGCTGCTCAGACCTGTCTTTGGATGAATGAATGAAGAGTCCTCTAGGTTAGTGATATTCTTTGGCTGTGTCCCCATCCAAATCTCATCTTGAATTGCAGTTCCCATAATCCCCACGTGTGGTGGGAGGGACCAGGTGGAGATAATTGAATCATGGGGCAGTATCCTGTTCTCGTGATAGTGAGTGAGTTCTCACGGGATCTGATGGTTTTACAGGGGGCTTCCCTCTTCGCTGGGCACTCATTCTTCTCCTTCCTGCCATCATGTGAAGAAGGATGTGTTTGCTTCCCCTTCTGACATGATTGTCAGTTTCCTGAGGCCTCCCCAGCCATGCTGAACTGAGTCAATTAAACCTCTTTCCTTTATAAATTACTCAGTCTCAAGTATGTCTTTATTAGCAGTGTGAGAACGGACTAATACAGTCAACTTATTGATCATATGGTTTATATAATCATACATCTATAATTATATAGATTATATAGTCAGATTATATGATTTATATCATCATATAAATAAACTACCTTTTTTAAAGAGATGAGGTCTTGCTATGTTGCCCAGGCTGGAGTGCCGTGGCCATTCACAGACACGATAATCACACACTGCAGCTTGGAACTCCTGGCCTCAAAAATTTCCCAAAGTGTTTCCAAAGAACAGGAACTGAAAAGGTTCTGTGAGTGAGAAGGTTTGGGAAATAGTGAGTTATTCCAGCAGGGCTCTGAAGGGCCACTGATAAACAAGCTCTAATAGGAATAAACTAGGGAAGGATGTAGTTAGCATCTTATTAATGTCTTAATATACTAGCCACAGAGAAATCATTTCCCACCCCTGTCTGTCTCCCTCCCTTCTTTTTACCCAGAGCATCTCTTGGAACTCACTTTTAGATGCTGGATGCATGAATTCCCTAAGAAGAAACAGCTCCTAAATTGAAGTATGCATTAGAATAATACAGAGATTGTGTTAATGCAAGGATTTGAATCTTCAAAGCAGACATCCATAGGATCTATAGATCTTACCTAATGTCAAACTTTACTAATGATTCAATAACAAAAACACTAGGCAGAGAGATGCATCCCATGTTGGCTGGGCTGTTCTCAAACTCCTGGCCTCAAGTGATCCACCCACCTCAGCCTCCCAAGGTTCTGCGATTACAGGTGTGAGCCACTGTGCCCAGCTATTCTGTGCTTTTAGATAGGGGTTCCCAGGCTTCTTTCCACTAGTAAGTACTATTTGCATGTTTACAAGGAGATCTGGTCCTCGCCCAATCCAGTCATGGGCAGAGTTCAGTTCTTTGTGACTGTAGGACTGAGATCCTCATATTCACGTTGGCTGTCAGCAGAGGGCCTTTTTAGCTTCTCAGGGCAACCACATGGCTCGGCTTGTGGCCCCCTCTTCTGTCTGCAACTCCAGCAACAATACATTGAATCTCTCACCTTTGAATCTTTTCTTCTCCCGTCTCCAGGGAGAAGGACTCTTCACCTCTAGGGACTCGTGATTGCAGTGGGTCCAACTAGATAATCCAGCATGATCTCTGCTTACCTCCAGGCCCTTAGATCTTTGACTTCATTGCATATGCAAAATCCCTTTTGCTGTGTAAGGCAACACGTACACAGGTTCTGGTGCCTGTGTCAGGGCCTGGGCAGGGGGCCATGATTCCGCTAACCACAAGCGTGACATGGGGCCATGATTCTGCCGACAAGTGCTGTCCCCTGTGTCCGGTGCCTCCGCGCTCTATCTATTATTGGGTTGGAAAGCCTTAGTGACCACGGTGGAGAGTACCCAGAGGTGAGCAGAGCTGGCTGGCTTTCCAGCTGGCTGGATGTCTGCGCCCACATAGTACTGATTAACTAGCCTCTTGGTGAGATTACTAGCAAATAAAATTCTTAAGATTTTTGCTGCTGCTGCACTTTCATCTTATATCTGTGTAGTTGCTTATTTATTTTTGTATTTTTATTTTTTATTTTTGAGACGGAGTCTTGCTCTGTCACCCAGGCTGGAGTGCAGTGGCACAATCTCAGCTCTCTGCAAACTCTGTCTCCCAGGTTCAAGTGATTCTCTTGCTTCAGCCTCTTGAGTAGCTGGGATTACAGATGTGTGCCACCACACCCAGCTAATTTTTTTATATTTTTGGTAGAGACAAGGTTTCACCATGTTGGCCATGCTGGTCTCAAACTCCTGACCTCAAGTGATCCGCCTGCCTTGGCCTCCCAAAGTGCTGGGATTACAGGTGTGAGCCAATGCACGCGGCCTGCTTATTTAAAGCTATGTGGAGAAGCTTCTATTTTCCCTACTGAATTTTACAACATTAGATTTACCCATTGCTTGATTCTGTCCAGAATATTTGTACATTGATTCTGTCATCCAATATATTAATTATCTTTTTAGGCTTCTTGACATCTTCAGATCTAATGAACTTGCCTCCTCTCTTTTTGCCCCTCTCATCAATAGAAGCAATGGGCAGGACACAGCTGAAGGCCGAAATCAGTGCAGTGTCCATAGGGCCTTGTGCCAGCCTGCCAGCAAAGTGGTGTCACAGAGCCAATTGTCCAGACACCTAGCAAGCCACCTAATTGTACTTGCACCTGGATCATGGTTCCTCTTCTTGATTGCTTATAAGTTTCAGATTTTATCGTAAGTGTTCAATGTCTGTAACACCTCCCTGATCTGCAGTTTATTGACTGTTACCACCAAGGCTTGGAAATCAGTGTGACATGACTGAGTGTTACCAAACCCACGCTGACCCCCAAGGGCCCACCACTTCCGTTCCAGACGCTCCTGCACTTGCTTCATAATGCCCTCAACACCCTGCTGAGAACCAACAGCCAACATTTTACCTCATTCGGAGGCATTATCTTCTTTCTCTCTGCAAATGGGTTTTGAGCTTCCTTACACCAGCTCTATGCTCCTGGACTTCACAGGCACCATTCGCTGGAGTCAGGCAAATTCACTGCAACATTCCCTGAATATTTTTGAAATGCTTTTTTTAAAAAAGAGTAGAGAGGTGCCAAACAGGAATCAAGAAATTCTGCTTTCTCTTGTCTTCAGAACATGTGATAAAGCTCAGTCAATGAGATATGCCTTCCTGGTGAAGGAGATACTCAGGGGATGAGACATGATGAGTCTCTCATTTGGTGTCATGCCATAGTGTGCCCGCCCTACAGGGTACCCCGGGTCCTGTGAGAGGCTAACATTCAGGTGGGGGGTGACAATGAGTTACTGAGACAGCAACAATCGACACTTTACTTGAGGCAGCTGAATATTGGAAAAGAAGCCTCTTAACTGCAAAACCGAATTGAGTCAAATGACATTTCTAAAGTGTGTCATTAGATGACTTTTTCTTAGAGCCCCTGAAACTCCTCCTCCAAAGAACAGTGTGTCCTACAGAAGCTCTAGAAGTATTCCTCTGCCCACTTGTTTGGGAAATATCTAAATTCCAAAGACAAGAAAATTACACTTTAAGAATCAGTTGAGCTGAATGTATTTTACATGTGATTTAATGACATCAAAGTGAGATCTGGTGAGAATGGTGGTCATAGGGACCACGTGTGAGATAGGAAGTGCTGAACCTCAAAGAGACAGTGTGAGATGTGTTGCAGGTGGCTGCTTTGCAAGGGTAGGTTCACTGGTTCACCAAGAACTGGACACAGGGCTCAGCACATTTCCCTGCATCTCTCATCTGCCACTCGTAGATAACAGGGTGTCTTATTCTCAGTTCATTAAAGAAGGAACAGAAATATCTACTAAAAAACTTCTTAGTGTCTTCACATCAACATTTTCTTAATAGAAAATCTGCAGCCTGTTTCTCCAAGGAGCTGGTGACTGCTGCCTGAGATCTGAGATGATAGAGCAAGTTGTGAACAGGATTCTTTACACGTTGAGGTGATACCCACGCCAATCTGTCACCAAAACAGTTTCCTTAAAACAATTCACACAGTTTTTCCTGTGAAAACAGTGGCTTGGGGAAGGCCGAATCATTTTCAATGACTGTGGCTGGCATACAGGTGAACCTGACAACCACCGTTTTTATGGAGAATCCTGATTCTTAACCACAGTGACATTAAATTTGTCATTATCTAGAATTGTACATTGTTTATACCTAACACGTGCAAAACACCATCCTAAGAGACATGGAATTTATCAATTTTGGTTCATTGACTTATTCTGACATGAGAATAAATGAAAGGAAATTAAAGTAGTGTCTTATGAACAGGACGGAGTAGGCCAGCTTCTCATAGCTCTGCCGGGAACTTCCTGCCCTGTGGCCTGTGTATCTGGTTCCCTCTGGGCCTCCTTCTCTCAGGGACCCCACCCTCTGGGCCCCCCTCCCTCCGGGACTCCTCCCTCTGGGACCACCCTCCCTCTGGACCCCCTCCCTTTGGGACCCCTCCTTCTGGGACCCCCATCCCTCTGGACCCCTTCTCTCTGGGCCCCCTCCCAACTCCTTCTGCCGACAGGGATCCATCACACAGGCGCCCCAGTGCTGGCCTTCTGTTCACCAAGAGTTACTCACTTTCTGGGGTGCATCTCGTGATGACTGCTAGCATGGAACCGTTATATAATTACTTGTTTACCTGGCAGCCTTTTGAAGCTCAAGTACGCGTTGAGTCATCGCTGCACTTCAGTGCCTCTCCTCCGTAGACAGTTCATAAACATTTGTTGAACTGAGTTCAACTTAAATTCAGAAAATACTGTGTGTCACGGTGCAGTTAAACAAATGCTTACCTTAAATGGGGGCCCGTTGGGCATCGAGTGCACGGCGTGCCGGGCCGTCCCTCCCTTTTTGGCCCCCGCTGCTCTTCCCATCGTCATCAACTCAGCCTCCACGTGATGGGGAGGTCACTCCCTCCCATCCGGTCCCAGCCCCACTCACCTGGGAACCCGTGCCGCTGGCCCCACCTTGGCCTAGCATCCGTCCAACCCTGCAGCGACCGCTCCCCACAGCCCCTGCTCCCTTGTTCTCCAGAGCCGCGCCCCTGCTGCAGGCCTCCCCCTCGCTGTCCCCAAGCCCCTGCCTTCCACCCACACTGCCCACTCCTTCCCACCGTCCCCGCCTCTGTCCTTATGGAGTCCTCAAAAGCTCTTCTTGCCCCAGAACCTCCCATTACCCCTCAGTGCTCAGCGGCAGATCCTTGCTGTGACTGTTTATGGCACTAAGTGTCTGTTCCAACACATTTGCGCGGAAGAGTACGCAGGTACTTTTAAATTAACTTTATTGAGGCTAATTTATATGCAATAAATGTCACCGATTGAAGGGTACAATTCAACAGGTCTTGACAAGGGCACCCAGCCATGTGCCACCCCCACAATCAGGATAGAGGACATTTCTGCCACCACAAAAGCCCCTTGTGTCGCCCAACCCCAGCCAATCCCTTCTTCCCGTCCTGATGACAATCCCTGATTTCATTCCTGCCACTGTTATTTTGCCTTTTCTAGAAATGTTAGGGGTGGAATGGTGCAGTGCATGGTCTCTTCTGCCTGGATTTCTTACCGAGCGAAGGTTTTGAGTCACCCCCGTTGGAGCATGCATTAGTCGCCCGTTCCTTTTCATGGTTGAGTAGTATATGCTGTTGCATGGATACACTTCAACTCGGGTATCTGCTCACCAGTTCACAGACATTTGGGTCTTTTTCAGTTTGGGACGGTTAAGAATAAACCTGCTGGGAATGTTCCAGTGTTAATCCTCCCATGTCTCTTGGGTAGACATGTAGGAGTCGGTTGCAGGTTCCCATGGTGGATGCATGTTCAGCTGTGCAAGAAAGGACCCCACTGTCTCCTTGGAGTGGCTGTGTGATCTTGCAGTCCCACCAACAAAGTGTGAGAGCCCCAGATGCACCATGTCCTCTCCCAGCTTCCAGCCCCCTGTTTAATCTTAGTCCTTCCAGTGGGATCTCTGTGTGTGTGTCTGTGTGTGTGTGTGTATGTGTGTGTGTGTTTTGGACGGAGTCTCTCTCTGTCACCCAGGCTGGACTGCAGTGGCGTAATCTCAGCTCATTGCAACCTCCGCCTCCCGGGTTCAACTGATTCTCCTGCCTCAGCCCCCCAAGTAGCTGGGATTACAGGAGCACGCCATCACGCCTGGCTAATTTTTGTATTTTTAGTAAAGATGGGGTTTCACCATGTTGGCCAGGATGGTCTCGAACTCCTGGACTTAAGTGGTCCGTCTGCCTCGGCCTCCCAAATTGCTGGGATTACAGGCCTGAGCCACTGTTCCCAGCCTTCATTGTGGTTTTAATTTGCATTTTCCTCATGATTAATGGCATTGAGCGTCTTTTTTGTGTGTGTATTTGCCATCCATGTATTTTCCTTGGTGAATTGCCTGTTCACATTTCCCCCTGTTTCTTATTGTTTATGTTTTTGATAGGGAGTTGTAAAAATTATTTGTATATTCTGGATATAACCTATTATCAGATATAAGCTTTAACATACTTTTTTCTATTCAATATATATATGTTTCACTTTCTTGAGTGTCTTTCAAAGAGCAGAAGTTTTACATTTTGTACAATCAAGTACAATTTATCAATTTTTTTACAGTTCATTCTTTTTGCAATTTATATAAGAAGCTTCTTTTTCCAGGGTCACAAAGATTTTCTCCCATTTTTCCTTCTAGATGTTTTATGCTTTAGCTCTCACATTTAGATTTATAACTCATTTGAGTTACCTTTTGCAAATGGTGTGAGGTAAGCAGTAAGGATCGACTTTTTGTTCATGTCATTCCAGGACCATTTACTGAAGACTGTTCTTTTCCCATTGAGTTACCTTGGCACCTAAGTTAAAAATCAGTCCGCCATCTATATGTGGATCTATGTCTGGCCTCTGTTCTGTTCCAGTGATTTATGTAACTGTCCTTTCAGAAATCCAACACCGTCATGGTTAGTGTAGTTCCTTGTCAGCTCTGAGACTGGGTAGTGTGAGTCCTCCATTTTTTTTTTATCTTTTTCAAAATTGTTTTGGCTATTTTAATTTCCTTGAATTTCTATAAAAATTTTGGAATTGACTTGTCAATTTCTCAAAAAAAAAACCCTACCATAATTTTGATTTAGTTTATGTTGTATCTACAGATCGATTTGGGGAGAAATTATATCTTGAAATTGAATCTTTGATAAATTTGAACATGAAATGTCATTGAAAATTGAACATGATAAATTTCTCCATTAATTTAGGTCTTATTTAATTTTTGCCAACAATGTTTTGTAGTTTTTAGCATATAAATCTCACATAAATTTTGTTAGAGCTATCCATAAGTATTTTACATTTTATGATACAATTGTATATATAATTATTGATACTATTATATATGATATATGTGTGTATATATATATATATATATATATATATATATATATATAGTTTTAACATCCAAATGGTAATTCCAATTGGTGTATTTTATTTTACATATTGTATATTTCACCTCCCATGCCCTCCACCCCTGCCATGCTCTGCAGCTTAGAAAGAGTGTGTATCATTTCTCACTGTATTTGTTCTCCTCCTGCCAGGATCCATAATCCTGTGATGCCTAGTGCCGAGGTCTGAAAATGGTTGTTACATTTTGTAGGTTTTTCTAGTTGTTTAATGCAGCAGGGTGCCTTTGGTCTCTGTTGATCCACCGTGGCTGGAAGCTGAAGTTTAGCAGTGGTGTTCTGATTGCTGTGCTTCTTCTGATTGATACGATTACCTCGTCACATGCTTTTGCAACACAGGGGTCTATACCACGCTTCTTCTGCATACTCTAAAGCACTCAACTGTATACCTGCTGGGATTACAAAAGTGCAGAGGTGACTCCATACCTTCCTCCAGCTTTTTAGGCCCAAAGCAGTGACTGAGGGGCAGTGAAGAACCGATCTCTAAGTTGTGACTCCAGGCATCAGGGAAGGAATGGGGTGGAGTAAATAATGAAATGAGAATCAAAATTATGTAAGAAATAGGTTTGGAAAATAATTCAGGGTGAACTTTGTGTTACATGGGCTTCCTCTCCAAAAGGTCAGTATCCACGTGGACTCGTAAGTGAGGACTGATATGACACAGTGTGGGGGCGAGGAGGGCAGTTCCACTTTCTCTGCCTGTGCACCTGGGGCTGCACTTCCCTAGCTGCTCCCGCTTGGCATGGCCAGGCCCACGTGGTGCGAGAGCAGGGAAAAGAGGAGGAAGATGGGCGATTGGCTGGGAAGCACATCCAACGTCAATATCAGAGCGTTTCAGGCCATGGATTTTACTGGGGGACGTCCAGGGCGTGTTAATAAACAGGATGATGGACAATGCTGGAAAGAAGGAGTGAGCCTGAGAATAGCGAAGGGTTTTTCTTTCTTTTTAAGTTTGCTTCAGATGGTGGATTTCAAAGCCCTTCGTCCTCAGGCGCTCCACAACCGCTCCAGCTCTTCCCGGTCTCCTGCTAAACTTCTTCAGCCTGGACCCATGCACCGCCACTGCTGGCGTTCCCAGCACACGGTATACTCCATTGTTTCCTGACAATCCAGTTGATTCGGCCAGGCTGGTTGCTCAGCTGTTTCACAAACATACAGGGCTCATGACTCAGGACTGCTCTTCAGCCTGAGACGAGCTGGTCACCTGAAGGAGATGGCGGTTCTCTGTCAATCATTGGCCCATAGCCTCACCATTCTCCAAGAACCCTGATCAGAGCCTCCTCCTCCAGGAAGTCTTTCCTAACTGTGCCAGCCTCCACCTTTCCTCTGGCATTTGGATTTCTGATGATTAGGATGCCTCTGCCACAGCAGATTCATGCTTGTGACCTGGAATGTCTACTGGAAAGGTCTGCGGCTGTGGAGAAGCAGGTGCATTCCTCTCCAGCGCCTTCCCAGGCTGGAGCAGCTTGTTCAGTGTGTCTTGAGAACAGCACTCATAGTCAAACTTTAAATTCTACTGGAGATTCTCACATGCCCACAGGGGTGATCATCACTGACATATATTGTGAACGATTTAAAGCCCGGGACTATGAATTATACATTTTCTATGCGCTTTCACACTTCTATAGATTTTGTTCAGTAAAATCTTGTTGAATGTTTTTAAATTTTGCGTAAAGATTTTTGTGCAGATCAAAACTTGTGGATTTCTGAGAGCACCTTATTTAACCAATAGATCAAGGGTTGGCAAATTATAGCCTCTAGCCAACGGACCCCGGCGAGGCCTGTTCAGTTATGTAATTGTAGATGCTTTCAAGCTCCAAAGGCAGATTTGAGGAGCTGTGACAGAGACCATATGGCCTGAAAAGCCCTAAAATATTTACTATCTGGCCCTTTACAGAAAGAGGTTGCTGATGCCTATTCTCAATGAATATTTGTATGTAAAATAGTGTGCTGTGCACTCTGTTCACACGAGATGGAATGCTGGTAACTTAACTGTCTGGCTCTCCAGGAATACCTGTGTTAACTGTAGTGCATTTTGCCTTCTTTCCTTCTTAGAGTCACCTCTACTTTCCTGCTACCGCTGCCTGTGAGCTGAAGGGGCTGAACCATACACTCCTTTTTCTACAACCAGCTTGCATTTTTTCTGCCCACAATGAGCGGGGTAAGATTTTTATTTTTGGCAAGGGGTATAATTTGGGTTCACTGTGGCTACTTGAACACTACACTGCAGCTAACTCTATCTTTGTTTCCTTTCCAGGAATCAATGAATTTCAGCGATGTTTTCGACTCCAGTGAAGATTATTTTGTGTCAGTCAATACTTCATATTACTCAGTTGATTCTGAGATGTTACTGTGCTCCTTGCAGGAGGTCAGGCAGTTCTCCAGGCTATTTGTACCGATTGCCTACTCCTTGATCTGTGTCTTTGGCCTCCTGGGGAATATTCTGGTGGTGATCACCTTTGCTTTTTATAAGAAGGCCAGGTCTATGACAGACGTCTATCTCTTGAACATGGCCATTGCAGACATCCTCTTTGTTCTTACTCTCCCATTCTGGGCAGTGAGTCATGCCACCGGTGCGTGGGTTTTCAGCAATGCCACGTGCAAGTTGCTAAAAGGCATCTATGCCATCAACTTTAACTGCGGGATGCTGCTCCTGACTTGCATTAGCATGGACCGGTACATCGCCATTGTACAGGCGACTAAGTCATTCCGGCTCCGATCCAGAACACTACCGCGCAGCAAAATCATCTGCCTTGTTGTGTGGGGGCTGTCAGTCATCATCTCCAGCTCAACTTTTGTCTTCAACCAAAAATACAACACCCAAGGCAGCGATGTCTGTGAACCCAAGTACCAGACTGTCTCGGAGCCCATCAGGTGGAAGCTGCTGATGTTGGGGCTTGAGCTACTCTTTGGTTTCTTTATCCCTTTGATGTTCATGATATTTTGTTACACGTTCATTGTCAAAACCTTGGTGCAAGCTCAGAATTCTAAAAGGCACAAAGCCATCCGTGTAATCATAGCTGTGGTGCTTGTGTTTCTGGCTTGTCAGATTCCTCATAACATGGTCCTGCTTGTGACGGCTGCAAATTTGGGTAAAATGAACCGATCCTGCCAGAGCGAAAAGCTAATTGGCTATACGAAAACTGTCACAGAAGTCCTGGCTTTCCTGCACTGCTGCCTGAACCCTGTGCTCTACGCTTTTATTGGGCAGAAGTTCAGAAACTACTTTCTGAAGATCTTGAAGGACCTGTGGTGTGTGAGAAGGAAGTACAAGTCCTCAGGCTTCTCCTGTGCCGGGAGGTACTCAGAAAACATTTCTCGGCAGACCAGTGAGACCGCAGATAACGACAATGCGTCGTCCTTCACTATGTGATAGAAAGCTGAGTCTCCCTAAGGCATGTGTGAAACATACTCATAGATGTTATGCAAAAAAAAGTCTATGGCCAGGTATGCATGGAAAATGTGGGAATTAAGCAAAATCAAGCAAGCCTCTCTCCTGCGGGACTTAACGTGCTCATGGGCTGTGTGATCTCTTCAGGGTGGGGTGGTCTCTGATAGGTAGCATTTTCCAGCACTTTGCAAGGAATGTTTTGTAGCTCTAGGGTATATATCCGCCTGGCATTTCACAAAACAGCCTTTGGGAAATGCTGAATTAAAGTGAATTGTTGACAAATGTAAACATTTTCAGAAATATTCATGAAGCGGTCACAGATCACAGTGTCTTTTGGTTACAGCACAAAATGATGGCAGTGGTTTGAAAAACTAAAACAGAAAAAAAAATGGAAGCCAACACATCACTCATTTTAGGCAAATGTTTAAACATTTTTATCTATCAGAATGTTTATTGTTGCTGGTTATAAGCAGCAGGATTGGCCGGCTAGTGTTTCCTCTCATTTCCCTTTGATACAGTCAACAAGCCTGACCCTGTAAAATGGAGGTGGAAAGACAAGCTCAAGTGTTCACAACCTGGAAGTGCTTCGGGAAGAAGGGGACAATGGCAGAACAGGTGTTGGTGACAATTGTCACCAATTGGATAAAGCAGCTCAGGTTGTAGTGGGCCATTAGGAAACTGTCGGTTTGCTTTGATTTCCCTGGGAGCTGTTCTCTGTCGTGAGTGTCTCTTGTCTAAACGTCCATTAAGCTGAGAGTGCTATGAAGACAGGATCTAGAATAATCTTGCTCACAGCTGTGCTCTGAGTGCCTAGCGGAGTTCCAGCAAACAAAATGGACTCAAGAGAGATTTGATTAATGAATCGTAATGAAGTTGGGGTTTATTGTACAGTTTAAAATGTTAGATGTTTTTAATTTTTTAAATAAATGGAATACTTTTTTTTTTTTTTTAAAGAAAGCAACTTTACTGAGACAATGTAGAAAGAAGTTTTGTTCCGTTTCTTTAATGTGGTTGAAGAGCAATGTGTGGCTGAAGACTTTTGTTATGAGGAGCTGCAGATTAGCTAGGGGACAGCTGGAATTATGCTGGCTTCTGATAATTATTTTAAAGGGGTCTGAAATTTGTGATGGAATCAGATTTTAACAGCTCTCTTCAATGACATAGAAAGTTCATGGAACTCATGTTTTTAAAGGGCTATGTAAATATATGAACATTAGAAAAATAGCAACTTGTGTTACAAAAATACAAACACATGTTAGGAAGGTACTGTCATGGGCTAGGCATGGTGGCTCACACCTGTAATCCCAGCATTTTGGGAAGCTAAGATGGGTGGATCACTTGAGGTCAGGAGTTTGAGACCAGCCTGGCCAACATGGCGAAACCCCTCTCTACTAAAAATACAAAAATTTGCCAGGCGTGGTGGCGGGTGCCTGTAATCCCAGCTACTTGGGAGGCTGAGGCAAGAGAATCGCTTGAACCCAGGAGGCAGAGGTTGCAGTGAGCCGAGATCGTGCCATTGCACTCCAGCCTGGGTGACAAAGCGAGACTCCATCTCAAAAAAAAAAAAAAAAAAAAAGGAAAGAACTGTCATGTAAACATACCAACATGTTTAAACCTGACAATGGTGTTATTTGAAACTTTATATTGTTCTTGTAAGCTTTAACTATATCTCTCTTTAAAATGCAAAATAATGTCTTAAGATTCAAAGTCTGTATTTTTAAAGCATGGCTTTGGCTTTGCAAAATAAAAAATGTGTTTTGTACATGAAGTAGGAATCGTATTTCAGCTTCAAGGTTCAGATTGAGGGGCCCACTGTTTGGAGAGGATGGTATTCAGGCTTTCTCATGTCCTTCAAATCTGTTAGCGTTTGACTCTAGAAATCAAAGCAAAGGAGTGGTTACCCAGACACTTCTTTTGGTGTGATCAATGCGCTGATGTGATCTATGAAGATGATTCATGCTTGAAAACTAGCACAGAAACATCTTGCTTATTTGCCAAAGCTGGGAGATGAGCTTCTCTGCATAATTTAAATGTTCAGATAAATGAAGCTGACTTATTTAAGCAATAACCTTTTAAACATTTTAGCTAAGATGTATAAAAATGTTTCCAAAATATACCACATACTTTATTTCTTCTTAAATGTAGTACATTAGGTTACATCATTTTTCTTGCTGTCTTGGGCATCAAAACAGGTGCCATGGTAACCTGACACTCTCAGGAGACATTAAGATAGAAGGGGCTGTTCTTCAGTGGTTCCCATTGATTCTCCCCATATCTTTTTGCTCTCAGGCTCTGGCCGTCTCTTCCTGAGCCTTAACTGTGTCTGCCGTTAGTCCTCCTCTCCACTCATTGCAAACATTATTCTATATGTTTGGTGGGGACATCAGCTATCTGCGCTTGTCAGAATTGTCTATTAATAGGGGCAATGTGTTAGAACCTCCAAGTATTCAATTATTTCTGGATACGTGAGATCTTACTGTATGTAAATCTCAACATTTAGGTACTTAAGTATTACCTTGCAAACTGTACGTGATTTGCTTCTCAGGACAGACAGACTGGATTTTAAATGAGGCCAGAAAAACACAATATTTTCAAATCCTTTTAAGACTTGTGGTGATGTGTGCAAATTACAGGCATTCTGGAGATATGTGTACAGAGAATGTGGTCTCAATGAACGCAGTGTACATGCTATAGTCTGCTAGGACATTAGTTTGCTGGGGCTGCCCTAACAAAATACTACAGACTGAGTGGCTTAAACAACACATTTATTTCTCACATTTTTAGAGGCTGGTTAAGGTGTTGGCAGGGTTGGTTTCTCCTGAGGCCTCAAATGGCTTTTCCTCTGTGAGCTGACGCTTCTTATAAGGACACTAGTCAGATTGGATTACAGCCCACCGAAAAGGCCCTTTTAACTTAATCACCGGTTTAAAATCCCAGTCTCTAAATATCACAACTTTCTGAGATACTGAGGGTTGGGACTTTGACATATGAATTTTAAGGGGACACCATCCAGCCCCTAACATCTATTTCCCTGAAGGTGGGGCATATTTTCCTATTAAAGTTAACCTGAAACATGTGAGAATTTCTTTGTACATACTTTCCGCCTTTCCAATAAGTTATGTTCCAAACATTCATTCCCATTTCGGCTTTTCAGGTGCAGACCTCACAGAGAGATGACAGAGAAGGGTTGTGGTCCCCAGTGAGACAACGCCTGCCTATCTAACCTGCACAGCCTTGAGCTCCAGCACCCACCCGTGCACAGCCTTGAGCTCCAGCACCCACCCGTGGTGCAAGTTTCAGTATCTGATCCCAGTGGTTCACCTACTGCCCTGACCTCTGCCCTGAGGTGTGGCATCTCCTCCCTTCCCAGTTCTCTGACAGGGAAGTGGGGAATTTCCCCAAGTCTGAGTGGCCTCCATATTCAAAGCAGAGACATCCCCCTCTCAGCTGTGGACCTAGGGATGGTGATCTCAGCTGTGGCAGCAGAAAGCAGCTGTGATAGCCCAGGGGAGGCCAGGCCCTATTCTGCCCCCTATTTGTATAAACAGAGCATTCAAGGCTCATGACTTCAGCGGGGCTCTCTGTTGTCTTAATCTCATTCTTGGGGCACATTCTCCTGTAGGACACAGAAGGAGGTGGCATTTTACATTTACCATTAGATGATTTGAGTCATTGCAGCCTCACAGCACAGCTGCCCTGATGCATTCTACATTCTGCTGGCTGCTGTGTGGAGAACCTGACATGTTCATGGTCTTTGTGCTCAGGGATTTCACGGAATAAAGAGGCTGCAGCATTCGGATGAAGGCCACCCTCGCTCTGGCATGTTTGCAGAGCTTGGGGTGGTCTGCATTCTACATTCCGCTGGCTGCTCTGAGAATCTGATGCACTCAGTCTTTGTGATCTCACAGAATAAAGAGGCTGCAGCATTCGGACGAAGGCCCCTCGCTCTGGTGTGTTTGCAGAGCTCAGGGTGGTTTGCTGTGACCTGATTTCATGCTTATGACTCAGTATGCACAGCTGCAATCTTCTTCCTTGTGTTGCATTTGCCAATAGCATGATATTCCTGATGCCTTATTTAGGTAAATCCATATAAGAGCTAAGGCAGGAACGATTTATTTTCTACTTCTTGGCTGATTCCTCTCTTCATTGAGAGTCCAGGTGGACAGTCAGGAATGATGGGCAGAGTGCTGTTCTCCTCACCTCGAGGCTGTCCTCAGCACAAGGGAGCTGTTGTACCTCCTTCCAGCCCATTTCCATTCTAGACAACAAGAAGCAGGATGCGGGAAGCAGGTGGCCTTAAAGACACAACTGGAAAGCTGTGGAAATCATTTCTGCTCCCAAGGTGGGAGCCTTCACTTAGTCACATGGTTACAGCCAGGTGAAAGAAAGTCTGGGATGCTCTTCAGCGGGTGGCCGTGTGTCCATGTGCACGCAGTAATCACAAACACACCATGTAAGAAGGGGGAGAGATACTGAGAAAACCACTTTCATGGAGGGGAGGCAGCCGGACTCCTCTCTTTAACCAGAGGGGAGGGTCTGCATCTCCCCAGCTGTAGGTAAGCGGTAGCCGAGGCAGCCCACTAGGCCAAGGCCACTCAGGAGATATGGCTGGCCCTGTGCAGCAAGTCTAGGGTCACCTGGGATGCGCCCTGTACACAGGGGCCTCTTCTCCTGTAGCCCACTAATAATTACCACAGTGCCCACAGCCGGTCCATCTAAATGTTCAGAATACTGTATTTAGAATTAGTGTTAACATTTGAATAAGGTTTCATTTTTCTGCCTAACATTGAAAGATGAACTGGATTCTTGGATGTCACATAACATTTTGGGGTCCCCTTTCTGAACCTAGAATGTAAATAGATGAGCTAGCACTTCTCTTCACGCCAGTGGGGAGCAAATGCGATTCCTAAAGTCCTGGCTTCACCAGGAGCCGAGCTCCTGAGCCTTCCAGGGGTGCCTCTGCCCTGGACAGGGCGCTGCTGCCCTCTGGTGCGCGAGCCGCCTCCCAGCGCCTGCACCTGCTCCTGGAGACGCTCACCTTCCCGGCTGTTGCCCTAATTCTGCAACGTGTCAAAGGACAAATGTCACATGTATGTCTTAGCGGGGAAACTCTACAGTTTATTTTGGATAATAAGTATGTGAAATTAATACAATCTTATACTATCTTCTTGCACCCGTGGCGTAAAATCTTCAGAAAAATATCACTGCACTATTGCTGCTGTTCATTTTTCTCCTTGTTGCTTTTAACATTCACAATAGTAGATTGGCTCTTTCCTTTTTATTTTATTTTATTTTTTTGCTATGTGAACATATACATAGCAGAATAAATATATGTATAAATCAGGAAATACAGCATCTATATATTTTTATGGCAGATAATGTAGAATGACTTTTAGGATATTAAGTTAATAAAAAGAAGATATGTAAAATGATGTAATCTCTACTCACCAAGAATTCATTATGCAAGTCCAAAATTAAGGAGAAAGGTAAATAAACATTCCAGGCAACCTCCCTTTTCCACCTTTGTGAATCACGGCACATCTGATTGTGCACTAGGATGGCAGAGGAGTGTGTGTGACCCTGGGCGAGCTGGCTTTCATGGTGGTCCTTGCTGCCTTTGGGCCCCCAGGTGTCCAGGTGGGGCAGGAGAGGTGGTGCTGCCTGGAGGCAGCCTCTCCTTAGGAAAAGCCTTCTCAGGACCCCTGTCCCTCTAGTCCTCTGCAGACCTGACTTGACACCATCTCACACGGATGCATGAGAGGCCGTGGCCAGGGGTGCCCTCTGAGAACCAGCCCCCTGGCCCTGTCCTTCAGCCTTCTGGGCCTCCTTACTTACTTTTCTCCAGGGAATGTGATAGAGACAACGTGGCTGGCGGCGGGGCTGGGGGTGCAACCAGGGGAGAGCTCGTGCTCTGAGATCTCTCCCGTTAGCTGTTTGCTCTGCTCGCCGCTCACTCTAACCAGCTACAGAGCATCTATTCTGTGGTGTGGGCAGCTGCCCACCACCCTTGCCTCCTGGGTCCATGGCTGAGCCACCTTGTGCAGCCCCTGGGGACTCTGTGGGGCATGGGACTGAGGTCTGGCTGGAGATGCCTGAACACAGGTGAAACGCATCATTTCCAGGTCTGGTGCACAAAACCACTCGCTTTCTCCTGAAGGCCGGAGGGAGCAGGCACAGGAGACCTTGGAAACAGCTGCTGGAAACAGCAGAACCTGAATACACTGACCCTCCATGTGCCTGGTGCTACTGTGTGAGCAAGAAATGAACTTCTGTTGGGTTTGAGTCAACCTACATTGAATTTTGTTTCATGATTTACTCATCCGAGGCATGGGCCATCGTTCTGAGCTGTCCCCAGGCCTGACTCTCCATGGCTCTGGCTGAGGTCCTTCCACCCGCCCTCCTTCCTCCCCACTCACGTGTGCCCATCAGCCTTGGTGGAAGCTTTGCTCAGGAGATGTGGTGTTGCAGGGGCTCTGCCATCTTCTGTGGCCAGTTCCAGGGCCCAGGGCATTGGCTCTCCCCCAACCCTTTGTCGCCAGTTTCAAAGGTGGAAGCCACCCTCCCCAGCAAAGGTGGACCTGGCCTGGGCTGTGCCTGTTGATTGTCCTAAACTCCACTCCCTAGCGGTGCTGCACACCCACACCCCTGCCCTGGGCCTGCCGTGGGTCAAGTGGAAGATTGTTCCCATCAAATAGTAAAGAGGAAAGTGAGATGGATGCAAATCCCAAACCCCACTTCCGTATTCTGCCCTCTCTCCACCTGGTCTTCTGCCTGTTTCCAATGCTCCCATTCACTCTGGAGCCCCTGGAGTTTGGCCCCTGCCCCCATCCCACCAAGCTGTCTTCAAGAAGGCTGCCCTGTGCCCTATGCAGCCAATGCAGCAGACGCCTCTCAGCTGCCTCCTGCAGGTAGCACGAGCCCTTCTCCAGGGCCCGGGCAGTGGGCTTTGCTCTCCTCCCTCTCAGGTGGGCAGCTCCATCTCTGCCTCACTTTGGCCCCTCCAACTTTATTTGACCCTGACATGCAGTGGTGCTCCTGACGCCAGGTGGGGTTTCTCTTTCTCCTCTCCCTGCATCCTCTCCCCAGGCCACCCTATCTCCCCTGGACTTCAGGACGGCACACAGGCCGATGGCACCAGCATGTGCATCTCAACTCTAGATCTTCCTCAAGGACCCTGCCAGGCCTGACCCCGTGCAGTCCTCATTGCCCCTCTCCTCCATCTTCTTCCCTTCCTGCTGCAAGTCCGGCCCCATGGCTGTGCCCCTTCTTCCCTAGGTCATGTCTTCCCTGCCCTGGGACAGCCGCCTCTACCTGGCACTCATCTCTGGCTCCTCGGCGTGGATCAGGTGGGCTCACCCTGCAAGGTTGTACATGTGGACCCTCCTGCCAATGCTGCACCCTCTTCTTGGCCTCCTTGCTTCACATACACTCACCTATCTGCCTGTTCATGGATTTGTCCTGTGCATCTTACTTTCCATAGCCTGTGTCCCCAATGGAGGTGAAGCAGAGTTAGGGATGCATTGTGTCATAAGGAGTCATGCACTCAAGACCTACATGCAGTTATTATGCAGGTAAAGAAAAGGCTCTTAGTACCACTTCAAGGGCCATGTCCGTCCAACCATCCTTGACTTCTTGGTTTGGGCTGCACTTGTGATTCCATTGTGCTTTGTAAATAAATACCACCTAGAGCAATTACAAATGCATCACCTTTATTTTTGTTTGCATGATAAGAGGCCCCTAAAGTGAGTTCTTTGGCAGGGAATAGCTTTTCAATTCTGAGTCCCTAGTTTGAGAAACATCCATCAGGCATATAATTGTCACTCAGATGTTTTCTTCTGCGTAAACTCTTCAGTCCAATCTACAGCATGAACATCACTGTTCCAGGCTTGTCTCGGTAAGATGAGTCACAGGGGCAGGTGAGATGTCCTGAGGTTGCATCGTGGAATAAGCAGTGAATTTATTAAGCCATGGTTAGTAGTAATAAGCTGAATGCGAGGTGGGTCAAAGCAACATGTGCTATTATCTGAGTCTGTTTTGATGCCATATTTCTCGGAGAAGCAAATGTGTAACCCTCTTTTTGGGTATTACTTAGATCTTGTCTTTTAAATGGCAGGTTTGGCTTCCTTAACTCTCGCCTAGAGATTTTCAGACCACGTCAATATTTTGCAACCAAAGGAGGGATGCTGGGCCGGCTGGCTGCCAACCATGACTACCCCGAGGCTCCTGCTGGCTGTTACAGTTGTCATGGTTCAGAGGGCAGCTGGGGCCCCAGAGGGTCTCAGTGAGGGTGGGCGGGGCTGAGGGGAGGGCGCTCACCTACCCGCCACCAGCGCCCAGTGGGGCCACTCCATCTGCCGGCTGGATATGAACGGGTGTTGCGCCTGTGGTGGTTCCAGATCAGTCTGTGTCATCTTCCATCCCCACCCCTCTGCCACCCATGAAGGGTGGTGGGTGTCCTCTGCCCCGTCTGCTAATGAAGCTATTTTCATCAGTTCCCCCACCCCACTCACTCCTTACGTACCAAGCAATTCGGTGATGAAGTCACTGGTTTCCAGTACATTGCCTACATTTTAATTCTTTGTTTCCTTTCTTTCCTTTTTTTTTTAAAGCAGGTTTTCATTTGTGACCTTCATATTGGCAAAAGAAACAATTAATGCATTTTTCTAGACAGCAAGCTCTTAAAATTGTAGGATTCTGGTGTTCGAAATTTTTTGAAACACAAAATGTTTTGTAATACAATAAAAGCTCTAACTGCTTTTAGCCTGTTGTAGGTAAAATAATGCAATCACACGTGTGCTCCAGGCACCGTGGACTCATTATGGAACAGGATTGGAGCCTTTTGAAAACAGATGTATGAGGAGGGCTTCAGAGTTTTAGTAAATATGAGAAGAAGGAGTCATTAAAGACGAGGGTGTTTCCTTTCCCGGAGGAATTTTTCTAGCCATTCATGTGCACACAGAAACCAAAACCCTCCGCGCAGGTTCTTCTGCGCACTGCGCTGCTCCCAGCGCAGAGGGGCCGTGTTCCGGGAACACGTTTCCTGCTCTAAAACGTCCGGTGTGTTCCGGCCCAAGTGCCTGCTCAGGTTTAAAGGGGGTTTCTTTTGCTAGTACTTAAAAAAGTTAAAAATAATCACTACTATTAAATAGATCTTTAGTGTGTTTTAAATGGCAAAAGCACTTCACTCAGAATTGGTGATTCTGTTTCATGCGTGTGTTAAGTGGGGATAGGTTTGTGGCAAGAGTTGGATGCTGTTATCTTGCTGAATGGAGAAAGTATAATGTAAGTATATAGCTAATAGAGCAATTTGAGTTTCTGGGCCCTGTCCAGAGGTCAATAGGAAATCTGGTGAATTTTCATTTTTTAATAGCACTATACAAATATACGACTGGTGTGGTGTTGCGTGAGAAGTGTTTGGTTTGGTGTAGAACAGAGCCCATGCCACAGCTCTGGGGGCCGCAGAGCACAGCAGGATTTAGTAGGGCCGTCTGGGGGTCGCCGTGCTGTGTAATGCGGGGGGCACTGGGAGGGAGGAGAGGAAAGCCTTAAAGTAAGAGGCACAAAGCACACGAGGGTGAGAGAAGCTGCAGGTGGTGAAAATGGAAATGAAGGGTTAAAAGGAAACCTTTTGAAAATCTGCACCGCCAGCCATCCCCGAAATCGCTGCCTCTGGGGAACTGGAGAGCACAGCACATTCCTGTCAGCCGCGGCTCTCCAGGAAGGCAGAATCACAAGCGGTGCATGTAGATTAAGGGATTTATTTAAAGGCATTGGTGCCCAAGCTTGAGTTGGGCGAGTCTGAGACCCGCAGGGCAGGCTGGCAGGCGGGAAACTCAAGCGCAGTTTGTACCTTACAGAATGCAGGCGGGAATTCCTTCTCCAGGAACCCGCGGTTTTTGTTCTTAAAGCCAAGGGATTGGATGAGGCCCACACACATTGCGGAGGGTCACCTGCTCTACTCAGAGTCAACTGAGAACAGGCGCTCATCACAGCCTCCGCATACCCCCGCAGCAGCGTCTAGACTTGCGTCTGACCATCGGGCACCATGGCCCAGCCAGGTTCACATATGAGATTAAGCATCACACTTCCCAAGGAAGGGACACCAAAATTATGTTTGAAACCCAGTGAGGTGTGGTCCACACACATACATGCCTGCAGGGACGAGGCAGGGACCTGAATGAGAGAAGGGTGAGCACAACCCACTTCTGGGCGCCAGCTCCTCGGTCCAGCCAACGCAGAGCAGAGTGAGGGCCCAGGGCTTGCAAATCTTCTGGTGTTCAAGAAGAGCTGAAAATCTAGCCTTTTAAAAATGCAGAGCCTCACTTGAAAGTAGGTGATGTAATATAATTTTAATATATTCACTAACTATAATGTGAACGTTTTAAAATTATTTGTGAGCCAATCAAAATCTGTCAGTCAGCTGAATTTAGGCCTTGGGCAGCCAGTTAAAGGGTTGTGAAATGAACGGTATTTGAGTGGTCAATACACAGCCGCCAGCTCGGGAGCTTGCTCCCCACCCTAGCTGCCAGGTCTGTGATGAGAAAGCAGGTGTTCTTGGCCTAACAGAGAGTGCATGTCTCGATCTAATGCCTTCTCTCCTTCCCTCTCACCTGCTTCCTCCTCCTCCCTCTTCTCCCTCTGTAGACAGAGATGCCTCTTGCCTGGAAGGGCTGCCTTGGCATCTAGGAGCAAAGGGAAACTCTCTGGGGCTGATTTCCATCCCACTCTTGTCTCCAGAAGCTGCTAGAGATGTAAAGTGAAAATGATAGAAGAAATGTCACAGAAGGAAAACTCAATTCCCTTGTTGACTCAAAGTGGCACATTAAGCAAACTGTCACTTTTGATTGAAGATGTGGGGAGCATTTTGTTCTCCTTTCCATGGGCTGAGCTGGGCTGACAGAGAGGATTCCTTCATGTGCTCCAAGTGACCACAGCCTGAACTGGCAGCCACATCCCAGGGGAGGAGGTTGACACACACAAAGTTGGTGGTCTTGGCCCAACTCAGTTCCTTGGCAAACTCAGTTTTTTTGTCCTTGTATGACTTTTGGAAGCAGGTGGCTGCTGGGAAATGCAGTCCCTAGGTTTCACCAGCAGATAGGAGAGAGGGCAGAGCCATCCCCTAGAGCCTACATTTGGCATTTGAGTCCTAGTCTTGTCCCTTGCTGGTTGTGTGAGTTTGTGTGAGTTATTCCAACTCTCACATTTCCAGTTTGCTTATCTGTAAAATGGGTATTAATGATAGTACTTATCCCATGTGTGTTTAAGATGAAGATGGGTTATAGGCAAGAAAGCCAGGGTAGGCAGGGTGGAAACTGGTTATCATCTGCTAATCAGCCGTGGAGGAGACCCAGCCTCTTCCCCAATTCCTACAATTCCTACCATGTTGGACTCAGTTGGCTTAACTTAGGAAACAAGAAGTAGTTTGGGCCCAATATTAATGCTGCTATCCTTTATTGGAATGTTAAATACAACAGAACAACTGTTTCATGTTATTGTATACTTTTGGAATAAAATCTATAAAAGAGAAATCCTCTAGCACTTTTTGGTTGCTAACTCTTACATATGTAAGTTTTCTTTTCATTTAAAATATTCTCCAAAAATAATCTTAAGTTCCCATATCTGTAGATGCATTGCTGTTTTATTCACTCATTACAAAAAGAGAGTCTGATCGATTGAGGGTACAGAATTCAATGTTTCCCAAACATACTTCATCATGGAACTTTCCTGTGGGGCATCTCCAAGGACAAGCGTTGGCATGAACTCACATTGAAGGAGGCTGCTTTAGCAATTCAACGTTTCCAAGAACCTTATTGGGTACAGATTAGTATGACCTCATTTTTATAGACACGGAAACAAGGTGGTTATGTGACTTGCCGGAGAGTGTAAGTTACAAGTGACACATGGAGAACCTGGAATTTTAACCCAAGGATGTCTGGCTTCATGCACCATCTACCTCAGCCTCTTGCCTTGTTTTAGTTCTTTGGAAATTAAAGGCCTTGTCTTTGTCATCCTACAGTTACTACATGATCATGCTGTGGAGCATTTCACTGAGTTTCTTCTGGGTGCCTGGATTTTGTGACCGTTTGGTGGCCTTTAAGAAGAGACTTTATGGTAAGATGTTTCTGAAAGTTTCCACCAGGTGCAGGTGATGCATTTGAGTTGACAGCAAGCAAGCGTGCTGCCAGGGTCAAACGCTGGCCAGGACCACAGGCTTCCAGCACCTTCCCGAGCCCAAGCTCAGGATCTGTTCTCCTTGCCAACACTTGTAGATGTTTTTCTATTGGGGTATGCAGGAAATTCTTCTTTGGATGGCTTTAATATATTTCAGTTCTGTCCTAGCCTTCTATTCTGCATGTGTGACAGCAGGTCGAGAGCGGCACGACCTGTGGGGACTGATGGCACAGCAGACAAGGGGGCATGGGCAGTGACGTTCTGGAGAGTCGGCTGTGAAATATTCAGGAATTTGGACAGCCAGTTGTTAAAACTGTTGGTAGCTTATTATCAGCCATGCTGGGAGTATATATACACTGGAAATTGGAAAATGCTACAAGTCAAAACTGCTGCTGCTTTTCTTTTTCCACAGAGAGTCAGTTTTGCCAGTACACCTCTGGATATAAAGAAAATCAAAATATAAGTGAGCAAAAATAAGCCCAAAGACAAAAGTGGCAAGGAGGAGAAAAATGGGGGCTACAGTCTGAAGGTTAGTGTTCCCCACAAAATTCATGTTTAAACTCGTGGTGGTAGGGTTGGTCATGGTGGCTCATGCCTCTAATCCCAGCACTTCAGGAGGCCGAGGTGGGTGGATCACTTGAGCCCAGGAGTTTGAGACCAATCTGGGCAACATAGCGAAAACTCCATCTCAACTAAAAATACAAAAATTAGCCAGCATGATGGTGCACACCTGTAATCCCAGTTACTTGGGAGGCTGAGGTATGAGAATCCCAGAGGTGGAGGTTGCAGTGAGCCGAGATTCCGAGATCATGCCATTGCACTCCAGCCTGGGCAACAGAACAAGACTGTCTCAAAAAATAATAATAAAACAACCTGTGGTGGTATTAAGAGGTAGGGCTTTTTGATTAGGTCCTGAGGATGGGGCCCTCATGAATGGGGCTACTGCTCTTATAGAAAGGGCTCAAGGAAGTTCCCTGGCCTTTTCCACCATGTGAGGGCACAGCAACATGGTGCCATTTTTGAAGCTGAGAGCAGCCCTCACCAGACACTGGATCTGCTGGCACCTTATCTTGGACTTCCCAGGCTCCAGAGCCTCAATCAATGCATTTTTGTTATTTATAAATTACCCAGTCTACAGTGTTGTGTTAGAGCAGCCCAAAGAGACTAAGACAAGAGGAGACCAGAACGTAAGAGCGCTGGAGCAGTTCCAGGAGATCTAGGACTGCATCTCAGTTTTGTTGTTTAGTGGCCGTGTGGGCTCGGCCAAGCTCCTGAGCCTCTTGGAGTATCAGTTTTCTGATCTATAAATGAGGATATTGATACCTTCCTTGCTTACCTCACAGGTTTTGTCAACAAGAACTACTTATTATACAACTACATTGGGGCTTTTTGCATTTTGGCTGTGCTGACTTATGGAAGCAGGCATACACTGGGTGTGTGAGTGTAGACTGTCTACGCTCTTGAACCATGTGTCTGATTTATGGAAAAGTGTGTCAGAGTATGAGTCAGTTTTCTCTTGCTGCAACTGAATACCACAGACAGGGTAATTTATAAATAATGGAGGTTGATTTAGCTCATGGTTCTAGAGGCCGAGAAGTCCAGGATCGGCAGCTGCATCTCGTGAGGGCCTTCTTACTATGTTATCTCACAGTGGAAGAGTAGAAGGGCAAGCAAGTGTTTGTGAAAGAGAAAGCACAAGGGGCCAGGCTCAGTTTATAACAACCCATTCTTGCTATAACTAACCCATTTATTCATGTGGGTGGGGCTCCATGACCTAATCACTTCCTAAAGGCCTCACCTCCTGCCCTCTTAGAATGACAATTAAGTTTCACCTTGAGTTTTGGAGAGGACATTCAAATCACAGCAGGCTGATTATGAGGAAGCGAAGATAAAACAGCCAGGGCCGTATAGGAGTGCCTGTCACATTCTTGTAAAGGAAGGTCATTAGCTGAACTGGGTTTTGAAATGTCAGAGAGTGAAGGAGTAAGGGAGCATTACCTGCAGAGAAAGAAGAAAACAAGAGGGCTGGGCTCTCTGTGTAACAGCAGCATTGCTGCAATGCTGGGAGGAAGGCAGGAGAAAGGGTCTTACTCAAGGAAGACAAAAGAGAAGGTATTTCGCTCTTCTGTTTTCACTGTACTTTTGATTTCTCACCACAAACCACACAATATTTTTTAAGGGTCCCCCTTTTATTGAAAAATCTTGCGCCATTTGTGGAGAGGAGAATGTGGCCTTCTAAGTTACACCGAGGGAAACGTTGATCACTCCTCTGCATGTCGGGCAGGGTCTGGCCTGCAAGCAGCTGAATTCCCCTGGGTGGTTTTGAGTGGCACTTTTGTGTGCTTGTTCAGCCGTCCCCACAGTCCCTTGAAGAAGGTGCAACCATCTTCATTTTTTTTCAGGTAAAAAAGTAGACATCATGTGTTGTTGTGCCCAAGACCACACAGCTAAAGAGCAGCAGAGATAAGACCCAAACCGAGGGCCTACAAGCTTCCAGTCCAGTGAACCGTAAACCAAAATGTGGAGTATGAGACGAGCGGAGATGCTGCAGTTTCCTAGACTTAAAGACTGTAGGCCTTCAGTTTGAGTCTTATCTCTGCTGCTCTTTAGCTGTGTGATGGAATGGGAGGTTCAGGCTCCTGTTCTAATTGCAGAGCTTGGTGGCATGAGAGGAGATGATCCAATGGCACATGGAGCTGTCACGAGGACGCTCTGCCACTGATCACGGTCATGCTGACAGAATTCCTGGATACACTTGTCCTCTAACCTGCGATTTCAGTGACAAAGAAGACTTAAAAATGGAGATGGCCTGTGAGCTCATGGACTAGAGTGTGGTGTGGCCACATCGTACACTTATTGTCGGCCTGGTTGTAGTGTCCAGGTTCCAGCTACAGAGATTTCTTCTTAGTTTCTGAAGATACTAAGCATTTCCTGATTTTCAAAGAAGCACTTTTCCACTGCACATCCATTAGGATGGCTACTATAAAAACAGACAAACAAGCTGGAGAAGAACAAGTGTTGGTGAGGATATGAAGAAACTGGAACCCTTGTGTGCTGCTGGTGGGAATGCAAAAAGTGCAGCTGCTGTGAAAACAATATGGCAGTTCCTCACAACATCAAACACTGAATTGTCATATGATTCAGAAATTCCACTCCTGGGTATATCTGCAAAAGAACTCAACTAGGTCTCCAAGAGATGTTTGTACACCTGTGTTCACAACAGCACTATTTACAACAACCAAAAGGTGAATGTAACCCATGGATGCGTGGATAAGCAAAATGTGGTGTATGCAAGCAGTGGAATATCATTCATCCTTCAACAAAAAGGAAATTCTGACACAAGCCGTCACATGGGTGAGCCTTGAGGATATCATGCTAAGTAGAATAATCTAGCCATAAAAGGAAAATCCTATAGGTTTCCAGTCATAGGAGGAACATAGAGTGGTCAAATCCATAGCGAGAGAAAGTAGAGTGGTTGTTGACTGGGGCCGGGGAAACGGAAGTGGGGGGTTGCTATATAATGGGGCAGAGTTTCAGTTTTACCAGCCGAGGAGAGTTCTGGCGGTCGCCGGTGGTGGTGGTTGCACAGCAGTGTGATGTACTTAAAGGCACTGAATTGCACTTACAAATGATGAGAATGATACATTTTATGTATCTTTTACCACACACGCTAAAGAGGCATTATGAGGATGGCTATTATTTGAGGACCTCACAAGTACTTAGTGGAATGTTCTGGAAGCCCCTGGGAGTCACGAAATGCATTTCACAGTCCCCAGCCATGCTCACAGGCAAATGCAGAGTCCTTTTATTGTCCTGACCTTTAAATAAACCGAAAGTGTTGATTTTATTACTGGCAGAAATGATTATGAGAAGACAGAGGACGAGCTTTCTCTAGCTGTCACCCAGTAGATTTTAGAAAGAGAAACAACTAACGGAGTTTCCCAGCTGATAGCATTGCCTCCGTATGGACAAGAAATTCATCACTCCCGTGGAAACTGAAGCTCCTGGCTGTCTTTCCTGGATCTGCCAGAATTCTGACGGTGCCGATTTGCATGACTCTCAGACATGATGGTGCCCCTGCCTCATCACAGCAAGTGAGTCACGGGAGAAAAGAAACTGGAACTTGCTATTGGCAGCAAAACAGTCGTGGTCCTGAGACTCGCCATTCACCGTCTGTCCACACTTCCCTTTTGAGTCATTTCCTTATTCAGAGACAATAACGTGGAGAAGAATAAGACCCTTGTTATCTCATCTCTTTGAAGAAGAAACCCCATCTATGTGCAGTGCTGTGGATGCTCCTTTGATGAGATGGGGCTGGACACGTGAGAAACATCCCCGGAGGTGGGGGCCACTCGCGTGATCCTCAGCCTCCCAAGGGACAAGAAAAGTCCCATTTCATAGATGTGAGAAGCGAAATGAGGCACACAGAATAGCCATAGGAGATCCCAAAAGGATCTGCTACACAAGAAGAATGATAATCAACCTTTGATTTAACAGAACTTTTCAACTTCCAGTTCATAAGACACCCTTCCCATGCCAGGTTCTGTGTTGAGAATACAGAGGGAAAAACTATGTCCCCAAAGCCCCCACAATCTGGTTGGGGAAGTAAGCAATGAAAATAGAATTGTGTGATCACTTAAAAACAGCAAATTAGTATTTACTGATGCTTATGACATACTGTGCTAAATGTTTTGTGTTATTTTACTTAATCCCCACCATAATCCCACGAGGTACATTTTACTATCCCCATTTTACAGAAGTCCCCTTCTGTCCCAGGTCACAGAGCTAAGAAGTGATGGGGCAGGATGTTGTTGCCCAGGCCCTGAGCCACTCACCCGGCGAGTCTTAGACCTGACTGCCCATTGATAGAATTAATGAGGGGACTTCAGACCTACCAGTGCCCAGGCTCCTCCCCAGGCCAACTGAACCAGAACGCCCGGGGCTGGCCGAGGTATCAGGGCTTCCTAAAAGCTCTGGACCCCCCAGGCCTGCAGCGCTGCATCAGGCACACCTGTGAGCAGAGTGGAGGGCTGCCAGCTCCACCCAGGAGATGTCAGAAAGAACTCGAGAGACAGCGGTGTGGAGCTGACACCACCCCAGATATAGGCGCATTTTGCCAGGCTAAAAATGCACACAGGGAAGGCAGAGTGTACAGAAAGTTGTGGTATCCTGGAGAAAAGACAGTGCATTCCCAGGGAAAAAGCCATAGATCAAGGGGTTTGGGAGAGTCTGTAGCCCCATGACATTCCCGCGCACAGTGCTGGACTGCAGAGCTTTTCCTGTGAGTGGAGGGGTGGGCTGTATCCCTCCAGTGGGAGCCTATTCCTACAGGGCATCTGTCCCCACCTGTGGGGGTCTATTCCTACAGGGCATCTGTCCCCACCTGTGGGGGTCTATTCCTACAGGGCATCTGTCAGGGGGCCATGCCACTTCACTGTGTGGATTCCACCTGTGCAGAGAGTTATGGATCTCAACATCCAACAGCAGAAAAACAGTTAAGAAACACCCATAGTGTCGACTATTGTGTAACCATGCAAAGAATGCTTATGGGGCATTTATTATGATATGAAAAATGATTCTGTCAAATGTTAGGTTTTTCAAAGCAGCACTTAAAATTATATATGCATTAAGATCAGGGGAAGAAAAATGAAGATATTTCCTTTCTGTTTCAAGGGAAGAAAACAGGCACAGTGTAGAACGAGTCCACATTAAAGAATTTTATTCAGACATTTCACAACTATCTGGTCACTGTTCCCTTCTTAGCCCTTTGAAATTCTATTCACTTAGGAGGAAATAAAACCTCAGACAGTAGCAAAGTAATGCTGGTAGAATTCCAAATTATACTCCTTTCGTTGGGCAGATTTTTACACCCTTCCTTAGCAGAACAGGTGGAACTCACTCCCACATTTCAAATTTGGTTCTGATAAGGAACCTCCCTGGCAGGCTGTCAGCTCTGCAGATGGGAGACTTGCCATTTTCTGTTGCCTAGAGCCATCATTTTTGACCTCGAATTTGACAGAAAGCTTGGGACCACCCCTGTGGGATAATTGAAGGCATCAAAACACCACAGAACTGATATTTAGTACAAAAGTGTTTTATCGTGTTAGGAGATAAAGAATAGTTTCTGCACACGAATAACATGAGTGCAGCTCCAGGGAGGCTGAGGGGCAGCTCACCAGGCCCATGTCGTGACAAGGCAGGCCTCCCGCCTCCTCTGGGCATGGTGGTGACTGCTTTTTGGCCCTAAGCAAACTTTTAGGTTTGAGCAGAGAATGAGAGATAAGGCAACAAGGAAAGTGACTTTGAAAATCTTTTATCATCATCGTGAGACTCAGTTTTGGAATACAATTTACAAGGAATGAGATGAAAAGATGGCAGCTGTTGTAACGGCATCCAGAGGCTGGGGCTGGACGCCTGCCCACCTTCACACTGTGGCCCATGGAGCCCTGGCATGTCCCGAGCACCATTGTCCACCAGCTGTGCCAGCGGGGTTGGAAATGACCATTTCAAACACCACGTGATAGCTTACATTGTGCACTTCTCGCAGGAGGCATAAAGTTCTGTGACCTTTTTTTCACATCGGGGGAAGCAAAGTACATTTCAAAAGCCTTTTAGACATTCAAACTTAAAAAACAGCTCTAGAGGCAAATTCCAGAAACGTATCAGGAAAGCATTTCTTACAGTAAACTAGGGAACTCACTACATTTTCCTTAACATAATGTATAATCTAGAAAAATGAAGCAAAATTTTATGAAAACAAAAATGTTATGTTCCAAATAAAGGCTAGCATGTACGACAGTACCTTATATACAGCAGAGTCTCTTTTTAGAACCAGGGCACTTTCTGATGTCGGTCATCCCCAGTCTGCACAGCAGGTGGGAAGAAAACATAGTTTTTTTTTTGTATTTAAAACTGAAGCATAATAAATGAAAATGACTTGCTGAGACCAAGTAAGAGTTGGAAAGATGCCATCACCCGGCTTTCTTCTCTTCCTTCACTGATTTAGCAAATTACATTTCTTCAAGTGTGGAGATGGAGTAGCTGCCCGACTTTTCAGTTCAGCAACTGAATCTGCATCATAGTTGGGTAGGAGGAGGTTCTAGCTTGTTCATTTTGATTTGCCACTCTACAAGGTAAAATCACAGAGGACCACCCTGGTCAACAAAGTATAAGACCACACCTGCAGCAACTGTGCCCATGTTTATGCTCTGATCCTTGTATTGCAGTCTTAAGACTTCTTCTTCTTCCAGAATCCCAAAGTAGGAGTAATTATTATTTAGGTCGCAGGTAGTTCCATAAACACGGGCGTTGAGGACGCTGGCTGTTGTCAGGAATAGGAGTCTCTGGGGTTGAAATCTGGGGGCTCTGCTGCCTGCCCTTTGCCTCGGAGGGTGTGGAAGACCCTCCGATAGGAGCTCCTGAAGGTGGGGCTGGAGAAGCAGTATACCACGGGGTTGAGCACACTGTGCAGGTAGGTGAGGCTGCCCGTGACATCCGAGGTATGAGCCACTGCACAAAGGGCCCTGCAGCTCCCCAGATTCTGGAAGATGTGCATCAGGACTCTGGCCAGGAAGCAGGGCAGAAAGCACAGAGCAAACAGCACCACCACCAAGGTGACCAGTGCCTGGGCCCGCTGAAGCTTGGGCTGTTTCTCAGGCTCCCGGAGTCTTTTCTGGAGAGCCCTGATGATGCCTGCATTGCAGAACACGATGAGGCCAAAGGGGAGGACAAACTGAAGGCAGGAGAGTGCTTCCTGCCAGATGATGCTGAAGGAGCCGTCTGCCCTGGAGTAGAAACTGTGGCACCTGGTGGAGTTCTGGGCGGCCTCAGAGATGAGCAAGCCCGGGCAGGTGAGGGCGACCATCAGGAGCCAGACGAGGCCCGAGACCCCCAGGGCCGCCTGAGGAGACAGCAGGTTGACCTTAAGCCGAGGGTGGACCACACGGAGGTACCGGTCCAAAGCCACGGCGGCCAGGAAGGCCATCCCCACGCTGCGGCTGAGGTCCAGCAGGAAGTGCAGGGCCCAGCAGCCCACACGGCCCAGATGCCAAGCCTGGAGGCTCAGGTAGAAGGCGGCCAGGAAAGGCAGGCACGCAGCCAACAGCAGGTCAGCCAGGGCCAGGTTGAGCAGGTAGACAGCGTACGGCTTCCACACCCTGACCCGGAACAGGAAGGTCCACAGCGCCACCGCGTTGCCCAGCAGACCCAGCCCACACTCCAGCCCCAGCAAGACACCCACAGCTGTGGCCACCACAGTGCTGGGGGCTGAGCAGTTTGGGAATGGCATCACCCGGCCGTGAGGGGCTGCAGGCACAGCTGGAGCAGGTACAGGAGGAACTCTGTGCTCTTTCTTACAAAATGAAAGAAAAGGCCTTTTCCTGCCACAGAGTAGACAAGATCTACATTTGCCCAACAAGAACAGTTCCTCAGCAGAATAGAGTCCACAGCAAACCAAAATTCATTTGGGGAAAGAGGATGAGCAGGGGAGGGAAAAGCCCCTTTGCAGTTGTGTTCTGTTTTCTTCCGCCATAAAAAAGGGGAAATGGTGTTTCGCTTCACATCACCGGGCTGCAAAGCTGAGGAGTAATGTCCTATAACGTCTGGGGGTCCAGGGCTTTGCATCCACAGTCCTGAAAGAAGGAAAAGTCTAATTATGCAAAGACTCCTATGTCTGTATACAATTAAAATAACAATGGAATCAAAAAGATTGTTCTCTACTTTGAATATGTTTCATGGGGAAATTTTCTTCTTCCTTTTCATACATAAAGGACGCTTGCTGGGATCCTTCTGCATGGGGCTTGATTTTACACACTGGTCAGATGTGGTCCCCACACTTAAACTTGAAAGGGGATTTGAGACAACCTGCTCATTCCATAGCTGATGGTTTCACTTGTACTTGTGTTTTGTTAAATACAAATTTATTTTATTTTCTCTGCTGGAGTCTTTCCTACCTAGTACACCACTTGGATTGGGATCTGGACCAGCAGGGCCTGGAGTGGGCCCTGGAAGCATGGAAAAATCAATGGCTTGTAAAAATGCGTAGAATCCACTAGAAAGTTAGGTTCATCAGCCAGGGACATACTCCATATATCCATGTGTCGCTAGTGACAGACAATGCCTGGCACACAGCATTATCAACAAGCATTTCTTTGATGAATAAACGTGTGCAGTCATCATTACCCTCTGATGACCCTAATACATCTCAGTCCTTACCCATCAATGACCCTATTATACTTGGTTCTCACCCAATGTTGACCCTAATTTACCTTGGTCCTTACCCACTATTGACCCTAATTCATCCTGGTCTTCACTCAACGTTGACCCTACTTCATCTTGATCTTTTCCCACTTTTGACCTTACTGCATCTTGGTTCTTACCCACTGATGATCCTAATTTATCTCAGTCCTAACCATTCTTGATCCTACTTCATCTTGATCCTTACCAACTGGTGACCCTACTTCATCATAGGTCTTACCCATATTGACTCTAATTTAAGTTGGTCCTCTCCCACTGTTGACTCTAATTTATCTTGGGTCCATTCAGCCTGGTTTGAATTTTGGAGTTAAGTAAACTTTAGTTATAATTTTTTGTTTCTCCATTTATTAGCAGTGTGGTTTTGGGAAAGCAAATTAACTTCTCTGAACTCCAGGCTCTTCACTTGAGAGGTGAAGATGGTAACACCTTCTTGAAGAGTTCTTTTGAGTAGTCAAGGTACTATTACAGGTAAAGCACTTAGCGCCATGTCTGGGTGTTGTGAGAGCTTGATGCTTTTACTAGAGTATTTATTAAGCCTCTCTGATGCATAGGCTTTAAAAAACTATTCGTTATCTCTTAACGCGATAAAACACTTTTGTACTAAATATCCGTTCTATGGTGTTTTGATGCCTTCAATTATAGTATCCAAGTTTAAGGCTTTAATAATTATTATTACTAAAGTATACTGCATGTTCATTGCGTGTCAGTCATTGTTAGTGCTGGCCTAAGTTATTTCAATGAACCGTACAATAGTGAGATGAAGTAGGTACAATGTTAAGCTCTATTTTATGAGTAAAGAAATGGAGGCATGGTAAGATTAGGTAATTTGCTCAAGGTCACAGGCAGGTAAGTGGTGGGACCAGGACCCTCCCAGCCCAAATTTCAACCAGAACTGGATTCACAGCTTCCCTATAGTCCTATGGCTAATGGTCAGGCTTCACTCTTTTTCAAGTCCCATAGGGCTGTGATTTGTATGATATCAAGGTAATTTGACTTGCATTCTTCTTGCTTTCATTATTCCATTATTTTTAAAAATGGGACTACCAGCCCACATATCATCCCATTTCTATGTCATACAAGTCCGCATGCCTTTTTGTTTTCTAAGGAGGTGAATTTGGAGAGTCCTCCAAGCATCTGGAATTGTGGAAATGTCCCAACTAGTCTCTGCACAGTGACACCTTCTATGAATGAGGATCTCTGGTTGCATGTTCATTACGACATTGTTCCTGGGGAACAAGAGGATAGAGCACAACGCTGACCTGTGGGTGGTGTAGTTAGTCTCATTTGGACGAATGTTGTCAGGCACACAATGACCCTCAGAAAAGCTGGCAGCAAATTCAACTCTTTAGTGATTAAAGTTTCATAAATGCAGGAAAGAAATGGATTGAAATATCTTTCTTGCAACACACTAAAAACTTTAACAGACCTTAAAAGCTACTCCTTAATTTCAGATTTCAGTTTATACCACCAATAACTTCCTAAATTATAAATATTTTAGCTCAACTGGCATGTGAACATTAATAATTACGTATTTTCCTTTTTAAAAACTTCTGCCCCTTTTTAAAGTACTTTGATTCATCTTTTTCACTTCTGAAAGACATTGAATTGTTTTTCAGACCATCTCTTTTAAAGTTATAGTATTTGAGCTTCTCCCTTAGGGATCTTGATTTATTAAACCTTATCACCCCTAGAGACTATTTTCAGTCATTACTACTATTTCTTCAATACTCTACTTGTTTAGGAAACTTCTCTGTGTTCATTTCAATTTTTATGCTGTGTATTTTATTTACACGTGTGCCTAACTTTAAATGAAAACTGAATTATTGCTTAAACCCACACATACATTTAAACATACATTTAAAGGTTTTTTGTTTGTTTGTTTTTTTAGAGACAAGGTCTTGTTCTGTTGCCCAGACTGGAGTGCAGTGGCAGTATCATAGCTCACTGTAATCTCCAACTCCTAGGCTCAAGGGATCCTTCTGAGTACTTAAGACTACAGGTGTGTGCCACCAGACTCAGATACAGAAATTTAATTCTCTGCATTTTTCCTTTCTAATTTTTCTGTTATATCTTACAATAATCAGAAAGATGGTTATTCATAAAGACTGAATGAATACTCAGACTTAGATTCTCCTGCTACTTATTGCAAAGTTAGCCCGCCGTGAAGTCTAGGGAGACAGTACAATTCCCACAAGACCACCTTCTGCCTGACATTAACTTAAAGTTTGGAGGTCCCCAAGACCACTCTCAGGTTAGATAATTCTCTAGAAGGACTTACAGAACTCACAGGAAGCTGTTACTTTCATAGCTATATCATTTTTTACAGTGAAAAGACACAGGTTAAAATCAGCCAAGGGAAGAGGTGCATGGGACAGAGACCAGGAAAATTGTAAGCGTGGGGCTCCCATTGTCCTTTTGCTGTGAGTCAGGACAGTGTTACTTTCTCAGTATCGATGGATGACAGTGCCCAGACCACTGCCACACCGGGAAGCTCACCTGGGTCTCCTCATCCAGAGTCTTTATTGGAGTACCTCACCCAGGCATAGCTGGCCATCTGTGAGGCTGTGTTTAGTCTCTAGCTGCTCTGGGGGCTGAGCTACAGCTGCAGGACCAAAGCCCTCACCCTAAACCACATTATTACTGTCTGTCTGGCTGAGGGTCCCCAGGCAAACAAAGACATCCCCATTGGGCATGATATCCTAAAGCCTGGGAGGTGACCTCCTGGCTACTGAGGGCCAAGATCGGACCTCTTTAACTTTGCCTTTTGGGAAAAGTTTAGCTCTTTTCTTATTTATTCAACAAATTTAGAACACAATGAGTGTTACTCATTTTATACTGAGGATACAAATGCTTATAGTGTTACTAGAAAGTGGTCCTGATCCGGACCCCAAGAAAGGGTTCTTGGACCTTGTGCAGGAAAGTATTCATGATGAATTCATAGAGTAAAGTGAAAGCAAGTTTATTAAGAAAGTAAAGAATGGCTACTCCATAGGCAGAGCAGGCCCAAGGCCTGCTAGTTGGCTATTTTTATGATTATTTCTTGATTGTATGCTAAACAAGGGGTGGATTATTCATGATTTTCCTGAAAAAGGGGTGGATAATTCCTGAAACTGAGGGTTCCTCCCCTTTTTAGACCATATGGGGTAACTTCCTGATGTTGCCATGGCATTTGTAAACTCACAGTGCTGGTGGGAGTGTCTTTTTAGCATGCTAATGCATTATAATGAGCGCATAATGAATAGTGAGGATGAGCAGAGCTCACTTTTGTTACCATCTTGGTTTGGTAGGTTTCGGCCAGCTTCTTTACCACATCCGTTTATCAGCAAGGTCTTTGCGGCCTGTACCTTGTGCTGACGTCCTATCCCATCCTGTGACTAAGAATGCCTAACCATCTGGGAATGCAGTCCAGTAGGTCTCAGCCTTATTTTCCCCAGCCCCTATTCAAGATGGAGTTGCTCTGGTTCAAATGCCTCTGACAATAGCACACTCTGACTTTAAGGGGCTTATGTTCTAGTGGGGAAGATGAATGTGGGAACAGACTTGTAGAGAACAATATGATACAATTAGCTAGAAGGTGCATCTGCAGTGGGGGTGGGTGTCATGAGAGAGGTGTCATGGAGAGAGGAGAGTGAAGAGAAGTCAGCTAAGGGGCTGAGGGATGGGGGAAGCTCTGGGCAGGGAAGGTCCAGTTGGGCAGAGGGGACTGCCCACTGTGTGTGACCAGTGTTAGATTTTGAAGGAAAGGGGAGGGTTAAAGAAAGACACATACATAGAAAGAGGGTGGCTTGACAGCAAACGCAGGCTTTACGTCCAGCATAAAACCAAAAGAAGTGGGGGACCAGCCCAATGCCAGTGCCCACTGCGGGCTTACAGGCTGGGGCAATGTAAATGTATGGGCAGGAGGGGTATGGGCACTATGGCGTGCGCCCGGCAGGATATTGAGCAGATGTTCCCATGATGAGGCACTTCTGACCCTTGTTCGGGTGGAATGTGGTGCTCCTTGCACTTTCTCCCAGAAGAACATGATAAGAGGCGTGCTGTTTCCTCAGTCGGCCTTTGTCCACCTTGTGGTCAGGTGGTTACGCAGGATGCTTCTCACGGCCCAAATCCCTGTGAAATGTTTCACTTTGACGAAGGTCTGCAAAATAGCAGGGAGCTTACCAAATGGTGCAGTTTGGACTGACACCCAGTTGTGAGATATTTATAGCGAGCTGGAAGGGCTCCCCATTTTTTTCAACCACAGTCAGTAACTTTCTTGTCGACTCTCACAAGTTCATTGCATTTCATTTTCTTGTCTTGCTCTCATATCCAAACCATCGTCCATCTCTGTAATGTCACAGTTTCCTCTTACTTCAGGGACACCTGATTTTCCTAAACCTGGCTCCCCTCCCAGGTCCAGATCGTGCTAACACCTCATTTCTCTTGTCTTATTTTCACCTCCAGCCACAGGGAAATTGAGCTTCAGGAGAAAGGAGCTATGGTCATTTCCAAAAAAAAAAAAAAAAAAAAGGAATCATTGTAGAAAGAGAAGCTGGGAGTGGTCAGAGGCAATGTACAATCTCGGAAGTTAGAAGTTGCGAGGCCTGTGATGGTCCTGAGCACATGTTTGAGTTTCTGAAACTACCTTGGCAAAAATTAAATCAGTGAGAAAATTGTGACTGGGGGAGATCTTGATCTAGCCAGCCCCCTTCTGGCCTTTAGCTTTCACGCTGCCTTAATTATTCCTGGGCTCAGGCTGGGCTAGCTTTGGGAGATAAATAGTTTGTAATTGAAATGATAATAGCCCTTCCCCAAAGCTCAACGACCTTTGTAAAGCTAATGAGAGACCACCAGGCTAGGGGAGGGGAGGAGTCTGAATTCTGCTAAGGTGTAGACGTGAGTGATTCTGGAGGTCACAAGGTGTGCAACTTCCCCAGTTACTCCTCAGGTAACATCACTGTTGTAGAACCTAAGATTGTCCTTTTGAGATATTGTTTTAAGTTTTTCTGCATGTGTGACACAGATGCCTCCGCCTGGCTCCACCTGGATCGGAGCCTCAACCCGGCAACAGCTCCTGTGACCCCACCCAGAAGTGACTGAGTACACAGGAGGACCCTTTCCCACATGCCTATGACTGCACCCCCCAGGCAGCAGCAAGTCCCCGTGGCCTAGCTACCCCACCCCTTCCCAGCAAACTACCTTTGAAAAACCCGTCACCTCTGAGCTTTCCGTGAGACTGATTTGAGGAATAACTCTGTCTCTCGCATGGCGTCGGGGGCCTTGTGTCAATTAAACTCTTTTTTTACTGCAATGCCATGGTCTTCATGCAGTGAGCAGGAGGAACCCATAAGGCAGTTACATGTATAGTTTGGAATAAAATAATTTTAGCAGCCTCTTAATATTTCTACAATGTGAAGACCATCAAAGAAATGAGTTACTAATGAAATCAGCATTTCATGTATAAGAAGTCATTTTGAACATAATTATATTGTTATAGAAAAAATTTTAGTCCTACAAAATAAAATTTTAATGAAAGTTGAATAATTGTATTGGGACCCAACACTGTTGAAACATGAAATGTGCAAATGCGCTTGTTAGTAAAAACAGCTTTTTTTTTTTCAGTTTTATTTCAACAGGGTTAACATAAACATAGTGTTTTAAGCTTAAAATGATGGAAAACCCCTACGTAGATCTTCCAACGTGGACATTCCAACAGGAAGCTATAAAGAGAAGTAAAAGTGACAGCACATTATCAGTGAAAAATAAGACTAGGTTTAAAAAGGTGAGTTTTTGTTATGTTTATTGCCACTGGAGAATTTGATTTAAGACATCAGAAAATTGCATTATATTTTTGGTGTAACATGGATACTTTAAACAATATTTTGTTCATTCATTTGCTTGTTCATTCAACTAAACGTATTGAATAGCTCCTCCATGCAAGCACCTCTCTGGCCCTGGGGGTGCAGCGGGGTATGAAGCAGAGACCCTCTGTCCATGGAGCCACATTCTGCCGGGACCCACAGTCCGTGAGCGTGGAGGCAGGAGCACTGGGAACAGCTAGCTGGCTGGGGCCTTCTCAATAGGGAATGTCTTAGGCAGTATTTGAAGGATACCTATGGGTATAGAGAACATACTGGGAAAAGGAAAGACAGTATTTTTCTTAGAACTTGAAGAAATTTCTGTAATTGTTTTTTGGAAGAAGAAGTAAAAGTATGGAACACCATCATTTAAAATGAGATACTAAAGTGTACTCTTCAGTTATAAAAATTAAAACACTCTCATCATGATGCAGAAATAGGAAGATCTATGGAAGAGAAGAAAAAAGCAAATAAAGTTGAGGATGTGGAATATGATAAAGGTGCCTCCAAGTACTTTGTACTTCTGTTTTAAAGAATGTATTCTGCACATTGTTTTCTGTTCCACAATACAGAATTACAGACGCTCTTCCAGGTGGCAGACCCGAGTCAGCCAGGAACTGTCAACCTGGAGATGAAGTGCCTCGCTGGGTGGCCTGCGCATCATGTGTGATGAGGGAAGTGCTCCTGCTGTCACTCAGTCATGAATTCCTGTGCGTGGTGGGTTCCAGCAGTCAGCCAGAGGCTATCATCAAACTTGTTTTGCTTTGTATTAAATTAAACTCACTAGAAACAGTGCAAGGTCAGGAAAGGCAGTTATCAAGGCCTTCGACCTCTAAGACTTTACATTTGCTGTGAGTAGACCTTAGCATGCCAGGAGAAGTTTCTCATCAAAACCCAGCTTCCATCAGCAAAGACAGGAGGAAGCCAAGTCAGGACCAGAGCCCCCTCTCTCCTGTAGACGGAGGATACATTCAGGAACTCAGAACCTGGAGGAGAGGTGAGCAGGGGGTTAGCAATGATATGGTTTGGATTTGTGTTCCCGCCCAAATCTCATGTCGAATTGTAATCCCCAATGTTGGAGGAGGGTCCTGGTAGGAGATGATTGGATCACGGGGGCAGATTTCCCCTTTGGTGCTGTTCTCATGATAATTGTCCTAGTACAGTCTCTTCCTCTCTCTCACTATGCACTGACTTCTCAGGCACCTGGGACCACGTCTCACACTCGTCTTTAAGCCTTGCAATGGCTGCACAGTGCTAGGCACTGGAGGTTGTTGATTAGTTTACAGTTAATGAATTAGAAAATAATAAGGAACAGAATAGAAACATGTTGAATTAAGCTTTTACTTTCACTGATGACTCAAAAGTCCCATGATTTTGTAGTATTTCAAGACTACTATTATGAGCATTAGTTTTCATTTTTCTTGCAACTATTTAGTTCTGTCTAACAGAGCTCTGACTGGGTAAGTATCAGGTCACAGAATATTTACCACAGGTTCATATGATGCAGTAAACCTGTGTCTTTCATGGGGGCTTTTAGCTAAAGCAGCAATTATAGGTGTCTGTCAGAGGAACCCCTTAGCTAATTGTTAAGCTGTACCTGAAGTCTCCCATGAAGACAAGCAGTCAGATCCTGATGTCTCCCAAGATGACAAGCAGTCAGATCCTGAAATCCATGACTGGTGACTTGTGAAATTCTAGTGGATATTCTGCAATGACGTGCCATGAGCCTCTGTCATTTCACCTCACCATCATGCCACAAATTAGTACTCACAGCTGAGAGTTTAGACCTAGAAAGGGCAATAAAATTAAGTTCAAATACTGTATTAAGGGACTTGCCCCAGATTACATAATTCTTTTGTGTAAAGGCCAAATTATACAAATCCTCAGATTCTGAGGTCGGAGTTTCTTTTCCTATAACATGTTTCTTCAAACATAGCTGTATCCACATTTCATATCAAGCAGATCCAGGAAAAATGATGAATAATCAGATAGCATGATATGAACACAAGGTCATGAGCAATAAAGGGTTCCGATAGAGCTATTAGGAAGAGCATCATGCTCACGAGCAGTAGGAACATTGTTCTATGTATTTATTGGCCTTGTAACTATGGTTTAGAAGTGGTAGGAATCCACAGAGATATACCTACAGAAAGATTTGAAAGAAATAAAACTCCCAGCCTCAGTGTGGTATCATCCCACCCTCAGTATCACTATCTCAATCTTGACCTTCATACACATATCAAGAAACTTTCCACTTCTTGAAATACAAGAACTTTCAGATATTAAAAATGTTTTAAGATTCTCTCTCCTCTGTGGCCTCTTCAGCATTGGTATTGGAAGTCATGGGTTGATGTTATCTGGCTGAGGGGCTTATCTAGAAATGTCTCCTGATCCCAGGTCCCTTTAGGTCTAAGTTAGCTTCTTCCCCTGTCCGTACTCAGTCTCAGCTGGTCACTGACTATGTGATATCCTTTCTAATCACTTGTGTCCTACTGCAAAAACAAAATAACACAACATAGAGTAAATACATTATCGGAATGGCTAGCAATCATTGGACATTTTTCTCCATTCATTATCTTGAGGAGCATAATGTACTCCCCCAATTCATTTTAAACAAAAAAACTTTAGAATGTAATTAATGGAAGCACTCACTATTGTGGATTGAGTAGTTTTTATATGTTGCCTTACCACCTTGCTTAGAGGGGCAATGTCTTTCCTTATTCTCAATTTTTACAAAATATTGTACAGAGAAAATGCTTGAAAAGTGTGTAATCCCAGCACTTAAGAGGCTGAGGCAGGTGGATCGCTTGAATCCAGAAGTTTGAGACCAGCTAGTGCAACATAGCGAGACCTGTCTCTACAAAAAATTCAAAAATTAGCTGGGTGTGGTGGTGTGAACCTGTAGTTCTAGCTATTAGGGAGGCTGAGATGGGAGGATTGCTTGAGCCTAAGAGGTCAAGGTTGCAGTGAGCCGAGATAGCACCACTGCACTCCAGCCTGGGCAACAGAGCAAAACCCTGTCTCGCAAGAAAAAAAAAACGAGTGTGTCACTTATAACATTCAGACTCAGCTCATAAAATCCAAAAGAAACGTGGAGTTTGGGGAGTGCTAAAATGCACCACTGAGGGAACAACTAGAAAATGACTAGAAAATCCTTCTCTTTTTGTTCTATCATTGTACGCTACAGCTACTGGTGATAGTATTAAGGCATGTTTTACAATTCATATTTGGATTCCATCACAGGGCTCACACTCTCTTATCTCCACCTCTCACAAGTTTTACCATACGAGTTTTGTGGTAGTTTGAGGAACTCAACACAGCTGCAAGTGTTCCGCTGGAATCTACTATGATCTGTGTCACTTGAGGCACAGTGTGAGCGCACGTCATTCCTTGGATGACACGCACCCCTCTCCTAACTTAGTATTCCGACATTTAGTCATCCACGAATTCGCTCAGCTGCCTCCAGTGGGGTGGGTTCCAGTCTCAATGGCATCTCACTAGTTCCCCATCACATTGCTCATTTGCAGTGATGACATTTACAAAAGGTGATTTCTTTTGTCAGGGGTCTGTACCACTATCGAAGTAGTCCTTTGAACCAGAAATTTAAACAGCTAAGCTACTTTAAAAAGTGTATCTGCTGCTACTCCAAGCAGCCGACTCTGGAACTGGCTTCTGACTTTAAAAGATGAGTGAAAAGATGTGCTGTGCTTTCCTCTGCAGAATGTTCAAACCAGAAGGCCCCTGGAAGACTGTGCCTGAAACGCGGCTAAGGCACCACCAGGCTGAACAGAAAACGGGGGCCTTATCAGAGAGAAGGGAAGGGCCCCATAGTCCAAACGCCCAGGAGGCTCCGACCTGACCCGCGGCCACGAGTGTTTGCTGCAGGACGAGAATCTGGGGAAGATGCAGCCAAGAAAATGGCCTGGCCGGGCCGGGAAGAGCAGCCCACAGAGACCCGCAGCACAGAGAGGGATGCGGGGAGCCTGCCCTGGGAGCCACCCCGGCTGAGGCTCAGGAGGGGAGCTGCGAAGCCTGAAACCCATCGATGATGGCTGGTGATGAAAACATGTGGGTGGACCTGCTTTGATGGCGAGATGGACAGGTCTGAGCTCACACATCCTCGGGAAAACAAATAAAACTCTGTGGAAATGGACATGAGACACTGGGCCCTCATTCCCCAACTTGTAGAGATGACTGAGAAAAGCTTCCAGAAACTCGAGGACATCACAACTTCCAGCTGGGTCAAACTCAGGGTGCTGTGAGGCCTGGGCAGAGAGACCCCCAGGGTTTCCCAGGGATGGCGGAGTCTCTGGAGGAAGGAGACACCATGAAGATGGGGATGGAAGCTGCCTGCCCCATGGAGAGGGGAGGGGGCCGGCCACTCTCACCCCTCGAACAAAAACCGGGTGGAACCTGAGAGGAGCAAAGAAACAAACACAACCCTCACACACCTCAGGACACACACACAACACCTCACACACCTCAGGACACACACACAACCCTCACACACCTCAGGACACACACACAACTCTCACACACCTCAGGACACACACATAACCCTCACACACCTCAGGAAATACACACATAACCCTCACACACCTCAGGAAATACACACAACCCTCACACACCTCAGGAAACACACACAACCCTCACACACCTCAGGACACACACAACCCTCACATACCTCAAGAAACGCACAACCCTCACACGCCTCAGGACACACACACAACACCTCACACACTTCAGGACACACACACAACCCTCACACACCTCAGGACACACATAACCCCTCACACACCTCAGGACACACACACAACCCTCTCACACCTCAGGACACACAACCCTCACACACCTCAGGACACACACACAACCCTCACACACCTCAGGACACACACAACTTAACACCTCACACACCTCAGGACACACACAACTTAACACCTCACACACCTCAGGACACACACACACAACCCTCACACACCTCAGGACACACACAACTTTCACACACCTCAGGACACACACAACCTCTCACACACCTCAGGACACACACACAACATCTCACACACCTCAGGACACACACAACCCCTCATGCACCTCAGAATACACACAACCCTCACACACCTCAGGACACACACACAACCCCTCACATACCTCAGGACTCACAACACCTCACACACCTCAGGACACACACAACCCTCACACACCTCAGGACACACACACAACACCTCACACATCTCAGGACACATATACAGCCTCTCACACATCTCAGGACACACACACCACAGCCCCTCACACACCTCAGGACCCACAATCCATGGTTAGAATGACGCGCAGGGACAAAAGTGCTTCGTTTCCTCTTTGTGGTAGTTTCTTCGTTCATTCACGACGTCGGTGTTTACTGCCTATTGCAAGCGAGTCGCTTGAGGAACTATCCGAGTGACACACAGCACAAGCAGCCTCAGGGGAGCCCCAGGTGTGCTCTCCACAGGCAGCACCGTGGATGAGAAGGATGGCCAGGGCTTAACAGGAACATGGACCCTCGCTTGTGCCTCATTCTCTTCTCTATCACAAAAATCACACGACAATTCAGATGGAGATGCATTCTGTGAAATGATGAAAATTTGAATCCTGTCTCCTATTTAAACTCACATATATTATTTTCCCTTCATAAAAATGTTTTTTCTAGTAAATAATTTGACATCCAAAGAGAGTTTATATTTCTTCAAGAATGTATGCTCAGAGAAATGAGCTCTTACTACACGTTGGGTATTGAAGACTTGATATTAAACACATGGTTTTTGTCAATGGGGAGGAGCAGTTTGACTCTCTCCAGTGTCCTTTGTGGATGGATGGACTCCACTGACAATGAGCTCCTATGTTAGAATTGCGGGTTTGGGATGTTTAATTATTATCTGAGCTGGTCCAGTGGTGATGCTGAGTGGGACGCTCATGCCCCTTTAAGACAGAAAGTCCGTTGGAACCGTCGGCTGCTCTCTGGTCTCTGGAGATGAGGCGGGAGGACTTGGGGACAGCTGTGGGGACACGGCCCAGATGTTCTGGTCCCAGCAGAAGTGACTGGCGGGGACCAGGTGAGGTGATGAGGTCTGGTAGTGGGGCTGAGGGAAGGGGTCTTCCCCAGACTGAGGGGGTCACAAGTTTGGGGCCGAGGACACTGGGGTATCCCCTCGGAGGAGCGGGAAAGAAGAAGCTTTCTCAGGGCTGTGAGGACCGCGGACCCTTGCCCACTTCCACAGAAACTGTCCCAATCCCCGCGGGGAAGGAACAGCCAGGGATCCGGTTACTGGTAGGTCTTGCTCTTGACCTTCGATTTGCCTTCATCAGGAGACTCTCTTTTAAACAGCATTTCTCCAATCACTGTGGTTAAACTGTTCATTCTCAGGTTTGTATACAGTGAGAAGTTTATGAATAAACAGCTGGGGTTTCGTTGGGGGCCATTCGCTTCCTAAAACCGAGAGGGTGAGGCAGGGTTGGGAGCGGCTTTCAGAGAGGACCCTGCAGGCTTGCAGGAAGCTTTGCGTTTTCTCTTTTGTTTTAGTTTTCTGATTGCTGTGAGCTTCCTAGAACTGGCATAAATGCTGTACCTATAAAAAGGTGTTTCCTTTCCACGTCTTCACCATGAATTCACAAATGTCATCCCGATGGTTCAAGACTCAGACTCAACACGACTCAACACAGTGTGGGGTCTGCCTGTGCACCTCCAAGTGGGTGTTGATCCAGTGTTGCTGATTAAAGGGCTAAGAGTTCCCTCAGGGCCGCACGCGACCATCCACACACATCCCACTCACACCCCGAGACCATCCTGCTCACATCTGCTCACACCCATTCACATTCCCCTCACACCTGCTCACACCCCACTCACACCGGCTCACACCCCGCTCACACCCTTCTCTGGATGACCAGAGTGCATTCGGTGTCAGGCTGATCTTCTAGGATCTAAAGCATTTTCCACGGAGGATGATGGAGAGCCAGGTGTGGACCGCTCAGTCCCTCCGTCTGTGGATGGTGACAGTGTGTTAGGTGTCAGGCTGATCTTCTAGGAACTGAAGTGTTTTCCATGGAGGATGGTGGAGAGCCAGGTGTGGACCGCTCAGTCCCTCCGTCTGTGGATGGTGACAGTGTGTTAGGTGTCAGGCTGATCTTCTAGGAACTGAAGTGTTTTCCATGGAGGATGGTGGAGAGCCTGGTGTGGACCGCTCAGTCCCTCCATCTGTGGATGGTGACAGTGTGTTAGGTGTCAGGCTGATCTTCTAGGAGCTGAAGTGTTTTCTTGGAGGATGGTGGAGAGCCAGGTGTGGACCTCTCAGTCCCTCCCTCTGTGGTGTCCTTTCACCTGGTCAGCTTCGGGCTTGGGAATGTGTACAGGACCCCGGGGGAGAAGAGAGGCTGTGGTTTCTGCTCGCCCTTAGGTTGAGGCTGGGGCCTTCAGCCCACACTGACGGGGTAGGGGGCTGCATTCAGGCATTGCCATAGCTCTTCCCTTCCCAACCAGGATGCTGGAGGGTCAGCTCGAGGCCAGGGAGCCCAAGGAGGGCACCCACCCAGAGGACCCGTGCCCGGGAGCTGGGGCTGCCATGGAGAAGACACCTGCAGCAGCCGAGGTCCCCAGGGAGGACAGCAATGCCGGGGAGATGCCGGTGAGCTGATCTCTGTGGGGATAGAGTTAGTCCCACCAGGCGGGACCCTGATTCCTGTCCCTGAGGCCTGTCATTGGACTTCCCTCGCCAGACCCCTGTAGGAATGCGCCACCCTGGGACGCTGATGCTAAACTTCCTCTCAGAGGGGCACGTGGCTCTTTTCCCCTCTGCAACCTTCTCTCTTTGTTGATGGGAGGCAGGACACAGAGTTAAAGAAAATATTAACATTCCAGCTTTTCTCTTCTAATCCAGGAGAAGGCACCAGACTTTAAAAACTTCATTAAAGAAAATCAGGTTGACATGCCTCACATCATCCCAGCAACCACCTTCCTCACTGGACCCTGTTGGACAGTGCTTGCTCTCATGAAAGTGCCATGGGTCTCTGTGGCCAGGGCCACACAGTGCAGGGCTGTACCTTTATCACGATCCCGCTTATTCTCAGAGCAAGGCTGGAGGCTCTACGGTCCAATGAAGGATGCCACGGGAAGGCTAACATGTCAGGTTGAAAATGCAGTGGCTTCCATAATTTTTAAACTGTTGACCATACATCCATGCCAGCACAGTGTTTGAGATCAGCCTAGCCAACATGGCAAAACCCCGTCTCTACTAAAAATACAAAAATTAGCCAGGTGTGGTGGCGTGCACCTGTAATCACAGCTACTCAGGAGGCTGAGGCACCAGAATTGCTTGAACCTGGGAAGTGGAGGTTGCAGTGAGCCGAGATTGTGCCACTGCACTCCAATCTGAGCAACAGAGCTTGACCCTGCCTCCAAAAAACAAAAACAAAAACAAAAACAAAAAAAAAGAAAAAGAAAACAAGGAAGGGAAAAAGAATGCCAGCCTCTTATTGCTGTAGTGTTTTAACAAAGAATCATAATTCACTGACCATCTTTATCTGGTTATATTATATGGACTAACTCATAATAAACACTACTTAATAAGAATAAAGCTGTGGCCAGGCATGGTAGCTTATACCTGTAATCCCAGCACTTTGGGAGGCCGAGGCAGGTGAATCACTTGAGCCCAGGAGTTTGAGACCAGTCTGGTGAAACCCCATCTCTACTAAAAATACCAAAATTAGCCAAGTGTGGTGGCACGCACCTGTAGTCCCAGCTACATCAGAAGCTGAGGCAGGAGGATCACCTGAGCTCATGAAGTTGAAGCTTCAGTGAAGTGAGATCATGCCACTTCACTCCAGCCTGGATGACAGAGTGAGACTCTGCCAAAAAAAAAAATAAAAATAAATAAAAATTAAAAAAGAAAGAAAGAAAGAAAGAAAGAAAGAAAGAAAGAAAGAAAGAAAGAAAGAAAGAAAAAGGCTGCGGTAGTCCTGTTTATCTCATCGGGTGTCCTTTTGTCCAGAAAGAGTGTTGGTCTCACTTCAGAGGGGGCTTGAGTATTTTGCAGATGAATGTGCCGGTTGGGCGTCTGAGAGGTTTCCTGGTGTTCTCTTCCCAATGACAGTCATTACAGCAGCAGATCACCAGCCTCCACCAAGAGCTCGGGAGACAGCAGTCGCTGTGGGCTGATATTCACAGAAAACTCCAGAGTCATATGGATGCCTTGAGGAAGCAGAACCGGGAGCTCCGAGAAGAGCTGAGAGGCCTGCAGCGGCAGCAGTGGGAAGCCGGGAAGAAACCCGCAGCGTCCCCACACGCGGGGCGAGAATCACACACTCTGGTACCAAAGGCGCATTTGTGTTTTTGTATCATTTGCGTCGTGTAAAAATAGCGTCCCCGTAAAGATGTGGGCTTTGTCGCTGGGTGACGTGGTATCTCTCACGTTCCAGGTGGTGGGAGGGCTTGCTATCTTTCCATCAGCTCCATTTCCCACAAGTAAAGATTAAAGAACTGGATACATCAGGCATCTCACCTGACGCTCCAGCAGACAGAAGCACAGCCGCCTCCAGGCTGCGCGTCTCACGTCTAGAATTCTAAGACATCCCATGATGTCTCAGGACAACAGCAGCAAACCCTTACTGTGGACTTTACATGGGCTAGGTAGGGAGCTTTACCATCTTACTGTCTACGACGACCCTATGAAATGGATCCTATAACTAACTCCATCATGGCCACGGGTTGGAGAATGCGGAGCTGGGATTTGAACCCAGGGTGACTCCAGAGTCAGCTCAGTGGCCCGGTGTCCTTCTGTTCATCTTCTAGGACAGCTGTGTAGAATGCGATAGAGACCTGTTGAAACGGGAAAAGTTCCCTTGTCCCCCTCCCAGGGTGTGCGAAGGGGATGTGGCTCGCTTGCTCATTGTCCCACAGCTCAAACCTCTAGGGGAGCGTAGAGACGGGCAGCTGTGCAGCTCCAACCCCACGGCAGTGTCTAGGGGTGAATGTTTACAGCTGAAGCCCCAGTGGGCGTGTGTTACAGGGCGTTCTTTCAGTTTAGCTCTCTGTAGGCAGCTTGTGTTTAGCAGCTCAGTTAGACCCTCTGCACATCACTAGGACGGAGGGCTTTCTGTATCCTGGGTTCCTGCCTCGGTGTACCTGAAAAATCAGATCACATGTGGGCTTGGAGGATGGGTGCAAGGTTTTTTATTGGGTGATGGTAGCTCTCAGCAGACAGGGGAGCCAGAACCGAGATGGAGTGGGAAGGTGGTTTTCACCTGGAGTTGGGCAGCCCAGCCGCCGGGCTCTCCTCTGACTGCCCTGATCAATCTCCCTGTCATTCTGACAGTCAATGGCTTGCTGATGTCTGCCAGTGTGTTCCTCTCGATGCCAGCCACTTGTGTCTCTGCCCACTAGGGTCTCGGGGTCTTCACAGGCACAAGATGGGAGTGTGGCAGGCCAGGGTGGTCTTGGAAATGCTACATTTGGGCACGACAGCAGAAATGCCTAGGTCCCTGGGCACAGGCCCGGGGGTGGAGCCCTAGCCAGGGACCTGCCCTTCTCTACCCAGGACTTTCCTGCGCCCGTCCCATATCACCGCCCTGCTCTATCCCAAAGGAAGAACCAGCATTCTCATGCTGAAATAGTCGGTGCCTCCCAGCACCCACCTGCCTTTATAGAACACTGAGCTTTCGAGTTTGATCACACGGCTCAAAGACCGAGCCTAAGAGAGTGTGAATGTGGCCAGTGTTATCACTGCCTTGTCTGGGTTCTGTCTCCCGCACATGGGTGTAAACAACTTGAATCATTAAAATTATATGTACAGGTCAGGACACGCGGAACCACGTGAACACCCTCCAAATGTAAGTGGGGATATTTCTCAGTGGGTTAAGAAAAGTACCAACATTTCCTATCTGCACTTATTGCGTGAACTTTTAAATCGGTACTTCCAGGACTTGGAATGTTTCCGATATGACACAGTGATTACAACACACACGTGTGCACACACACATGCACACACACACAGAGGCACCCACAGAATACATTCCAGAGGAGCCTGCTCTGTGGTCGGTTCTCCCAGCATGGCAAGAACAGCCACAAATTCCTCTACAAGAAATTACGGGAAATCTTGGAAGTCATTCCCAGTCTTCGGGAGCTCTGCGAGAGTTTTGTTTCCGTGGAGATGGCTTCTGCTGCCTCAGAAAGAAAGCGGGTTTATCCTCTCAGCACAGCAAAGTGCCCAGTCCTTCTGCCGAACGACGAGTGGAAGCCGGGCAGGCTGTTCCTCCGTCAGAGGTAGAGAGGGAGAAATTGCCACAAATACTGGCCGGGATTGTCCACCTTCTGTGAGGAGAACCCATAAGACCCACAGGGATTTTTCCCTGCATATACTGTATGCCAGTTCCTAAAAAATAGTATCTACTGCCCCATTTGGGTCATTGTATGTTGGTCGAAATGTTACCGTAACAGTAACCCCAAGAGCCAATGAAGTCTCGTCCAGTCTTCACACTCCCTACAGCTTCCATTGTTCTCTTATTTCGAGGTTAGAGCTTGGGGAATTTCCAAACTTTTTTTTTGATTCTGTGCATTGTACTGGTCACCATGGGGCTATTTATAGGAAGAGGATCTATGCTCACAAGAGCATACCTGATTTGAAGAAAGGACGGGATATGTGAATTCCACACTTCAAATTTGCGTAGGTGTATCTGTGTGTAGTCGCAGTTTTAGGGACTGAGCGTCTAAAAGGCTGAGGCATGAGCACCCTCGGAACGCGGGCACGGCTGTGTGGGTGAGCCACTCTGGATCTGGTATTAAGGGTTCGTTCATAGCAACCCTCTCCCCTTCTCACTCCCTCCTCCTCCTCAGAGGGGAGAGCGGGGAATAATTAAACATTCCAGACCTAACACACCTCCTCCCACCTGCAGGATCACGCTGTTCCAGGTCAGTCTGCTGATAACAGGGGAAGTTGGGAATTTGCATTTCGAATCTTAGACAAGTTGTAGAGACAACACTAGAAGGAGCATCACATTTTCCTCCTCCGTTGCCACATTCCCCGTTGAAGACACATGAGCCTGAAGGAAGATATGTTGGGTATTGATCATTCTGTAGCCTTTGGGATCCTGTGATCAATTTGAAACAAGGAACCACAATAAGAAACACAAAGCAAATACGGGCTCCACAAAGCTTCCTTCACAAACGTTGGGTGAGGGTTTCTGTTCTTATCAACATGTTAGGGGAAAAACCCAGGCCAAGTCCCCCCACCTCGTACCCTAATTTTTTCTAGGACATTCCAATTATTTTGGATTTTATTAAAATTTGAATTTATCTTACCTTTGAAAATGTGAACATTTTCCCCGCATTTTGTCTTTTAGGCATTGGAACCTGCTTTTGGAAAAATTTCACCTCTGTCAGCTGATGAAGAGACAACGCCCAAATACGCTGGCCGCAAGAGTCAGAGTGCGACTCTCCTGGGACAAAGATGGTCATCTAACCACTTAGCTCCTCCAAAGGTGACCCTTCGTGCTTATCGTCTGTAAAGAGCAGCAGAGCTTCTGTACCCAAACACACACATCCCATCAGCTCCTCACCACACAGTTTCACCTCCCTGGGTGAGCATGGTGCTCCCCGGAGTCCTGCGTTTTTCCAAGGACATGGGTGCATGCCTTTCAAACAAGATCCTAAACCACAGCACTTCCTGCTGTAGGGCAGATTCCAAGTCCTGCCAGCTGCTTCCCTCTGAGCTCACTCATGGCAGCAAATGTCTGGCTGGGGCTGAGTGGACTCGGGGGCTTTGTTTCCGTGGGTGCCACCCACGGAGGTGATACGCGTGGCGCTCTCGCCACATGCCATGGCCCGTGCGTCTGGGGGCTCGCAGCCTCCCACGATCCCTGCTTCTGCACTGCGGTCTTGCACCTGCTGCTTGTCAGCGTGGACTCCTCTGAACAGGGGCTGTGCCACTTGCTTGGGGGCCACGGTGCAGGATGCTATTTTGTCTCCAACACATTTTTCCTTGTTAAAATTAGCTCCTCTTTAGAACCTTCTGCTGGCCAGTGTGTCTCTTCCCATCCTAGCTTTGTGTCACCCTCACACTCGGGGGGCAAATCTCGTGAGTCCTCAGCCAGCAACTGATACTGGGTCGATGTGGATGGAGAAGACTGCCCCCCAACTCCTGAAGATGATTTATCCCCTCGCTTCTTTCCCAAAGCAACTGCTGAACAGATAACACTTTATTCCCTGAAGGAAGATCAGAAATCTACTCCAAGCATTTGTCACAAGTAGGAAAATAGTCCTTTCAGATCCTATGAGTACAAAACATTGAAAGTCCCAGGACGGACTGCATAGGTCCAGCCTCCTGTGAGACACGGACTTCTCTCACGCTTCTGCATTGACCTGAGTTAATCACACGCGTGCTGGGCAATGTACGAGTAAATAGATAACTGAATGGGTGGCTTATCCACGCCTCCAAACCCTGAATTTTTAAGCAGCAGAAAAGGTAGAACATTATTTTCATTATGCATTTTTGAATTGAGTTTCAAGTACTTTATTTCACTGTTGACTATTCTACAATGTCAGCCATACCGTCCCTGAATTCCTCAAGAGCGTGGCTGTAAAATGGGGAATGAGAGCGTGGATGCCTCATGTGTCCTTCTGTAGGAAGCGGGGGTAGAATCCTCTAGATTCTGTGGCAGCTGGTGTGATGTGTTGCTCAACATTTTAAAATAATATGATGGTTATTAATGCAACCACATTTATTTTCAGCCAATGAGTTTAAAGACAGAAAGAATTAACTCGGGGAAAACACCACCACAGGAAGATAGAGAGAAAAGTCCTCCCGGGAGACGTCAAGACAGAAGTCCAGCACCCACTGGAAGGCCGACTCCCGGTGCAGAAAGACGGGAGGTGTCTGAAGACGGAAAGGTGACCTCGGAAACCTGGGTCACTCTACACTGGCAGCATGGAAAATTCAGATTCAGATGAAGTTCCACTTAGGTCTCATAAGAGTACTCAATTTGTTATTCGAAATAGACCTAGTAATTTATTAACCTAATTATGTTTCTATAGATAAAACTTTGAATTTCTGCAGACATGTCTTTAATGCTATAAAAGCAAATAAATTGAATTGGGTTTTAAAAAGCAAACAACTTGAATTGGGTTTTAAAAATCAATTACTTGCCCGAGCTCCGTAATTGGTATATTTCTGCAGAGTCTTTAAAAGAATTGATCTACCTTGTAGTGCTGAGCTCAGGGCTGTTGGGTGAGCCCTGGGGTCTTGCTGGAAATTGTGGATGGCTGAAGATGGCTTCGTGCTCCCAGCCTTTGGGCTCGAGGCATTGCCGGCTGCAGGGACCTTATGACAAGGGAGGCCTCTGACTGTCTTTGCCCCAGATTATGCATCCATCTTCCCGAAGTCTGCAAAACTCCGGTGGCAGAAAATCACCAGTGCAGGCTTCCCAGGCCGCCACGCTGCAGGAGCAGACGGCAGCAGCCGGAGTTGCTGGTGAGCAGGGTAGGGGGCTCCTGTTTCCATGCTTCCTGTAAAGTGGGGGGCTTTCTTGTGGATACGCGTGAGCAGAACATCTTACTACGGCAAGGACATGTCCTTCATGGAGCTGCCTAATTTCTGACCACTTTTGTCCGATTCCCTGGTTGGGTCCTCACCTGGGAGTCTTGCCGACACCCCTAGCCCTCCACCCCACACACAGCCCACATGCCGGTCTCCAGGGGCCGTGGCTGGAGATTCCGAATCCTACCGGCCGCTTCCCCTGAGTACACTCCCAGCTGAAGGCGTCTGGCTGGGCCTGGGCGGACTCGGGGGCTTTGTTCCCTTTTCTCCGTTTGCCCGCCCATGGCGTTGCTGCCACGCTGATGGAGCGCCCTCTCATCGGGCACCTGCCCGGCCTCTTTCCTGAGCCCAGCTCTGTCCATGCAGATGTGGGTGCTTTCTGCATTGGGGGTCCCACCGGGAGGAGCCAACAGTACCCCTGGTAGAGTTGGGAAAGAACTCCTTCCTCACGTTACTGCCAGAAAATGACCATAGCAGCTTCACAAACCCCGCAGGAACCTGTCTTCCTAAAGAAATGGAGCCCATGAGGTGGCCGAGCCTCAGGTGTGGTCCTTATGCACAGCACAGCCCAAGCCTGTGGGCACAACTCGCCCTGGGCTGCCTGGCACCTGGACTCTTTCCCATCCTCGGCCCAGGCCTGTGTGGCCCTGTAGGGCCAAACCCGACACTGTCTTCCTCCTGGGTCCACTCCCCGGGCCTCCTGCACCCCAGACTGCTTCATGGCCTCTGCAGGGAGCTTCACAGAGGTGAGACTGGTGCCATCTGTCTGCTTCAGACCACCCCAGGCTCTGCGTACCCTCACAGTCCCCTCTGCGCTCCTCTACGGGGTGGGGAAGCCCTTCCCATCAGGTCAGCACCAGCCTGGCCACCTTGTTTCTGCTGCCCCCTCCTCTTCAGGCCCCCAGACCAGACTTTAGTTACTTGCTGCTGCCGGGCAGAACTGGAGGCCTTGTCTTGCACAACCTCCACAACCTCCAGGCATCATCTCAGCTGACAGTGATGCCATCCTGGGGACGACCCCCCGGATCCCGGGCTCTCCTGGAAGCCTGTGATGCTCCTTCACCACAGCCCCTGTCCCTTCATAGGTCCCATAAGCCAGTGGTGCAGGGATCCGGCCTTTCTCTCCTGTGTCTGCCTCCTGCAGAACCATGAGCAGCTTCAGGGCCGAGGCAGTGCCTTTCCATCCGTGAATCTCCTGATCCATCAGAATACTCGAGAGAGAGTGATGCCCAAGAAATACTGACTGAGTGTATTCATGAAAGAATTAATGTTCTTACAGGATCACTTGTTGTTGAACTGACCTGACATGTGTATAGTGATCTCATGAACAAGAGGGAAGCTGTGCATCCATTCACTTCAATTGGATTTAGCAATCGCAGTAGGATAATGATATTTCCACAATGTATATGCTCTGTCCCTTTAAATTTAACTTTTTGCTTTTTAGACAGAAGCTCATCAGTCTTAGGGAGTTCTGAAGGCGGATTTCTCAGCCGCGTTCAAGCTGAAGAGTTCGCCAGTTCTTCCCCAGACAGTGCAGAGCGGCAGGTAGGTGGCTGAGTGGCTTCTGTGAGGGCGGCCCACCCGGTTCCCCTCAGGGAGACCTGAGAAGGTGACCTTTTCGTCCTGGGGAAGTGAGATTCGGAGCCGGTGTCATGAGATGGTTGCATCTTCCCATCTTCTCAACAAGAACAGAAAATTAAGATGATTCCAAATGTCTCTTTATTTCCTGAAGTTCAGCCTTTCAAACAGAGACTTTTTTTTATAGATTTAAGTTGGTTGCATTTAGCCCAAACAAGATTAATGTTTTTTATGACTTAAGAGTTCCCCTAGTCAGAGTTTCATTTTTTATCATTTTGATTTACAGTTCTCAGTTGACATTAATAGACTCGAAGGCAAGAATAGCAAACATACTTCTAAGCCCTAGCTAGGGGCCCACTTGTAACATGCTATATTTTACAAAAAAAAAAAAGTCAATAAAATAAAATTATTTTCTCTACGCCAGGAAATTTGGGCTGTGAACTTACGTATGATGTAAAACTAGACACCTGGCGGGGAAGTCTCAGAACACAGGTCCCGCTTGTTTTCTGTTCTCCTGCGAAAAGCCCACATTCTGTTCTGCCCTCTCCGACGTCTTCAGTGGGGGGACGAGTGGGAATATTTTTCTTGGGATTTTATTTTGTTTGGGGATCCAGCTAATGAGTTCACCTGGAAGCCTCCGGGCTAATGATCTACATTGAGAAGCAGTGCAGCAGCCATGGCAGGTGGTGTCTCTGTGTGGTGTTTGTATCAGGTGTTAAATGTGGCAGTTGTCATTGTGGCCACCCTGACTCCAGACCAAACATACAAGTGGGAGATAAGCACTTTAATAAAACACAAAACATGGTCCAAAGTCCCGGTGCTGACTGTCCGGGGCTCAGCCGCGCCCACTGACTTAGAGGCAGAGGCTGCAAAATGCCAGGGCAAGGTGCATTTCTCCCGCCTCATACTGCAGTGTTCATGGAGACCATGGGAGATTAGGATTATGCTCTTTCTGCAGAATCTTCCTGTAAACCCACCATCTTCCCTGGAAATAGCACAGGCCATGGACACTAAGATGAAAAAGGAGGAAGTACAGGAAGAAAAACGACATCCAAATGGCAAGGCAGATGACTGCCGGCGGTCCGGTTTCCCGAGTGAATTTCCAGGAGCTCTGCATGCCGCTCCCTCCAGACAGGACATGGGGCCCTGACCTGGAGGCCAGGCGTTTCTAGCATTGTTGACTGCCAGTTTATTACCAGTAAATAAAGCAATACGCTTTTCAGGAGGAAGATTTGTTTTAAATACTTAAAAAAAAACCCAAAACTATAGCCTCAAATATCTTCCAGCCACCACATTTTAGCCCTTGAGGAGAGCTCAGTTCCGGAAGGACGCGTCAAGGTGGCGGTGGTCGGCATTGACTCAGGAAGGGGTGGGAAGAGGCACCTGCTGCGGCTGCGGCTGCGGCTACAGTGTTTTGTGAGCTCCGAGGAGACCCAGTCCTGCCTGGGGCAGCACATCATCGCTGCTTCTTCAGCTCAACAGTTCGTTCATCTCACGCCTCTTGCTGGCCTGTTAGAAACTGGGAGTCGGCCTCAGGCTAGCTTTGCTGAGGGAACTCTGCCTCAGTAAAAGCGAATTCATGTCTTGCAAGCGGATAAAGCATTTGGATAAATGAACAACAGGGAATGCTACTTGCAGTAACAGTTTGAATTCACTGAAATGCTTTTGTCTTTAGCGCAGTGGTTGTAGTGGTTTGTCAGGGGAGAAGGAAACCCACATCATTTGAGCACCTGACCTTGCCATCCCCATAGGCAGGTCCATGAGACATAAGTGATGCTCCTCCTTGGCTAAGTGCATGGAGAAACCAATCGCTGAAGCTCATGAAACCACGAAGATGAGGACACAAGAACTAGGTAACGCGCTGTGCCCTCTGCTAGCGCGATCCTTCCTTTCTCCCCACAACCAGCGGTCACCCACCTCTGCCTGCTCCTACGTCTCTGGCTCCCCCACCCTCCCTCCCAGGTCTTCAACACTTTCCTCTTCTCGTGACTCATCTTGCATCTACTTCTTGTGTGTCTTGCATTGGATATGCCAAAGTTCTTTCCTTTTTTGTGTTTTCTTTCTTTTAATAATATAAACTCCAAAATAGATTGTTTGATTCTTTTCATGTGGAACATTTAAAATATTATTTGTGCTTTATTACTTCTGAGAGTAATTGATTCTTTAAACGTTGCCGCAGTTTTTAGTGTTGGTTAAAAGTTCATCTTCAGATACGGAACTGAACACAGCCCTGCTTCATTCACCGAGTTGGTTTGGGAGCAGGTGGAGTCATCTTAGTTCAAACCCCATCAAACAGGAGGCTGTTGTCCCGGCCAGCAGGTGGCGCACACCGTCAAGGTTTGTTTGGTGGATGGTTGAAGACAGTTTAAGAAGCCCAGCATTCGCTTCTATTCCCTTTGTATTTTCTCAGCTGAATTAACACCTATATTTCTGAGCTATGGTTAAGAGGGACAGTGTGACATAAATAACAAAAACACATTTTGCCATTTGGAATTTTCACATGCACTTATCTTATCTCCCCAGATCTTGAGATTATTTCTCTCAGATATTTTCTTTTGCTAATCTTTACAGGAGTAATATTTTCAATGTGAAGACAAAGATATTCTTTCTACATTCCTTGTCCAGCATTATGCACATGAGGTTATATAATATTTGCTGATAGTTAATTAAAATCAACACATCTTCGGGATGGGCCGTAGGAGCGAAGAGGTAAGGAGATTGGGATGAAAAGGAAAGAAAAAGCTTCCAAGAGTAATTTTTACGTAGTAATTACCACAATTCCCATGGCCCAGTACTCTAAACTCACCAAGTCAGCGGCCGTGGAAGATCTAGACTGATGGCCACTGTGGGACACGAGCTTATGAAAGACGAATGTTGGTGGGACAGATCATAGCACTTATTCATTACTGATAACCACATTCGGGGATGGGAATTTGGACCTGATCTACTCAGTCAGTACAGTTTTGGGGGAAATATCACACCCAGTGTCGAGAATGCCATGTAGGTGATAATCATGTAACAATTCTGAATTGAAGAAAAAATAATGAAACCACAATAATCAGGCTTTACATCATTTTTCATCTTGGAGCTTTTGTGTTTCCATAAAGGTAGAACAGGCACTGAGCGAAGGTTGTGCCATCACCACCTTCCCCGAGGCCAGCCAGAAGGAGCCGAGCATGGATAAGAAGGCGACCATCATCCGGTTTTCTTTTATTTATTTATTTATTATAATTTAAGTTCTAGGGTACATGTGCACAATGTGCAGGTTTGTTGCATACGTATACATGTGCCATGTTGGTGCGCTGCTCCCATTAACTCGTCATTTACATTAGGTATATCTCCTAATGCTATCCTTCCCCCCTCCCCCCTCCCCACGACAGGCCCGGGTGTCTGATGTTCCCCTTCCTGTGTCCAAGTGTTCTCATTGTTCAATTCCCACCTCTGAGTGAGAACACATCATCCGGTTTTCTAATGGTGACGTGAAGAAGATCAAACCCGATCAGAGAGTGTTGTGTACAATGGATGTTTTTTTTTTATAAAAAAGATCTGTCTTTTTTTAAAAGAAATCACAACTAACTCAGTTATTAGGAACGATTTTGCACATCTGTACCCCCTTTCCTCTGGGTGTTCAGGATGGGTGGGGGGGGACGGGCAGAGCACAGGCTGTGGAGGCGGGCGAGGCTCTCTATGAGCCAGGCTGTTCCGCTTCCTTGGTGCGCTCAGGCAAGTGAGACCCTGTTGTCAAGACCCTCCGATCTGCGCGGTGACACAAGAATGCAGCAGCACCCCTCCTGGCTCTGAGTTCAGTCATTGTTTTCAGCTTTTCTAAGCCTCTGCAAAATGTGGCTGATAATTAGGACCTAAGTCAAAAGATGGTTATGAAAGTTAAGTAACATAGTCCATTAAATAATGTCTCTTCTGCAGAACTCTCTAGAAACACAGTGGTAAACACTTAGTACATGTGCATTGATTGTAGAACTAGCATTAGTATTGCAACAAAGTTAGGCAGAGTCAGGAGCTAATCCCTGGTACAAGCTGGAGGTGAGATCCAGGGAGACGGTTTTTACAGCCGGGAGGAGGCACTGTGTCCAGCAGCCACCTTGCAGGTGGAGCAGAAAGCACAGGCTTGGGGTTCACGGGCTCAGCTGACTGGCAGCTCTGCCAGACCAGCTGTGCCAACACCAGCCAACTAATTCATCTCATCAAGCCTCAATTTCTGCATTAAAAAAATCAGGAAATATTCCCAGGTCTGGTTCTCAACTGGGGGCAATTATTCCCCCTGCCTTGAGGACATTCACAATGTCTGGAGACATATTTGGTTGTCACAACTGGGGGTGGTGGGGGTGCTGCTGGCATCTAGATAGTGGGGCCCGGGGATGCTGGTAAACATCCCAATGCCAAGGACAGCCCCCCAACCCCACAGAGTTATCCTGCCCAAACTGACAATAGTTCTGAGGCTGGGAAAGCCCCATTAGGTTATTATAAGGACCAAAGTTATGCCATGCATATATTGCTTGGCACCCATCAAGTACTCAGCAGCTGACAGCTGCTGTTACCATGACGATCATCACTGGTAAAAGCCGATGATGTGTTTGTGGAAGAAAGCCACAGATCACAGTAGCTGGGGGCCCACTTGATGCTGAGGAGCTGTGAGGATGCTGTGACCCCCTGGTTCAAACTACATGTCTCTGTGTGTCTAGGGATCATGTATGGAAAACACAGATGCTGAGCAATCTGGAGGTCTTCTAGGCAAGGTCTCCAGGGTGGCAGTATTTTTGTCCAGATAATTCAGGGTATATAACTCGATTCTAACTTAAGAAAATTTGGATAATTTCCAAAACCGATTGTAAATAAGGTGAGATAAGGGAGGTCAGGGCAGGGTTTGTAGTGCATTGAGAATAGTCTCTTAGTACCCACACATTACCAAATTGTATTCTAAACATTTCCCTCTTTAGAATGATCAGTTTCCCTGTTGTTAGCCAAGCTTTGGGTACAAATGTAGAGGCACAGGGTCCAGGAGTTCTGAAAGACTGCAGAGCGCGCCTCTGTTTTTTGTGTTACTTGCTTTAATGAGAGGCGCCTGCTTGTGGCTCTGTGATTTTATCCCAGCGAAGCCTCTTGACCCTTCCTGAGGGTGGATGTTAGAAGCCCCGAGCGTGGACACAGGCGTGGTGTGCCCACCACGTGCTCTTCCACCGACCTGAACTAACTTGCATGCTCCCTTTTTTGCAGGGAAATGCAGACAAAGAGCTTGGATGACCCCCTTTAGACGGTGGCCTGTGTTACGCCACTGCCCAGTGGAGGAATCTGTGATACCGATCTCATAGCCTGCCCCAGCCTTTCATTGTGAGGTCTAGCTTTCCGTCACTTTGGAGTAGGAAATAGCCGTTTCTTAGCCAGATGTGGGGGTGTAGGGAGGCAGAGTGTGACAATATAAGAATTGATGCGGTGAGGATGAATCAGCGGGAGAGAACAGGGCCTGGCACAGGCCTTGGAAGGACATCCTCCTATTCTGACCTTCTGCGTGGTCAGAGGGAATGGCCACTGCAGGCCAGCGAGTGTGCACCTCCCCAGGTCTCCTGAGAGCCCCTCTGTTCCCCTCAGACCTCTCTGGTCTCCAAAGGGAACCCTGACCCCAGCGAGGAGCCTGAGCTTGGACTTGATGATTATTGGGATGATGCAGAATTGAGAATTTGTGGCTTTCTTCTGACATTTGGACAAATGTCCCCCATGTGAGAAAAATGCCTTTAAAATAATGGCACGGAAATAGTCCCTTCGACTTCAGTGTCATGGTTTTTCTAAATAAGTCACCTCTCCTATTCTCTCCTGCCTTCTCTCAGCCTTTGACGGGCAGCGATGCTGTTGCTATGATAGATGGCAGACATGCAGTGACACACCGGGGTCCCAGAGCTCAGGAGAGAGTGGATGCCTGTCCGTGGTCCCACTTCAAAACAAACATGTACATCCCACGGTTTTCTAGTTCTGGACCCTTAATTTTTTAATAATTCCCCCTTCCCTACTTATAGTCAAGGCTCGCTTGACCATAAGGAATGTCCCCTCCCCTCCCGGATGACTGTCCTCTTCCAAAGCAGCTCCTTCCCCTCTTCTTTTCCCCACTTTATTGGAAACCAGAGGGGGTCACAATGATGGGAAACTTCACAGTAATGTGACAATTCAAGAGGCACAACCCAGGGAGTGTTTCTGTTGTTTGGAGCTGCTGGGAGACCCTTGGTCTCTGAGCTGTGGGGTTTGGGTCTTAGGGCTCCTCACTCATATTCACTATGCTGGACCTGGACCTCCTGCAGGCCCCCAAGGCTGCCAGGCCCAGCAAACTCTAGTTCAGAGCCCACCAGGTGAAGGACCGGGAACTCCACCTCGGTCCAGTCCTCTCTCCCACGAGCCTAGAGCCACAGTGTCTTGACTTTTGGGCTTGGGTGACAAGCCCTCCCCCCATGCCCCCTTGCTGTGGAGGGTGCCCATGGACAAGGTCAGCCCACTCCCACCTGCTGGGATGGTGCTTTTACCCACCCGCAGGAAGGACTTTACTAGATTAAATCCAGGTTCAAAATGATAACATAGACTTCCTCCCAACGTAGGTGTTTCTGGAGCTTACAGATTTACTATCACGCAAATGCTCAGACAGTGTGCACGACCTAACCCTGACGGTTTGGAAGTTGTGCAGTTTCCTAACAAGCAGACAGGTGAGTAACGTCACCAGGAACCCGCGTGGGTAGGTGCCTTTGCATGTGAGTGTGTAGAGGTGTGGAGACTTGCAGGTTAGCAGATACCTGAGCCCTGTAGGCAAGTTCCCCATAGCAGCAGCTGTCCAGATAATTTGGGGCTTACCCTGCTTAATGTATGTTTTCCTGGTTCTTATCCAAGAGCTGTGAGCCTGTGGCTTCTGTGCGGGTGTGTAAGTGCACCCAGGTCTGGATGCCTCTGTAAACGCCGTCAGACCTTAGTCAGGGGCTTGTGTTTCAGCTTTTCTGGGTGAGCCTGGCTACATGGCTCGAGCAACAACTGAGATAAGTGGGTGTTACTTATTCGCACAGCCTAGTCAGCGCATTGTCCTAAAAGCCACCACATTCTTTCCTGAAGTCTCGCCTGGACTCTAAAATGCCATCCTCTGGGTAACCCCTGGGTCTCTTGGGAACTGGGCTGCACAGCAGGAGGTGAGCGGAGGACAAGCCAGGGAAACTTTATCTGTATTTACAGCCACTCCCCATGGATCCATTATACCTGAGCTCCGCCGCCTTCAGATCAGTGGCAGCATTTGATCCTCACAGGAGCGCAAACCCTACTGTGAACTGCGCACGCAAGGGATCTAGATGCGTGCTCCTTGTGAGAATCTAATGCCTGATGATCTGTCACTGCCTCCCTTCACCCCCAGATGGGACCCTCTAGTTGCAGGGAAAAAAGCTCAGGGCGGCCGGGCACAGTGGCTCACACCTGTAATCCCAGCAGTTTGGGAGGCCAAGGCAGGCCGATCACAAGGTGAGGAGTTTGAGACCAGCCTGGCCAACATAGTGAAACCCCATCTCTTCTAAAAATAAAATACAAAAAATTAGCCGGACGTAGTGGCAGGTGCCTGTAATCTTAGCTACTTGGGATGCTGAGGCAGGAGAATCACTTGAACCTGGGAGGTGGAGGTTGCAGTGAGCCGAGGTCACGCCATTGCTCAGGCCTCCTACTTGTTCTACGTTGTGGTGAGTTGTATAGTTATTTCATTACAATGTAATAATAATAGAAATAAAGTGCACAGTAAAGTTAGTGCAGTGGAATCATCCAATCTTCCCACAACCCACACCCATGCCAGTCTATGGAAAAATTGTCTTCCACAAAACTGGTCCCTAGTGCCAAAAAGGTTGGGGACCACTGCATTAGATAATGAGAGAACTGTTTTAAAAATATCCCAATTTGGGCTGGGTGCGGTGGCTTACGCCTGTAATCCCAGCACTTTCGTGGGCCAAGGTGGGCGGATCACCTGAGGTCAGGAGTTCGAGATCAGCCTGGCCAACATGGTGAAACTCTGTCTCTACTAAAAATACAAAAATTAGCCGGATGTGGTGGCGTGCACCTGTAATCCCAGCTACTCAGGAGGCTGAGGTTGGACAATCACTTGAACCTGGGAGGCAGAAGTTGCAGTGATCCCATATCATGCCACCGCACTCAGGCCTCAATGCAGAGTGAGACTCCATCTCAAAAAAAAAAAAAAAAAAAATTCCTACTTTGGTTATGAATTTGCTAATATTTATTTGTAGTTTTTCTCTTTCTTTTGAATTGGTTTCTTTTTAAAAATCCTTAACCAGTAATACATATTTTTATACCTTTAATGCTTTCTGCTTTAAGTCTATTAAATCTAATAGGTACAGCAGCTTTCTTTCAGTTAGTTAATATATGCCTGGTATATCTGTTTCTATTCTTTCTTTTGCTATTTCTAAATCTTTACCTTTAAATGTGATCTTATAAGAAACAGACATTAAGAAAAATATATAATCTGAAAATAACTTTCCTTTTAACCTGAGGTTTTATTGCATAAACTGAAAATGTATCAGTGTCCTTACTGTCCTCTACAACCAAATCAAGAGTCTTTTAGTCCGAATTCCCCTCCCCAATCTTTCACGCCATTGTGTTGGCTTCTGCCAGGATTTTTACTCTAACTTGATTTTCACCCTCAGTATTAGTTATGATTATTACCGTGGTGTTTATGTAACCAGTGTTTACTTTAAACTTTCTAAATTTATGCAGAATTTGGGGCTCTTCTTTCTTATATTTTGGGCCTTTCTTCTTGGCACAATTTCCTTCTACTTGACGAGCATGAGGAGACGGGGGCAATCAGCCCTTTTGGCTCATCTGAAAATGTCCTTTGTTTTGCCTTGTTCATGAGTGGTCGTTCGTCCTGATGCACCTTCTGACCCCTCATCCCATAGCTATTACATGGCCACCCTGTGGCAGGCATTGTTTTAGGGCTAGGGATCCAGCAGTGAGCAAATTTGTGAAAAGTTCTTATTTCATGACATTTTATTGGAGGGAAGCATAAAATAATCAGGTAAAAATAAATATCAATATAAAAATCAGTCTCTATGAAAAGCTACAGAGAAAAACAAGAGGGTAGAAAGCAGGGAGGGAGAGTGCTGGGCTGCTGCCCTAGGGGGCCATCTGTATGCCGTTGAGGAGGGCCTCACTGAGGGGGGATATTTTAGGGATCCATGAGTGATGTGAGAGAGGGAGCTGTGTGCGTGTCAGGAAGAACATTCTAGAGTGAGAAAGAGCCGTGAAAAGTGTGTGGTGTGTCTGAGGAAGAGCAAGGAGGCCGGTGTGGCAGGGGTACAGGAGATGAGGTCAAAGTGCCAGGACCAGGCAGTGTAGACCATTGTGGAGAAGCCATTGGATAGTATTGAGCAATGGAATGACAGTGATTTTTCTGAGCGTGTTGAGGACTTTATTCCACTCCCACACGGTGTCTGCTGGAGGATCTGATGGTGGACTAATTTCTTCCTTCGAACGTGATTTTTTTTTTTACTTGCTGCTTTTAAGGACTCTTCTGTCTCCAGTGACATTATGATATGTCTAGTTATGGATTTAATTTTGTTCATTGTATTGGGGATTTGTTTTGCTTTTTTTTTTTTTTTTGAGATGGAGTCTTGCTCTATCCTGGAGTGCAGTGGCATGACGTCGGCTCACTGCAACTTCCTCCTCCCTGGTTCAAGTGATTCTCCTTCCTCAGCCTCCCAAGTAGCTGGGATTACAGGTGTGTGCCACCATGCCTGGCTAATTTTTTGTATTTTCAGTAGAGACGGAGTTTCACCATATTAGCCAGGATGGCTCAGGTGATCCGTCTACCTTGGCCTCCCAAAGTGCTGGGATTACAGGTGTGAGCCACCGCGGCCAGCCTGTTGTGCATCTTAAATATAATCACTGTGTCTTTCAGAAGCTTAGGTTGCCAGATTTAGCAAATAAAAATGCAGGATGCCCAGTTGAATTTGAATTTCAGGTGAATAATAAATGATGTTTTTTTGTTATGAGTATGTACCATGCAGTATGTGGGACATACTTATACACTAAAAAGTCATTTGTAGTTTATGTGAAAATTCAGATTTAACTGGTGTCCTATATTTTATCTGGGAACACTATCAAGTTCAGGGAAATTCAGAACTATTATCTTTACCAATCTTACCTTTCCTCCATTCTTTCTCTTCCTGTACTTCCAATTATAGCTGCATTACACCACCTCATTCTAGCGTCTTTCCCTCTTCACATATTATATTTTCTTGTTATCATCTGGGTAAATTATTTTTCTGGTTTCTCAGTTTTCTCTTCAGCTGAATATTATGTGCTATTTAATATATCATTTAGCTTTAATTTTGAAGATTATATTGATTTCATTTGTTCTTTTTCAAATCCACCAAGAATTTTTTCTCTCTTTCATTTTTAATTTCCTACTTTAATTTTTTAAATATTCTACAAACATTTGCCTTGTCATCAGTTTCTGGTAGCACCACGCTTGCCGTCTCGGAGCTCCGCGTGACACTGGCTGCTGCTAGCTTGTCTCTGCTTCCAATACTTCTGGCATTTCCTCATGGTGTTGCGCTTCCTCACCTATTTTATATTTGTGCTGGCAGCCTGTGTTGGTGGCGATCCTATGGGGCCCAGTCTGGGAGATAGTATCCAGAAAGCTTTGTGTTTGCTTCTGCCAGGTGTCCCAGGGCACGACCAGCCTGGGATCACTTCATGTTAGCTTCTTAGTTTAAGGTGTCCCAGGTACAGGTAGCAGAACTGCAATTGCTAAGGGTAAATGAGGGTCACCCTGTAGTAACACATTCTTTGGAAAGAGCTCAGAGAGAGACAGCAACACTCCTTGGTGCTCTCCATCTGCCGGCAGGGAGGTATTTTCTAGTTCCCTCTTTCTTTGGGCCTCTAACCCTCAGAGAGTGTCCTCTTTAAGTTCCCAGACAAAGCCCTTCATCCTATCCCAGCAGAGTGACTAAGGACCAAACCTCCTGGAGACTGCAGAGGTCACCAAGGCAGCCGCAGGTCAGGTTCGAGTCTGCATTCCAGCACCCTCTGGGATTTGTAGCCCCTTCCATGAACTTGGGTGCTCATTTCCCAGGGATTTTGTGATTTGCTTGAGCATTCCTCGGTATTTGTAGTGGATGTGTGGCTGGGATGTCTGATCTGCCCCATTGCAAGGGCAGAATCAAGGCCGCTGTGGGGTATCTGCTCCTCCGTGACACAACGGACCTCCAGATGGGCCCTTGAAGCTGCTGAGACACACTGTCCTGTGAATTCCTGGCTCCCACCCTTTTTCTTTTTGTCCTAATATTTCAGCCAGTGCAGCTGTGTGTCTTGTTAGAATTTTTGCCTTCACAAGCTGTCATTTAGGCTCTGACTGGGCACATAGCAGCAAAGTGGGCACTAGAGCATTTGTTTTCTTGAGTGACCTCCAGCAAACATTCGACAAAGAAAAATTACACTTGCTAGTTTGCAAAGGCCATGCTGAGCGATTGATTAATATTAACGCCAGTCTTCTGAAAAAGAAAAGTATTTATAGGTCTGTATTTTATTTTTGTTTAAAAGACCTAAAACTTTGACTCTCAGCTGGTCCATGTAGAAGGTCTCTGATCAGTTAATTTTCCAGCAGGAATTCTAAGTTCTGTTACTGTTCTTGGATATATTTATCAGACGTTCAACAGTTCTGCCTACGGCTGATATTTCAAGAACAGAGTGAAACAGAAGTCCCATTGTTTCCCACTCCTTCCATTTTACAGGTGCAATTGTGTGTCTCATGCATGGTTCTTATACATTCATACAAATCAGCCAAGAGTCAGGCATTGATATGTACCAGGCAGGGAGTGAATTCAGTTGCTCTCAGCTGTTGACCCAAAGAAGAGCCCCCAGTTTCTGCAGGGTGTTCCATTAATATACAACCGGAAAACAATCTTTTACCATTTTGTGCTAAAAATTATTTTAAGGGGTAGAATTTTTCCTCAGTTGTCAGATTCTTCACTGTATTCATTTTGCTTAAATACAGTTTGTGGGCTGGGCATGGTGCTCACACTAGTTATCCTGGTGCTTTGGGAGGCCACAGCGGGAGGGTCTCTTGAGGCCAGGAGTTAGAGACCACCTGGGAAACATACTGGTGCTTTGGGAGGCCACAGCGGGAGGGTCTCTTGAGGCCAGGAGTTAGAGACCACCTGGGAAACATACTGGTGCTTTGGGAGGCCACAGCGGGAGGGTCTCTTGAGGCCAGGAGTTAGAGACCACCTGGGAAACATACCAAGACCCTATTCCTTCAAAAAATAAAATATTAGCTGGGCATCGTGGCATGCTCTTATAGTCCTAGCTAGGGAGGCTGAGGCAGGAGGATCACTTGAGCTCTGAGTCTGAGGCTGCAGTGAGCCATGATCACACCATTGCACTCCAGCCTGGGTGACAGAGCGAGGCCTTGTCTCTAAATATACACACATACACACACACACACACAAAGAAGCAAATGGATGTTAAAAGAACAAATGGAGGCCATGTGTGGTGGCTCATGCTTGTAATCCCAGCACTTTGGGAGGCTGAGGTGGGCAAATCACTTGAGGTCAGGAGTTCGAGACCAGCTTGGCCAACATGGTGAAACCCTGTCTCTACTAAAAATACAAAAATTAGCCAGGTGTGGTGGTGCGTGCCTGTAATCCCAGCTATCCAGAAGCTGAGGCAGGAAAATCGCTTGAAACTGGGAGGTGGAGGTTGCAGTGAGCTGAGATCACACCACTGCACTCCGGCCTGGGTGACACAGGGAGACTCCGTCTCAATGAAAAAAAGAAGAAATGGAAACTCATCAATTAAGTTTAATTTGGCAGCTTTTCTTTTTTTCAGAAACACATCAAGCAGCTGTGAATGCACCCCACATGCAGGCACTGTAATCACCTTCCTGTTCCTGTAATGAAATAGAAGCAGTGCAGCAGTATTTCAGCAGGCTCCACAGCGAGTTCCTCAGTGTCCAAGGGTTCTGTCTCCAGTACAAGGTGAAAATCACTGTTATTCATCCCTGGAGGATACCATAGAGGGTGAATTATGGCTCTTTCCTACAATTTATTATTCAGCTGAAAACTGCAAATCAATATGAAAATGTCAAGTTGAATGTTTACCATAGCAAGAGTCAAAAGCATTCAGAAGCAGAGGGCACCGACTGTGGGGTTCATAATGGAGATTGGACTTCAAGCATAGGGACTCAGGGAGTCAGACAGCGTATGGGTGGGAAAGGAAACTTTCAGCCAGGGAGATCACTTGAGCAAAGTTGGGAGAATCTAAATTTTGTGCTTTAATGAGACCGAGATCATTCTGCCCAGAGCAAGATATTCAAGTGTAAATAAAAAAATGATAAGAGCAGGTACAAAAATGCATGTTGAATACCGGTTCTTTATGGAGTGTGCCTTATCCTGTTCAGGCTGCCACAGCAAAGTGCCATAGACTGGCTGGCTTGTCAACAACGGTGTTGGGGCTGGAAGTCCATAACGAAGGTGCCGGCAGCTTCACTGTCTGGTGAGGGCTGCTGCCTGGTTCACAGACGGCATCTTCTCATTGCAGCCTCACATGGTGGAACGGGCGAGACAGCTCTCTGGGGTCCCTTTAGTAAATGTGCTGATCCCATTCACGGGGCCCCACCCTCATGACCACGCCACAGCCCAAAGGCCTCATCTCCCAACACCATTGCTTTGGGGATTAGGTTTCAACATACGAATTTGGGGAGGACACAGCATTCAGCCCATAGTGGAGCAGATCACCACAAAGTAGGTTTAAGCAGCTAAGTGACACAAGCGTCCTGGTTTGGAAATATAAATTTACTGAATTTGCCATGATAGGTGTGTATGTTGTTTACAACCGGGTTGAAACAGTGAAACACAGCAAATGTGCTCTCAGATGTTCACACAGTTTTTCTTCTTGAGTATTTTCATACAGTATTGAAGTCCTTAAACTTTTATTATAAGTAGGATTGCCAGATTTAACAAATAAAGATTCAAGTCCCTCACTGAATTTGAAATATCAGATAAACAGCAGTAATTTTTGGTATAAAAGTATGTTCCATGCAATATTTAAAATATACTTATGTTAAAAATTATTCATCATTTGGCTTGGTGCAGTGGCTCATGCCTGTAATCCCAGCCTCTGGGAGGCCGAGGCAGGTGGATCACCTGAGGTCAGGAGTCTGAGAGCAGCCTGGCCAACATGGTGAAACCCTGTCTCTACTAAAAATGCAAAAATTAGCCATGCCTGGTGACGCATGCCTATAATCCCAGCTACTCAGGAGGCTGAGGCAGGAGAATTGCTTGAACTTGGGGGGCAGAGGTTGCAGTGAGCCAAGATCATGCCACTGCACTCCAGCCTGGGCAACAGAGTGAGACTCTGTCTCAAAAAATAATATAAATAAATAAATTATTCATCATTTATCTAAAATTCAAACTTCACTGGCCATTTTGTATTATACCTGGCAATCCTAGTTATAAAGCCAGATGATTAGAAAATACTCTCTATAAATCTCATGAATATTTTATAGATTATTTGCATAGAACATGTTTCTAAACAGATTCAATGTAACATACACTGAAAAACTGCATTCTGCAGAAAAATTCTACCCCAATGGCTCCAAAGAAATCGTGTTTCCCAATGGGACAGTGAAACATTTCAAGGATGGACAGGAAGAGACCTTATTTCCTGATGGGACAATCGTAAGGGTGGAAAGGTCAGTAAAGTCAGACAATGCGAATTTGAAACATCCCCAGTTTTTGTTTATTTAATAATTTCTTTATATTAATTTAAGTTTTTGCAAACATTTAAGTGCTTGTATTAAAAAAAAAGAAAATAATGTCATTGACTCTAGAAGTTTTGTCTTATGGCCTTGATTTGAATCCCTTTACAGAGACCATGGGTTTCAAATGGACTTTTAGGTATTTACTTCACTGACGTTAGGTTCGTTTGAATTATAACCGTAAAAATCACTCCAGTCTTCAGTGCTCACCTCAGACCACGTAGTCTAGAAGCCCGAGTCTATTGCAGAACATGTGCAAGCAAATGTTTAAGGCACACCAAGGAAGAGCTCATCAGAGCTGCTATTTCAATGCTAGTTTGTGCAGAAAGTAAAGATCCACTCAGCTGCCCGAGGGAGAGTGTGGGAAGTTGTTTTACACCTTCCCTGTCTTTCCTGATATCAAAGTGAACACAGATTGCTGTGGGCTGTGTCTCCTCGCTGCCCCGCCTCCGCCCTTTCTCTGAGGTCTGAGGTCTCCCGCTCTCACCATTTCTCCCCTGGGCAATTACAATAGACTCCCCCAGCTTCCTCACAGCAGTCAGAACCTTCCCTGTCACCTCCGGGGCCACTTTTCTGAAATGATTCAATGTGTGTCTCTGTCACTCCCTGTGTCAACCCTGCCATCCCTCTCACCATCAGAGCCAGCTGTCAGCACAGGCTTCAGCCTGCAGGTGAGCAGATGCGGCTGACCTCCCGCCCTGCCTCCTGGCCCTCCCCACCTGCCCTCTCTCACCCACACCGAGTTTCTGCCGATTCCCTGAGCCCCCCGTGCACCTTTCCTGCCCCTGCCCGTGGCCTTCTGCACCCTCATCTAACGAGATTTGGAAGGAGGGCTCCAGACCCGGGTGGGGGCATTATTCTGTGCTCCCCCAACCCCCACTGGCCTCCACCCTGGCACAGGCCGCCTTACCATGTGTTTCTCCTCTCAGGAACGGCGACAAAACCATTGTGCTCAGCAACGGGCAGAAAGAAATCCACACAGCCCGGTTCAAGAGGAGGGAGTACCCGGATGGCACCGTCAAGACTGTGTATTGCAGCGGCTGTCAGGAAACCAAGTATGCCTCCGGGAGGGTTAAGATCAAAGATGAAGCTGGAAATGTCGTCCTGGACGAGAAGCAGATGAGCCCTCAACACGCAGCATCACATGGGAAATGCCAATTGCAGATTTTTGCTAAAACAGACAAAAACTAATAACATATTAGCTGCCCTAAATGATCTTGGAGAGCCACCAAAACTTTAGGACTACCCAAGTCATCTAGAAATTGCAAAGGAAAAGACATTCTCTCCCCTATTTAGGAAACTTGGTTAGAGCAGCACACGTCAGAGAACAGAAGGCTCACAAAAGAACGATTTCTTGTCTTCTGCTAGCTTTTGAATATTTTGCTCTTGCTTCTCTAGTTCTTTTAATTGTGATGTTAGGGTGTCAATTTTAGATCCTTCCTGCTTTCTGATGTGGGCATTTAGTATTATAAATTTTTCTCATAACACTGCTTTAGCTGTGTCCCATATATTCTGGTACATTGTCTCTTTGTTCTCATTTGTTTCAAAGAACTTTGTTATTTCTGCCTTAATTTCATTATTTACCCAGTAGTCATTTAGGACCACGTTGTTCAATTTCCATGTAGTTGTGAGGTTTTGAGTGAGTTTCTTAATCCTGAGTTCTAATTTGATTGCACTGTGGTTTGAGAGGTTGTTTGCTATGATTTCAGTTCTTTTGCATTTGCTAAAAAGTGTTTTACTTCCAATTATGCAGTCGATTTTAGAATAAATACTATGTGGTGCTGAGAGGAATGTATATTCTGTTGATTTGGGGTGCAGAGTTCTGTAGATGTCTATTAAGTCTGCTTCATCCAGAGCTGAGTTCAAGTCCTGAATATCCTTGTTAATTTTCTGTCTCATTGATCTGCCTGATATTGACAATGAGGTGTTAAAAGTTTCCCACTATTTTTGTTTGGCAGTATATGTCTCTTTGTATTTCTCTAAGAATTTGCTTTATAAATCTGGGTGCCCCTGTATTGGGTACATATATATTTACGATAGTTAGCTCTTCTTGTTGCATTGATCCCTTTACCTTGTTGCATTGATCCCTTTACCATTATGTAATGCCCTCCTTTGTCTTTTTTGATCTTTGTTTAAAGTCTGTTTTATCAGAGACTAGGATTGCAACCCTGCTTTTTTTGCTTTCCATTGGCTTGGTAAATATTCCTCCATCCCTTTATTATCTCACACGTCTTTGCATGTGAGATGCATCTCCTGAATACAGCACACTGATGGGTCTTGACTCTTTATCCAATTTGCCAGTCTGTGTCTTTTAATTAGAGCATTTAGCCCATTTACATTTAAGGTTAATATTGTTATGTGTGAATTTGATCCTGTCATCATGATGCTAGCTGATTATTTTGCACATTAGTTGTTGCAATTTGTTCATGGTGTTGTTGGTCTTTATATTTTGGTGTGTTTTTTGCAGTGGCTGCTAATGGTTTTTTCCTTCCATATTTGGTGCTTCCTTCAAGAGCTCTTGTAAGGCAGGCCTGGTGGTGACAAAATCCCTCAGCATTAGCTTGTCTGTAAAGGATTTTATTCATTATGAAACTTAGTTCGGCTGGATATGAAATTATCGGTTGAAAATTCTTTTCTTTAAGAATGTTGAATATTGGCCCCCCACTCTTTTCTGGCTTGTATGGTTTCTGCAGAGATATCCAGTCTGATGGGCTGCCCTTTGTAGGTAACCTGACTTTTCTCTCTGGCTGCCCTTAACATTTTTTCCTTTGTTTCAAATTTGGAGAATCTGACAATTATGTGTTTTGTTGTTGCTCTTCTCGAGGAGTATCTTAGTGGTGTTTTTTGTATTCTCTGAATGTGAATGTTTGCCTGTCTTGCTAGGTTCGGGAAGTTCTCCTGGATCATATCTTGAAGTGTGTTTTCCAACTTGGTTCCATTCTCCCCATCACTTTCAGGGACCCCAATTAATTGTAGGTTTGATTGTTTCACGTAGTCCCATATTTCTTGGAGGCTTTGTTTGTTCCTTTTCATTCTTTTCTCTAATCTTGTCTTCTGGCCTTATTTTATTAAGTTGATCTTCGATCTCTGATATCCTTTCTTCTGCTTGATCAATTCAGCTATTGATACTTGTGTGTGCTCCATGAAGTTCTCATGCTGTGTTTTTCAGCTCCATCAGGTCATTTATGTTCCTCTCTAAACTGGTTATTTTAATTAGCAGTTCGTGTAACCTTTTGTGAAGTTTCTTAGTTTCCTGGCATTGGGATAGAACATGAACCTTTAGCTCAGAGGAGTTTGTTATTATCCACCTACTGAAGCCTACTTCTGTCAGTTAGTCAAACTCATTCTCCATCCAGTTTTGTGCCCTTGCTGAAGAGGAAGTGTGATCATTGGGAGAAGAAGAGAGGCATTCTGGTTTTTGGAATTTTCAGCATTTTTGTTCTGTTTTTTCGTCATCTTCGTGGATTTGTCTACCTTTGATCTTTAAGGCCGATGACTTTTGGATGGAGTTTTTGTGTTGATGTTGTTGTTGTCGCTTTCTGTTTGTTAGTTTTTCTTCTAACAATCAGGCTCCTCTTCTGCAGGTCTGCTGCAGTTTGCTGGAGGTCCACTCCAGTCCCTCTTTGCCTAGGTATCACCAGCAGAGGCTGCAGAACAGCAAAGATTGCTGCCTGCTCCTTCCTCTGGAAGCTTCATCCCAGAGGGGCACCAGCCTGATGCCAGCCAGAGCTCTCCTGTATGAGGTGTCTGTCAACCACTGTCGGGAGGTCTCTCCCAGTCAGGAGGCATGAGGGTCAGGAACCCACTTGAGGAGGCAGTCTGTCCCTTAGTGGAGCTCAAGCACTTTGCTTGGAGAACCTCCTTGTCAGGATCTGCTGCTTTCTTCAGAGCCAGCAGGCAGGAACGTTTAAGTCCGCTGAAGCCACGCTCACAGCCACCCCTTCTTCCAGTTGCTCTGTCCCAGGGAGATGGGAGTTTTATCTATAAACCCCTGACTGAGACTGCTGCCTTTCTCTCAGAGATGCCCTACCCAGTGAAGAGCAACCTAGAGAGGCAGTCTGGCCACAGCCACCTTGCTGCACTATGTTGAGTTCCACTCAGTCGTTACCACTGTGAGGGGAAAAACCACCTCCTGAAGCCTCAGTAATGGCGGATGCCCTTCCCCAAACCAAGCTCCAGTGTCTTAGGTCAACTTCAGACTGCTGTGCTGCCAGAGAGAATTTGAAGCCAGTGGTGCTTAGCTTGCTGGGCTCTGTGGGAGTGGGACCCACTGAGTGAGACCACTTGGCTCCCTGGCTTTAGCCCCCTTTGCAGGGGAGTGAACAGTTCTGTTTTGCTGAGGTTCCAATTGCCACTGGGAACGAAAAAAAAAAAAAAACCTCCAACAGCTAGCTCAGTGTCTGACTTAACAGCTGCCCATTTTTGTGCTTGGAACCCAGGGCTCTGGTGGTGTAGACACATGAGGGAGTCTCCTGGCCTGCAGATTACAAAAGCCATGGGAGAAGCGTAGTATCTGGACGAGTAACACAGTCCCACATGGCTTCCCTTGGCTGGGATAGGGAGGCCACCCACTCCTTGCACCTTCTGGGTGAGGTGACACCCCACAGTGTTTCTGCTCACCCTCTGTGGGCTACACCCACTGCCTAACCAGCCCCAATGAGATGAACAGGGTACCTAAGTTGGAAATGCAAGAATCACCCACCTTCTGCGTTGGTCTCACTGGGAGCTGCAGACCAGAGCTGTTTCTATCTGGCCATCTTGCCAGATCTATCCTGCCTAGTTTTTAAACTAAACTTAGTCATAGGCGTGCATGCCTGAGAAATGTCATAGTGCATACAGGGCTTGGTACTCTCTGTGGTTTCAGGCATCTACTGGGGGTCTTGGACTGTGTCCCTGAAGGATAAGGGGGGGTGTAATTGTGCATTTTCTGTATCTGTGTTATAATTCAATAACAAGTTTCAAAACTGAAGTGCACACATTGCAGGTGAAGAAGAGCATTTGGAGTTATTACTGTTAACTAGCGTCTTAGTAGAAAAGCATCTGGGCCAGCAGTTATGAAAGCAGATTCTAGTCCTATGTCTTCCACTAGCCAGCTGTGTGGCTTGAACAAGCCACTAACCTGCATGATTATTCTAGTGTTCCTCGTAAATATCATGTGAGTAATTTGAACTACAGTTACTGTAACGCCCAGTCCTTCCCGATCCCCAAATCTCTCCCTGGGTCAGGACCCTTGACCTCCACATTGCACTCCAGCTGCTGCTTCCTTTCTGGGAAACCCTCCAGGAGGGGCTGGGCACCCTCACCAGCCACACTTTTTACCTGGTCTCTTTAGGCCGCTTGATTCAGGTCTTCATCCCCAAAGCGCCATCGAGCTGCTCTGGCCGTGGACACCAGTGACATGATCCCTGCTAGACCCATGACTCACCCTCAGTTCGTGTCTAAGCAGACATTCCAGCAGCAACCGATGTTGTCACCAAGTCAGTCTTTCTGGGATCACCTCTCGCTGGGCCCCGGGCTAGCACGAACTCTCGGGTCTTCCTTTATCTCACTGGTTGTGTTTCTGGCTCCTCCCCGTCTTCTGGACCTCTAAAGCCGGGAAGGCCCAAGGATTCCGATGACCACGCTTTGCTCTCCTCCATCCTCACTCCACACAGCCGGTCTCTTGACTTCCAATTTCCTGTCTCTCCAGATGGAATCTCCAGTAGGTGCCAGTCCTATGGATCTAACTGCCCCTCAACAAAACCACCTGAATGTCTGCTCACATGCAGAAATTAACTTACCCAGAACCAAACCTTGATTTTTTTACCCCACAAACCTGCTACTCTCTGAGGCTTCCTCAGTCTGAGTAAACGACCACTTCATTCTTCCAGGTCTTTGTTAGGCCAAAGGCCTGGAGCTTTCCATGGCTGTCTTTCTCTACACTGGCATCTCCCTAGACTCTACCTTTAAAGAACATCCAAAGTCTGACCACCTCTCCTGCCACCATGACCACCCTGGTACAAGCTGCTATTGTTTCTTGCTGGGGCGATTTGAGAGCTTCTTAACTTAGCCTTTTTGTCTTACTCCTGGGCTGATGGTGTCTTCTCCATCTTGTAGCCAGAATGATCTTTTTATAAAGAAGTCACTTCATGCCACTCCTCTGATCAAGGCTTTCTAGTGGCTTCTGTACTGGGATCAACAGTGTCCCCCAAAATTCATGTCTTCCCAGAACCTCAGAGTGTGACCTTTGGAAATGGGGCTGTTGCAGATGAGGTTAATCCAATATGACTAGTGTCCTTCTGTGGACACCAGTGGCATGAAGTTCCTCTTCTTAGAGGAACTAGACACAGAGACACAGAGGAGAAGGCTGAGCAAAGACACAGACACATGGGGAAGAGGCTACGTGGAGATGGTGGCATAGATTGGAGTGGTCCATCTACGGGCCAAGGAACACTGGGGATGGCCTGCAGCTCCAGAAGCCGAAGAGCCAGGAAGGATCCTCCCTTAGGGTTTTCAGAAGGGCCTGGCCCTACTGCCATCTTGATAGAATTCTGGCCTCTAAGCTGTGAGAAGTGAATGAATTCCTGCTGTTTTTGCCACTCAAATTTGTGGTGCTTTATTATGACACCCTAGGAAATGAATACGGGTTCCCATGTGGCTCAGAATAAAACTTAAGGGCCTTACCTCGGTGCTGGGCCCTGTGCGATCTGGGACCTCTCCATGGGCCTCCTCTCAGACCTCAGCCCCCCCTTTACCTCCCTGGCTTTCCCGCTGGGTGCTGCAGCCTCTCCCACCACCTCGTCAGAGGAAGCAGTGTTTCTGCCCTGCACACAGCTGTGCCATGTCTGTCCTCATGCCCTCGCCCTATTCCATTGCTCTTCCTGCCTCTGGCCACCCACAAACCGATTTTACATTTTTTTCTGTAGAATAGAAACTTATTGAGAACAAAACATTGCTGTTTAAAGCCTGCTTGATTCACTATATCTAGGTCAATGTGTGGCACTTAGCAAATGCTTCACATTAAGTACATATTTGTTGGATGAATGAATGAATATCCTAATTTGCTTATTAGATAATTTTCTTGCATGATGAGAATGAGACCTGCTTGGAATTTGTTGGGGTTAAGGATGGAAGTGGAACAGATAGATGAGGTCTCAGGAAAGGTTGCTGCAAAAACAGAAATCACAGTTGCCTTCTGCAGGACTGGGCAGGTGAGGGAGGAGTGAGGGGACGGCCCTGGAAGGGGGCTGGCCTGGCGGGAAGGCCCGGGAAGGAGGGACAGGGGTGGTGGGTGGGGCTTTCTCCTGTACTTGGAGGCCGAGTGAGATCCATGGCTCAGTATTGAATGGGAGGTTCCCGAATCTGCTTCTCCTCAAGGCCTCTGTGCTCTCCTCGGAGCTGAGTGTGTGGACTGTGCAGCTCATCGGATGTGCACACACACACACGGGTGCTCATGGGCACACTTCCAAGTTGAACAGGTAAACCCTCTGGGTTTCAGGGCCATATTTTCAAAGGCCCACCCTGTCATTGGTGCCCTTTCAGGCCATGGCTGGAGATGAAGCAAAGCCTGCACTGCCAGCAATGGGCAGGAAAGAACTATTCCCTAAGGAAGGAGGCTTCCTATTGCCCACACGCATCAGGACAGGCAGACGGAGGCGTCATGGGAGATAAATAACTTGCTTTGCGTTCCCGGTGTGAGACTTTACCTTCCAAAGCGGTCTGGTCGAACGCCTCTGTAGATTTTTGTTTTGTCTTATTTTTGCAAACAGAATGACTAAGGAAAGGGAGGGAGTCAGGGACTGAGGGAGGGCGTGTCGCGTTGGGAGTCGGACAGATGCTCTCCAGACAGGGATAGTGAGTCAGGCACAGGAGGGAGCAGAGTGGGACATTTGCAACGTGGGTAGGATGGAGGCTTTGTAGTCACCAGGGGAAACCCACGGCGGCGTCTGTCTTTCACCACAGGAGACTGTTCTCTGCCCATGCACGTTCCTTGAGGCCACGGTACAGCCCCTGTCCACCAGGGCACCACGTCTCCGGCCGCTGCTCCTTTGTGTGCCGGTCTGGCCGAGCAGGGGCCTGGGCAGGCAGTCTCGGGGGAAGGAGCGTGGCTGGCCCCGTGGCACCCGCAGCTCTCTCAAGAACGATTCCCGCCACACACGTGCTTCCTTCTGGATTTCCTACCCCTTCCAGGGTGCTGACCCCATGGGAAGAAAGGGGGAAGGAGGAAGGAAGACAAGTTTCCTGATTCCTTCCCCAGACTCAGGTCTTCTTTCAGCTGGCGTGATCTGTCCTCGGGACGCTAGGAGAAGGTGGGCTGGGAACTTCTGAGAGAACATTCCAGAGGGACTGGAGTGGGGCCCCGGGGACTCAGGCAGCTTTGACTTGGGCCTGGAAATGAACTTGGGAAAAAGAAGTAATGTCTGTTTGTTATTTGGCTGTGAAGCTGGAACAGACTCAAGTACCTTGACAAAGGCCAGACACCTCAGTGCTTTGGAGCTCTCCTGCGGGTTAGCTATCTCGGCATCACGGCTTTCACTGGGGTGAGGTAGCGATGAGTCACTGACTAAACAGACCCAGGCTAGGCGGGTGCTACAGAGGCCCCAAGCCCAGGCGTGGACGGCCCTCATCTCAGGAGGGTGCACACTCCTGGTCTCATTAGCAGACCTTGCTCACACACGTTCAGAGAATCACGTTCCAATGAGATCATTGCAGTTAGCAAAGATCACAGTCACCAAACAGCCGTAACAACCCATCAGAGAAGAGTGTCCACTACACTCGCTCCATGTTTTTTGGCCGGGGACCCACATGAAAATCCCCTTACATTTTGGGACCTAGAAAACGAATCTCTTTCTTGATGCTGGCAGGCCTCTTTTCATCAAAACTGACTATTTTATAATTTGCATTTATTTTTCTGCCGTGGCTGCCAGCAAGCTCAGGGCTAATCTTAGAATGCAATAGTAACTGCAGATGGGCAACAGATCTGGGTCAGCGGCACCCTCCCTGTCTCTTCATTATATGCTCTTAACGTTTTAATTTCTATATTTAAGGGCTTTCTTATAGATAGATCTTTAGATTTTAGAAAATTTTGTATAATATATTGTGGCATACATTATATTTTTTAAAAATCTTGCCTTCATCAAATCTCTGATCAAGTAAAAACAGGGCACATTTGCCTCTGAGTCCTGGGAGTTGGGCCATGGAAACTTAAGACTGATGAATGAAATGTTATGAAAGCTTAGAAGAACGCACTGCAGTTCAGGGATTGACAGAAAAGCACTGCATTTTAAGCTTGGTTTAGGGGATAGCTGTTCTTATTGTTCCCTTGTATAGCTCTTGATAGCACTTTGTGATACACACTGTTTTAATTTTTCTTTGTGAAGTAGGAATATTCCCAGTTTACACACTGAATACTAAAAAGAGTGAGGTTAACTAATTTGCTTTGACACAATGGAAAGTGAGGCTCCTATTAAGAGTTTCACAAATTGGACCCTTAACCTGGAAACTGGTTAGAAAGGTTTTGTGATCAAAGTGACCTGGACGCACCAGCAGTCATGTGAAAACTAGAGAGAGAAACTATTTTTTCTGTAGTGTGTAGATGTTCTGATTGAAATAAATGCTATCTGGAGACCCGAAAAACCAAAAATTTGCTTTGAAGTCCCGTTACTGTTCAACTTTCCCGCTAAGCACGTGCTGGGCTGGCAATACTGATACGACCCAGGGACCCAGCCACACACCCTCCCCCCGGGACCAGGAAGAGATTAGAATCTGGTTTGCTCTTTCTCTAGGCTCTCACCAGGGCACTTGGGCGCAGCCACAAATGCTTCAGTTCCAAAATGCAAAGGATGAAGAAATCAGAAAAGTCCCCAATGCCACCGGCCACCTTTAGGGAGAGCCTGGCTGTCCAGACAAGATGCAGGTCAGGTGCATAGCAGTGGGGTAGTGCTGTGTGTTGAGGGCATCTGCGTAGCTCTAGCTGGCTGCTCCCAAAAACCAGACCCTCCATCGAGCTCGATTGAACCCCCCCAGTGACTCGGAGGAGGCTCGGGCTCCTGTCACACAGACCCTCCGTTGAGCTCGATTGAACCTCTCCAGTGACTCAGAGGAGGCTTGGGATCCTGTCACTCAGACCCTCCGTTGAGCTCGATTGAACCCCTCCAGTGACTCAGAGGAGGCTTGGGCTCCTGTCACACAGAGTCTGGCACTTTCCTGTAAGCATCAACATCAGCAGAACACGATCATGGCTCAGTCTCTGAGCAGAATTCTGATGATCCTGCAACCCCAACTGGACTCTTCTAAACTAGCAAGCTCTCTGTCCCAGGAGCACTTGGAGAGGCTGCCCTGCTCCACCTCACTTCTGAACGGCCGGCTGGAGCCACACAGACGCACACTGGTTTGGACACGTGCACACGCACTCCCCAACTCCTCTCACCTCTGGGTCCTCCCCTCCAGCCTTAGGCCCAGGGCTCACTCCTTAGTGCCCCCCACACCTCATGAGCAGGCCTAGTTCATTGTCTCCAAGACATTCTGCAAAGGCCTCACTACCCCCGAAGGTCTAAGGAGTTCCTACTGACTTAGGGTCTACAGGGTTCAAAATGCTCTGAGCAGACTGAGAAACCAAAGACCAGTTCCAAATAAGACTTATCCTGAGGAGCACCAGGAGTGCCCATCATCAATTCACAAAATCCTAAACCTCCAAATGGAGGGGACGTGACATGTTACCTCACCCTCGATGAACGCCCTCTACACAAATACCCTAGCCAGTCTTGACTCCTTTTGACATGACCCTGTTGTGGGAGCTGCAAAGACCATCATGGATCCCACAAACAGGCATGGCGCTGGGCAAGACGGCCATGGATCCCACAGACAGGGATGGCACCAGGTAGCCCATGGTGCATGGCGGGAAAGGGGAGGGCAAAGCAGGGCAGGGATTAGAGAGTGCAGAGGCCCAGCTTTAGGAAGCTGGTTGAAGCCTGCAAAGAGTTAACGGCATTCCACTGGGTCTGGGAGGATAAACGTGGTTTGGATAGAGACACAGGAGCAGCAGGAGCGAAGGGCCCACAAGGGAAGGACCTCGGTATTTAACAGAAGCATTGGACAGAGAAGTCTGGTGAAATGGACGGAAGGCTAGAGAGGCAGCTGGGATTAACTCACAGAGGCCTGGACTGTCCCAGCCAGGGGGTAAGATTGTGCTCTTTAGATGGGCGCTGGAGGGTGAAGTGTCCTGTGCTTTAGCAAAATCCCTCTCTTGATAGCTCAGATGGAGGAGAGGACAAGCCCTGCATGGAGGACAGTCAACCAGGAAGCAACTGAGAGGAAATGGAACGGAGGCGGAGGATCCAAAGACAGGAGGAGGGATGGCAGTGCCTGCTCCCTGATCAGCCAGGCTGGGGAGAGGGCAGCACGCCCCAAATGAAGGGCACGTGAGGCTGGGTGACAAGAAGAAGGCTGCTGGTGGTCAGAGACACTGGGCTATCAGGGGAATTCTAACAGGTGGGAGAAAATGCACAGCTCGGCGTGGGGCAGCTTGAGAGGTAACATTCGAGAGGCCAGGAGGCATTAGCTCGTGGCAGCTGCACTTTTCTCTGCCTTTGATCATCGCCTGTCTGGGCACCTGGCTGTCACTGACTGGAAGGAGAAAAGGCCAGGGCCGGGTGGCATTTGCTCCCCCTCCCATGGTCAGAGGTGGCCAGTGGCCTAATGAATTAGGGTGAGTGAAGGAAGCATTTGGAATTTCATGGAGAGGCCCATTTCCTTCCACACATATGAAGCACCTGCTAGTGCTGTGTAATAGACGCTAGAAAGCTGAAGTTCCAGGAGGAGGAGATGCTTGTAGAAACAATAAATGAACAACATGCAGGTGGGAGAGCCACAGACAAGACCTAGAAGGTTTAGAGGAAGCCTCAGTGTGAACCAAAGAGGAAGGGGAGGAAGAGGAAGGGGAAGGGGAAGGGGAAGGAAGCAGCTTAAGGTTAAAGGAACAAAAGAGAAACAAAGCTCCAGGCACACATGCTGGGGAGGGCCGGGGAGGCCAAGGAGAGGCAAGGGAGAGGCCAGGGAGGGCTGCAGAGTTGGGGGAGGGTAGGAGAGGGGCAGGGAGGTGGCTGAGGGTGCCAGGGGGAGGGCCCGGGAGGGAGGTGTGGGTGGAGGACTGAAGGGGGCCAGTGAGGAGGGGTGCTGGAAAGGGTGCTGGGGAGGGAGGGGTCTGGGAAGGGCTGGTGAGGGTCAGAGGACCCGAGCATATTGGACAAGGAAGAAGCCTTGGAGATCAGCGGCCAGCAGCGCTGCTAGGAAGAACAAGGGAGAGAGGAGACCAGGTGCCAAGGGACAAGACGATGACTGTGAGATGGGCAAATATCACTCAACCCATGCCCGGCACCATTTTCCATGTTAACAGACACGTGTAGCATCTTCACCTGAAATGCTCTCGAAGGTCTGCGAAGGCCACAGCACACTAAAGCACTGATGTGATGAAGTGTGTGTGTGTGTCTATGTGAGTACTTAGCACAACAGTACTTGGGCAGGAGGTAAGTCCGTTAAATAACCGTCTTTATTTAGAAACGCAGACCCCACACGTTTCAGGAATCCTGAGCCCCAGTCTGGCTTTGTCACCCCCTGACTCTGTGAGGTTGAGTCAGCTGACTTGTCAGGACCCCTTTGTAAAATGTATGAGGTTTTGATCCAAGTAGAGTTAGAAGTTTAAAAGTTCGCCCATTTGTAAAATTATGGGGCTCAACTACATTTTTTAAGCAGGCTTCCAATTCTTAAAAACAACTACAGCAATAAAACTAGGGTGAGTCTATGATTTCAGGCAAATTCTAATTGGCTGATTGTACGTTAGACCTTTTTCTTTTGCATCTAAAATTAAATGAACTGATACCTTCATGTATACACTTGATCTCTGTTAAGATGGTGGACTAAAAATTTGTTAGAATAGAAAAAAAATACATAAAGAGTGAAATAATATGATCTCTTCAGAATGGCCAAATTGTGCTGAGATGGTGATGAGGAGCCGCTCTATGTCCTGAGGCATCTTCTAAGAAAACTCTCTGGCTGGTGCTTTCTGAGTTCATCCTCCTCAGACCTCACTGCTCTCACATTTTTGTTTGTATTTCTTCATCCTCTGCCTGGTTCGCCTGTCCTGGAGCGTGGGGTCTGATCGGGTTCTTGGACTCCACGCGCTCCACAAGCCCATACGCCACCATGGTCAGGCTCAGGACCCCCAGCAGAATGTAGAGCTTGACGTGCACGCACAAAAACGTGCTGTACCCGAAGGCAATGACGAAGCCCAGGGCCTCCCACAGGCGGTGATTGGCGAAGGCAGCTTCCTTGCTCTTCTCAAACAGAACGCCGTAGAGAGCTGCAGAGGAGAGAGCGGAGTGAGAGCTCTGCCATGGGCCCCACAGTGACCCTGTTCGTGAAAAGAGCACAGCTTTCCCACTGCCCCATTTTCTCAACTAAATCAGAAACAAACGAACGAACAAACAGGGATTTCACATTGCGGATGCGGCTTGTCAGTGGCGAGTCAGTGGCTTCCCCAGCAGGGGGGCAGTCACCATCCGCGGGTGAAGCAGAACCCAGGAGACCCCGGCCCTGGGAGGAGTCTCAGCCCTCCCCTCACTCTGCAGACAAGGGGCACACAGCCCGGAGATGAAGCTCGCCTGAGGTGAGTTGTGGCTGCCTACCAGCCTCCAAAAGCAACAGCTAACGCAGGTAACAATCACACGGGTAAAGACACTCATCCTTTCCCTTAGGGAATGTCGTCAGATATGTGTACTGAAGCTTAGCAGAGAAGAGATCTTCACCTCCAGATTTTCAGATCACTGCAGCAGAGTCAGCAAAATCACTGCTGGGTGGGGGTTTCATTCCCATGTGGAGACTTGAAGAGCAAAGTCTGTTCCCTAAGCACAGCTTCCACGTCAAGGGACTCCTACCTGTGCCTCCAAGAAAGGTCTAAAGTCTATTAAGTGAGCCCTGGGGGGATGTTAAAGACCCCTCAGGTGGTTGCCTTAAGGTTTGGGGAGAAATGACCTAAGTCTATGCCATGGGCTGAATCCTGTCTCCCCAAATTCACAGAGTTAAGTCCTAGCCCCCAGTTCCTCAGGATGCGGCAGTGTTTGGAGACGGGGGCTTTACAGAGGTGGTTATGTTGAATGAAGCCTTCGGGGGGGCCCTGTCTGGTCTGCCAGGCTTGCGAGTTCCAGCCTCCAGCCCTGCGGGACAGGTCTGTGGTGTAAGCTGTCCCATCTGTGGTACTTGTGTTGGCAGCCCAGGCTGACTCACACGGTCTGATCAATACTTGTAAGTGAAGGCAAGTTAACGTTTCTGTCCTATTTGCTGTGTAGTCATATTTTGAGATACCTGGATGAGAACAGCTAGAGATGGCCGGGCAGTGACCACACCTGGACCGACAAGGGACCCTCCAGAGCATCCAGTACATCCTCAGCCCTCCTCCACCCAGGACCCCCTTCACCTCCTGGGCATGGCAGGCTCCTCCCCACGTGCCTGCCTTCCTCCCACCATGCCCAGGAAGGCCCCTGCATGGTGGGTGATCCCCTGGTCCCCTCCAGGGCTTTACACTGTCCCCTCAAGCCCCTCTCATGTAGCGTTCCCCTAGCCCAGAAGCAGGCCAGGTGAGTGCCATTCTTTCCTTTCCTCCTCCCTTCCCCGTCTCTGACATCTCAAAACATAGGAGAGAGGATGTGGGGGAGGAATGGCCCCACCAGTACTGAAGAGCCGGGTCCTTCCAGCCCCTTCTGCCCACGCAAGCCAGGCTACAGCACACAGAGGAGCAGCGTCCGAGGCAGCACCAGGGCCTGGAAGGCTAGGGGCGAGGCCCTGTGCACCCCCCATGCAGGAAGATGAGCGTCCACTCTGGGCAACCTGAGCTTGTTGCAATCTCCACCCCACAGCTTCGCGCCTTCACCCTTTAGACACCCAGTGGGAAGGGCTTCACCCTCGGCAGTAACTCAGAACCTGGCACCGGCACACATGGGGGGTCCCTGCAGGCCACTCAAGGCCTAGTGGCCCCCATAGGCAGGCACAGCCCCCCAGCGAGGGACCGCAGGAGAAGCAGCCTCTTGCTTGTGATTTAAATGCAGTGGCCCATTTTGGGACTCCCCCCAGGCGGCCGGCCACACAGACTCAGGAAAACCCTCCACAGGCTGAGGCCAAGTGGGCAGAGGGAGCAGGGACAGGAACAGGGTCAGGAGCCGACCAAGTTCTGGTGGGCCAGGGTGTGCGGTGACTGCACTCAGGGGCTGAAACCAGGGGCAGAAGCATGCGGTTCCCAAGAGGATTCCAGACTGCGAGCCCTGGGGTCCTTGAGGCAGGGAGGATTTCATTTAATTTTGTAAACTCTATGGCATCTGGCTCAGCGCAAACCGTCTTCCCAAAGACAAGCTCTGCCCACCCCTCCTTAGTCCTAGAGATGATGCCGTATGCAGGGAGGCACAGCATTGCCTGTGCTTGGCGAGGGCACCTGTCCGGCTGTGGCTACAGGGAGGGCAATGACAAGGGCTGTGAAACACTGCCTGGGAAGCCACGTCCCCAGCTAGCAGGGCCCTGGCCCTGGGAGGGCCTGGGGGGATGAAGTCCGGTCTCTCCCAGACAAACAGATGATGTCAGTGAGAGAGGGATTCCCTCCAAGAAGGAAAGTGTCAGATAAACACCCTGGAACACAGGCGCTTGCCTTCCTGGGGGCGGGCCTTCTTTCAACAGCACCGTTACAGACATCCTGTGAACAAGGCCCCAGGGATGTTCTATTCCCATCCAGAGAGGTGCTTTTTTTTTTTAAAAAAAAAAAAAAAAAAAAAAAAAGGCCTTTCTCTGGATATAAAGAAAGTTATGAGAAGCAGCTGGTCCCAGGCTTTGTTAATTGGTTTTATACAAAACAACTCACATTATGAATATTCCTCTACTGCTAAGGACCAACACAGATATGTGCTTTCAGCCAGGGAGTCCCCGCTTAGAGCCCTAAGATTCACATTGCAAACAGCTTATGAACATTCAAGAAACAAGAGGCTCTTTGGAACCCTCAGGAGAAGGCACCCTTCTTGTCCCACAGTGCACAGTGTCCACCTTAATAAAAGCAATAACCCAAGGAGAATCAAGTAACCAAATTTAGATTTAGTTGTGGCTTCTAAGACTATTCTAAACACCTCTTGTCTTTTTTTTGAGGGTGACTCTTGGCACTGGATCCCAAACCAAGGTTGAGGGAAGAAAATGCAAGTTGAGACACCGTGGCTACAGGTGGTAGACCACGCCACGTTCTATGGCTAAAAGTGCCCGGCTGTACTCCAGGCAGGTCGGAGAACCAGAGCCAATGGATCCAGGTTATAAATATTCTAGTAATACAGGCAACTCTAATTTTAAGCTAACTTTTTGGGAATATGGGTTGGTATCTTTCCAAGATTTCAAGATGAAATTTAGATTGTGCTGCCATGATTAGAAATTGCTGTCCTCCAAGAAAGGGACTCATCTCCCTTCATCAAGTTCTGGTTGGTTCAAGGCCAGCTCAGCTTCCTCCTAAGCAGACATGTGCTGCTCAGCCCTCTGAGGTTTTCATGAACTTAAACTTCCTGGGCCCTCAATGCTTCATATGTGTCACATGAAGAACTTCCCATTGTCGGAGTCTGGTTCCAAAATCTGGCCCTAAAGGGGAGATTCACAGCAAAGAGAGAAAGAGCTGGACTGTCTGCTAGCTCACATACTTGTGTTCAAAATTGCCTGGATGTGTTTGGGAGACAGTAGCGTCCCCAGCCTGGAGGACTTGGGACCCAGAAGGTGGCTGGAAAGCGGGCTGCCCCCTGGTCACACCACAGAACTGAGGAGGCCGAATAAGACGGGTGTGGCCCCAGACAGAGGTGAAACCCTCACTCCTGCCTGTCTCCTAACACGGCTCTACCCACAGAAGCAGGGTCCACACCCACAGAGGGAGATGCCTAGGACCCAGAGGATGCTGCTGGAACTGCCTTCAAGAAAACAAGGAGGAGGAATGGGGGGAACCATTCACCCACTCGGGAAAGGGGAAGCCACATGTGTGAATGACAGCAGCCCAGGCTAGGGGAGGAGAGGCCAATGCCAGTCATAACTAAAGTCAGGCTTTTCAGGGAATTACTCAAGATTTGGCTCCTATGTTAATCCAAACATAAAGAGAGCAATGCATTTATTGTTTGTAATTGCAAGGAAATACCCACAGCTAATGACATAGTGGGGAAAGACATTTTTTAAAAAGGAAAGTAGACTGAAAACGGTATTTCAACAATTCTGAAATGACTGTACATGTGTACAAGATTGAACACATAAGGAAGCAGTCATACCTAGTGGGAACCAGGCTTCTGGCTGCTGCAGAAAGGAGTGACAGCTACGCAGTGGGGGCTAGAATAAGCCCTGTGGTGCTGGATGGGGCCAGGCATCCGTATGAACTTGCATGCATTGCAATGCGAAAGCAGCTGGAGACAGACATGAACACAGATGTGTGTACACAGGCAGAACACAGGCAGGTGTCTCCTCTGTCCAACCCTGAGGGCCTGGAGACAACGGCACCTCAGCAGCCATGAGCACAGCCTGCACTCAAATCTTGGCTTCTAATATAATTTTCCAACAAAACAAATGTGGGTTCCTCTGAGAAATGCTGATTCTTGCCCTAGAGAAGGGAAAAATACAAAAGATAAGCGTGGAATACATTCTAGTGCTAGAAAGTAAGAATGCACTGAAAAGAAAAGCCACATACACGTGTCTATATCTATTTATGGCCCATCAGAAGGACACAAGAGCCAATGGGAAAGAGCTCAAAGCAGCCACAGAAGAAATAATGTGGCGATGGATGGTGACCCAAAGTGTAGAGTAAATATATGAGCCCATGCTGACGCAGATCAATGATTGAGTAATAAATACATCGGGGAGAAGGGACAGGCGTTTTTTATGGAAGAATTACAGAGTACACATAGACATTCCTCAGGGTGGAGATTAGCTGCTGTCTTCTTGACTGCTGGCTCCCTGGGCACTCGCTCCCGCAGAACCGCGTGTGGAAAGGGAAGGCAGTGGGTTTGCAGTGGAGAGATGTGGCCGGCACCACGGAGCCAACGGGATCAAGGTTAACATCGCTGGTGAGGAGGCCTGTCCCTGTCCTGTATCCCCCATATGACGGGACAAGAAAGCGCCTCACCAGGGAGCTGTCCTCCGCAAACCCACAGCCCCAGCCTAATCATGAGAAAACAGCAAACAAACCAAAATTAAGGAACAGTCTACAGACTACGGTGCTCTTCAAAAGAGTCCAGGTCATGAAAAACAAGGAAAATGAAAAGCTGTCACAGAGCAGCCAGAAGATCCGATGACTGAGTCCAACAGGGAATCCAGGACAGGATCCTGGCACAGAAAAAAGAACCTCGTGGGAAGCCTGGAGGAACCCAAATAAAGGCTGTCCCCCGACTAACTGTCACATGGCAGCGTTACTTCCTAGCTGTTCGAATGTGCCGTGGCTCTGTGAGATGCTCAGCATTTGGGGAAGCTGGCACAGGGCCTACGGGGTAAATGCGTTGGATCTATAGGTTGGTACCTTTCAAGGGGACTCTCTGTACTACATTTGCAACTTTTTTGTAAATCTAAAACTATTTCAAAATAAAAGCTGTATTTAAAAAGACAAAGCATTGCTCTCAGCCTGGCCTGTCTGCCTCCTCTTCCCAGGTGGCCCAGGGTTAAAGAGACCAGGATGCTGCTCCCGTCCTCAAACACTGGGATGTGGATGAGAAGCCCAACGATGTTGTTTGGTCAAAGAAGACAGTTAAGTGAATGGGGCATTGAAGAGAAGTCAGGGCAAAAGAGTATTTTTAGACTAGACATTCTGTATCTTCACGGCAGCGCATTGGCGGGGAAGGGTTGCCATGGCAACTGCACCCATCTTTCGTTAGCTGTCCGAGGGAATAAGCAGAGAGGAGTGCCTGGCACAGATCTCCCCTTGAGAGGCCGGGGGATGGCTGGAGCCCAGTGGGACAGTGACCCGGGCCCGGGCTTCCTCAATTCTGCCCCAGGAAGGAGGGGCTTGAATGGTGAAGTCCTCTGACCTGCTTCTATGTGGGAGACTGTAATGATCAGTCTTTAAATTGAGCAGTGATGACTGAAAGGTGAGGACAAAGTGCACTGGGTTTTATTCAGTGTCGTTAATTAGGAAAGTACGTGTCCCACATATTTTCTTTTTCTTTTTCTTTTTCTTTTTTTTGAGATGGAGTTTCACTCTTGTTGCCCAGGCTGGAGTGCAATGGCGCGATCTCAGCTCACTGCAACCTCTGCTTCTGGGGTTCAAGTGACTCTCCTGCCTCAGCCTCCTGAGTAGCTGGGATTACAGGCATGCGCCACCACATATGGCTAATTTTGTATTTTTAGTAGAGACGGAGTTTCTCCATGTTGGTCAGGCTGGTCTTAAACTCCCGACCTCAGGTGATATGCCTGCCTTGGCCTCCCAAAGTGCTGGGATTACAGGCGTGAGCCACCGTGCCTGGCCTACACTTTTTCTTTTTCTTTTTTTTTTTTTTTTTTTTTTTTTGGTGAGACAAATTCTTGCTCTCTCGCCCAGGCTGGAGTGTAGTGGCACGATCTTGGCTCATTGCAACCTCTGCCTCCCGGGTTCAAGCAATTCTTGTTCCTCGGCTTCTGGAGTAGCTCAGATTACAGGTGCCTGCCACCACACTTGGCTAATTTTTTGTATTTTTAGTAGAGATGGGGTTTCGCCATGTTGGCCAGGCTGGTCTTGAACTCCTGACCTCAGGAGATCCACCTGCCTCGGCCTCTCAAAGTGCTGGGATTACATCCCACATATTTTCTTAAAAGAAAGCACACATTTGGGGAGAATAAAATTAGAAATCTAACTTGCTATTTAGAAAAACAAAAATGAAGAGAGCTGCTCTTGAGATGTAGCCAAAGCTACATAAAATTTCCAGCTTTTTCAAAAAATAGAGAACAGAGACCTTGTGTGTGTGCTGTGCTGCATGGAGAGCCAGCCTGCCAGGAGTGCAGGAACGCAGTACTAAAATGCCACTCACGCATGACGATTGCGAGTACAAAGTCCCCAGGAGCTTCTCAAGTATGTGAAAATATTTTCCCCAACATTTTTTTTTTGAGACAGTCTTGCTCTGTCGCCCAGGCTGCAGTGCAATGACGTGATCTCAGCTCACTGCAACCTCTGCCTCCCGGGTTCAAGTGATCCTCCAGCCTCAGCCTCTTGAGTAGTGGGACTACAGGCATGTGCCACCACGCCTGGCTAATTTTTATATTTTTAGGAGAGATGGGGTTTCACCATGTTGGCCTGGCTGGCCTCGAACTCCTGAGCTCAAGTGATCCGCCACCTTGGCCCCACAAAGTGCTGGGATTACAGGCGTGAGCCATCATGCCAAGCTAATTTGATTTATTTTTGAAAAAAATTACTTTTTCCTGTACAGAAAGACAGAAATAGTTTCAATTTAAATTAGCATCCCTTATTAAAGGGAGTCTTTATTCCAGTCATTCACCGGACTTGGACGTTGATACTCTTTGTTTGACCTTAGGTAACTTTGTTTGCACAATTCAACAAGGCTTTCCCTGAGAGTATCATGTGTCCATATAAGGAAAAGGAGAGTTGAGTCCACTATTTACATAGCTCACGAAGAACAAAAACCAAATATGAATGATCACATTCATTGGGAGCATTTGGAGAGTTATCGTATGGAATATTGTGGGGATATTTGTCCCAGTGTTCTCCTTTTCATTTAATGTGTAAATACATTTTAAAATTCATGTAAGTTCAGATAAGTCATGGTGCACTTCTGGTAATGGGATGTGCATTTGGGGAGCTCAGTGAAACACCGGCTCTGCCACACATCCAGGGGACAGTTTAAACAAATGCTGTTTGATGCTTATTGGTAACGTAGCTAAGAGTCCAGCAGCGACGTGACATGCCACTAGGTTATAATTCTGCACTGCCAAGAACACCAAAGTGAGTTGCTGTTTGTCTCCCCTCCATTAAATCAGTATTTGTTCTGTTAAGCAATGCCCCGGCCTGGCCTCGGGTCCAGTCTACCCCTTCCAGCCTCCAGGCCTTGATCCCGACGAGCCAGAGTGTGGCGCTGGGCCAAGTACACACACATTTTGGTGAAGAGCTTCACTAGGTCCACCTGCATTACTGGGGCAGCAGAAAGGACTGTGAAACACGGCTCCTTAAATCCAACAGTGTGGGTTTGTTCAAAGGTGATTTTCAGCTGTCCTGTGGATACGCAACCCACCAGGAAGACAAGAAAGGAAGTGCCTGGAGTGTTCAGTCCACGATCTATGAGGTCACGTGTGCTCTTTATCCTCAGTGCAGGGACAGCAGCCAGGTCTGTCATCTCAGAAACATTGGCCTGTAGTTCGTTTGTGGGTTTGCTTTTTCCATTTTCTAAGCCCCGAGTGTTTGCCAGATAAAGGCAGAATGGTGAAGTCTCTCCTGAAGGGAAGAGGGTCTCATGTGAGCCATGCTCACCTCCGAGAGGACACTTCATCTCACCTCATCAGCATCTCTTAGACACGCAGTCTTGCCTCTTTGGGCCTCTGACACCCCTCGGGGCCTTAGATGGGGTTTTTGGGAAATTCAGGGTTCCTACCCTAAGTCCTCATCTGTGTCATTTTCAACACCACCCAGTACGCACACCCTCCGGCAAGCGGCCACACACACTGCCCCAGCTTCCTTCTCTCCCTAATGACCTTCCTCCAAAACCCTTTCATGCATCTCCTTGTGGAAAACATGGCCAGCCAGCACAAAGCACCTCAGAGCTCAGCAGAGCCTGGCACCAGCACCTGATATATGGCAAAAATGTTAACTTCAAGATACATATATGGTTCAACTTCACCAATAAATGTTATCCTCAATAAATGTTAATTGACTAAGATGATATTTTGACTTTCAGAGACAATACAAATTGGAATAATACGTAAAGAAATTAGCATAACGTGGACTTCTTCATACTAACCGTGTTATCGATCAATCAACTTGGACCTTATTTTTATTTTTTGGCAACACTTTAGTTTACTTCAGTTCTGGCCTCTCATTAGTTCCCACGGATGACCTGTATTTTGATATTAGAGGACCTTCCTGATGTTTTATTGCACTGTCTGCTGGTCTTTCTCCCTTGGTTGCTTCAACTCACCAGCCCCATCCTCTAGGACTCGCTCTCTGGCTCTGGGGGCTGTTTCCAGAGGCTGCTCTTCCCCTCCCCTTCACCAGCCTGTGCCTTCTAAGGAGCTTCCCTTTGTGCACAAATAAACCTGGTCTGTTTCCATCCTTCCCAGCCACACCCTCCCTGTCCCTCCAGCACTTCTACTGGGATTGAATTTCTGAAACCATGGCTTCAGTTACGTCTGCTTTTTCTCCCCCTTCCTCCCAGTTCCTCCTTTTAATCTATGTTCAAAGGGATTTTTAAAAAATGACCAGTATATTTCACTCTCTGCCTTTTCTCTGTAGCAGAATAAAATGCTACTCTTAGAGGAGATAGTTCCCAGCATCCCCCAGTGTTCCTGTGACCAGGGCAGGTCTTAGGATGAGACCACAGGGCAGGTCCCCCAGTGGTCTCATCATAAGCAAAGGGACACTCTTATCTTACCCGACCCCTGAGGCTGCCTTCCCGCAGCCTACACATTCCTGCAGACGTGGAGTTGCCTGAGGGAAGAGAGTGCAACCTCTAGAAACCCAGAGCTGGCTTGGCTCTCAGAGCTGGTTTTGGCATTATGAGCTCTGTGTGTGCACTGGAGCCATGGCCCGGCCCAGGGCTGACCTGCCAAAGGCCAAAGAGGGGTACGTGTAAAGGATTTAAAAGGTGTCAATAGCCACTTCAGTCCTTAAAATTAACATCTGGGCTCTATCAGCTTGAGAAAAGAAGTGGTTCTGTAGATCTGCTCGAATCTGCAGGTCACTCATTGGACGTTAAAATGACAGATGCCCTGGGTGATACAAAGCTCAGAGCACGCGTGTTCCGGAAAACCGAGACTTCACCAGCCACTAGATGGCACCGTTTTGCTACGGCTGAGTTCACCACAGGCGCCATGTGTTCTTCATGCTGTAGAATCACCTTGTAAATCACCAAACTTCCGGCTAAAAAGTCAAAGATTAATATAAGGGAAGTCTACTCAATGGTTTGCTTTTTTAAGGAATGTACTCATGTAAGCAAATTAATATCAATTTTCTTGACATTTACATCTGAAATCTTTGTTAATAAAAGCAACACCAAATAAATTCGAACGTATCTTATACCATTTTATCTGCATAAAGATGAAGAAGGTATCTATAGGGAATAGAACGAGTTCTTGGCTACTTTAGGGAATTTCACACTTTGGAAATAAATGTACTCATGCTGTGTGTGTGTGTGTGTGTGTGTTTAAGGAAGAACAATTTGTGTAAATACAACCATGGCTTGAGAGAGTATTTTCTCTTAGCAAATGTTCCAAAGCATCTTAAATCTTGGCAGGGGCTGACCACTCCGCCTTCCCCTGGCTAGACAGGCCACCTCCTGAGCTGAGCGGGCATTTGGGGCTCTGGCTTCTTCCTCGGCCAAGGAGAACCCAGAGAGCCAATCAGAGAAAAAGCTTTGGGGCCAGTTGGCTGTGTCAGGCCCTCAGCCAAGACCCTTAGCTAATTTCCATTACTTATCAGAGAGGGCAGACCCATTGAGGGGTCTGGAAAGCAAGGCTGGCTGGAAATACTCCCATCCTCACACCATTTGTGAATCCTCCCAGCCTCCATGGCGTGGTTGAAGCTGCTGGTGATGTCCTGGGATTCTGGGTCTTTCTCTCAGCCCACGTCTCCACCTGGGGCATGTGAGTGGCCTGACTACTCATCCAAGACTGTCGAGGGTCTGCAGGGCCCCTGAACAGCAGCATCTGATTGGGCTAAGGCACCCTCATTTTGCACCAGAGTGAAGGAGAGCAGCAGCTCTGTGACTGATCACTGTCTTCCACTCTTTCTATCAGGGCGACAAAGCTAGGTGAGCCCGAGTGCGGAGAATCTGGCCTGTTCCACTCTCATAGTCAGGGGGATCGTGTAGGTCCTGGTTCAGAACACACTCGTGTGAACTGTGCACACACACACTCACACATGCACACACACATCCTTTTTATTTTCCAAGTTCGTAGGTCCTTTTCCTTTCCCATGAGCCCTCTGCAGCCTGGGATACAGCACCCACTTCTACAGTCATCCACACTATTTATTGAGCGTCTACCCTGGACCAGGTATGCTTCCCAAGGTACTGGGGTACCACACTGATAAAAGAGCCGGGGGTCTCCATTCTCACAGAAGCCTAGTTCTAGTGGAGGAAACAGACAGTGAACAACTAAGCAAAACAGAGAATTCAAATTCCCATGGTGAGAAGAAGTGCGATCCCAAAATTAGAGCAGCAGATGGAATGATAGGGAGTATGGGGCAGGTACACACGCTATCCACATCGCATCTACACATGGGTGACAGAGCAGCACCCGGGTTTGTAGAGAGCAGCTCGGCTGGACCCAGGCATCACCAGGTCTGCAGCTCAGCAGCCCTTTCTGCCAGCCCCGCAAAGTGGAGCAAGTGGCTCTTTGGGTGGAAAAGATCCAGCTGCGTGCAGTGATTAGCCGAGGAAGCCGTGCTGTGATTGGACAGGTGACAGCGAAGTACGACTGTGACTTGACAGCCAAGGAAGCCGGCCTGTGATTGGACAGCTGAGGGCCAAGTACCTCTTTGTCTCCTGTGCCTTGATGAGCGGCAGAAAGTGCTGATGCTGCTGGAATTTCCTGGGGATTTTTTCTATCAATTATTTTTGTCTATGCAGACAAAGACACAGTGATAGTAAATTATGTCCAAAAATCTCCAAAGATTTCGTGCCTTTGCTCTCACAACCACAAACATCCATACAATTTGAACTCTGTCCTCAAGCGAGATAACGCCATCCTGGGTGACGTGACCTATTTGCAGTCCCTTCGCTCCAGCCGCTATTGCAGCGCGTGGCTTCTAAAATCTCAGCGAGTGTCAGCAGGTGAGACTGAGGCATTTTCCCCGTTTGTTTCCAGCTACGGTGCAATGACCGCCTCTTTTCAGTGGTCCCTTGAGAAGCCACTGTGCCGCTTCTTCCCGCTCAGCGGGCGGTAAGGCCTGTATGTGCAATGTGGGTCTCTCAGCAGCTGCTCCTGCTGGAAACTTCTCCACTGACTTTGGAAAGGATTTGCTGGAAAGCTGTAGAAAGACAGACTGGAAAGGTACTTGATATGATGAAGGGAGAACATCTTGTAAAGACAAGCATTGAAGGTTATTGCTTAAGTTTTGACTAAACATAACATGTATGAAAAATCGTATACATATGCATATGTATACATGAATATAAATAGATACATGTATATATGGACATGCATATATATAAAATATAGGCTCATTGTGTGTGTGTGTAAATATATATCTAGGGAGAGAGAGAGACATCAAACTCTTCTCTAGATAATTAAATTTCTGAGAGGAAAGGGGCGTGTATCCTTTTTTTACTGGATGCACCTATATACTATTCTGTATTTTGTTTTGTTTTGTCTTGTTTTTGAGACGGAGTCTCCCACTGTCTCCCAGGCTGGAGTGCAGTGGTGAGATCTCAGCTCACTGCAACCTCTGCCTCCAAGCTTCAAGAGATTCTCCTACCTCAGCCTCCCGAGTAGCTTGGACTACAGGTGCCCGCCACCATGCTCAGCTCATCTTCCTGTATTTTTAGTAGAGTCAGGGTTTCACTATGTTGGCCAGGCTGGTCTTGAGCTTCTGACCTCGTGATCCGCCCGCCTAGGCCTCCCAAAGTGCTAGGATTACAGGCCTGAGCCACCACGCCTGGCCTATTTCTGTATTTTTAAGAAGAACATCTAATTTAAGAAGAACAAAATTTTTAAGGAAAACTATACTTCTATAAAGGAATTTTCTAGAAAGAACTCTATCAGGTAAGCTAAGCCCCCACCTGCCCTCTGGGCTGCCCATTCTTGTGGTTGAGCTGCTTCCCCAGGCGGCCCCCAGAACTCCCACCGCGGTGGTTGTAAAGAAACTGTGAACCGGAGCGCTCAGGCACCAGACACAGCCACCTGAGACAACGGCAGTGGCAGGGAAGCCGTTTCCACCGCCCTGGCTAACTCTCATCCCCTCTGGCCCCGCAAGCCTAATCAGGCTGCAATCCAGTGTGAGTCCCGGCTTGCCACCAGTCATTTAGGCCCCGGCTCACGTCACCCCCGTGGCTGGCAACTCCTTTTCTCCTGACCGGTTTATGATGAGCTGTAAAGAAGCACACAGTGGGGTTGGTCCCTGGGATGAACCCTGGCAGACAGCTGGCTACATGGCAATCCTGCCTTCAAAAAGTATTTCCTGAATTCTGCACATTAGACAAGGGGAGACCTGTGACAAATGCCAGCCAGGGCCCTTTCCCTTGGCCTAAACGCCATGGCTCAGGGCCAGCCTGCATAGCAGGGAGTGTGCCTGGGCATGGTGTCCCAGATGGTCAGCCACCCTCCCTTGGGCAGGTAACTACACACCTACGTGTCCCACTCAGTGCTGCCCCTCTGCAGTGGTGCCACCTGGCAGGGCCCGAAGGCCCAGACGGTGTGGGAAGGAACAGGTTGGCTTATGCTGGCACAGCCGAGGAGAAAATCAAGCTGATGATGTGTTTTGAGAACTGGAGAGGATTATGGAGAGGACTACAAGGCGAGTAGGAGTTCTGTGCTTACAGCGTGATACCACCAGGGGTCTGGGGTTGGTGGGCTGTGTGCGCTGTGTCCGGCGTTCCCAAGGTAAGGACCCACGGACCTCTGTAGCAAGATCTCCCAATGTTCTCAAGCAGCCACGATTTGTCAACGCACCCACCTGTGGCGACCGCCCTCAGAGTCCCAGACTGTGGGTCTGCACCCCGGACACGGGACCAGGGCCCTTCTCAGGAAAATGGGCTGTGTGTGGGCACTAAAGGCAAGACTCTGTTTTTCCAAGGAATCCCCAATATCCTGTGTTTTTCTTACCCAGTGTGTTCAGTTAATGAATGATATTGAGCTGTGTATTTCCAGTGGCCCGAAAGCCATGATCAGTATCTACTCAAGTGGGCAACATGAGCTCTGTGTGGATAAACCTAATGAACAGGGCTTAGCGGAGAGGATGGGCATGCCTGGCCTTCGCTTTCTAGTCCTCCTCTCCTCTGTCCCCCATCCCTCCCCAGCCCGGATGTTCGGAAGTTGTTTTTAAACCCCTTTACCCCACTGCCTTCACACTGTGTCTCTTATTTTGTAGGAACTGAGTGTCTTGATTTATCTGCTCATCAGCTATTAGTTAACACCAACTGCATGTCATGCACTGGGCCAGACAGTCTCTAGAAGCTCACGCAACTGTTATCCTTGTGATCTATGAAGAAAAATATCACATAAAGTTAAAAAAAAAATAAATACGTAGAAGAAAGATTCCATGCTGCAGTAGAGGGTCTGTAAGTGCTCCTGTGCCCATGGGGGTTCTGGTAAAATCTGCCCCATCCCTAGTGTTTTGAAGATGGAACAAGGCTTGTTCTGCGGGACTGCCCCAGGCCCAGAAGTGAGCAGAAGCCAGAGAGCATTTTGCCCTGGGTTTTGTACTTCGTTTGCATTCAGCAAATATTTGTTGGATTTTAGTAGAATGTACAGAGTCTGCCAAAATAAGAGAAGTATGAACTTTCCGAGAGGAGATTTAACATGCTGTGAGCCCCTGACTCTAGGAAAGTGTTTACTGAAATGCCCTCATGTCAGGAAGACTCAATTTATCTTTCATATGTCTACAGATTTCTTTCCTTTTACCATCTGTGAGCCCTGAAAATCTGAGACAGGTCTCAGTTAACTTAGAAAGCTTATTTTGCCCAGGTTGAGAACGCACCCGTGACACAGCCTCAGGAGGTACTGACGACATGTGCCCAAGGTGGCCGGGGCACAGCTTAGTTTTCTACATTTTAGGGAGATGTGAGACATCAATCAATATATGCAAGAAGTACATTGATTCAGTCTGGAAAGCGGGGACAACTTGAAGCTTCTCAGGAGAGAGATAAGTTTGTACCCCTTTTTGTTACCGACACAGTAAGTTCAAGTTAAGGGCTTGTTGATGGGCATTTCCAGTATCAACCTTGATCCAATCAGGTACCTGATTCAATATTGCTGTATTTCCTTAACAATGAAGCATGCATTTTTTTCCCCTAATTTCATTCATAAGGAAAAAGTGCCTCAATTCTCTGACAGTTCCAAAACACAATTCTTAGTAAAAGAGGCAGATCGTGATCTGTTTGAGTTGTACATCCCCCCAGGCTAATTCACCTGGCGTAGGAGGTGCTCAGAGGCCACCAACATTGCCACAAGGTCCATCTTTGTGGATGGGGTAGGAACAGTGTGCAGAACAAGGGGGCATTGTCTTGGACCCACCGCAAGGACACCCTCTGCAAATGGACTTGGTGAAAATTCCACCCTGGGCCCTGTGGCTATTCCCCTTTCTGTGTGAGGCCAGCAGGGATCAGCTTCCTTCTGTGAAAGGAAAATAAAATCTCGGGAACCCATTCACTATGCCAAAAGGAAAAGTTAAGGCTGGAAGCTGAGTCATGCAAGAAACTGCCTTTCCTTTTGTTCCTAAGCAGATAGCCTCACATAGAAGGCCAGGTGTCTCCACAGGCAGCTGCTCTGTGGTCACCTTATCTTAGATAAGTGCCAACTTACTGAGCATGACATGAATACATAACTGAGTGTTCCCTCTTCCCCTCCTTTTCACACACAACACGTGGATTCAGTAAGTCTAATCAAAGACTCACAAGAATGTGACCCTATGCTCCCTCTTTCCCTTCCTGCTCACTTTTCCTCTTTAAATATTGAAGGCCCAAAATGCTCTTAGAAAAAGCACAGATCTGGGCAACGCGGTGACTCATGCCTGTAATCCCAGCACTTTGGAAGGCCGAGGCGGGCGGATCACCTGAGATCGGGAGTTCGAGACCAGTCTCACCAACATGGAGAAACTCCGTCTCTACTAAAATACAAAATTAGCTGGGCGTGGTGGCGCATGCCTGTAATCCCAGCTACTCGGGAGGCTGAGGCAGGAGAATTACTTGAATCCGGGAGGAGGAGGACGCGGTGAGCTGAGATTGTGCCATTGCACTCCAGCCTGGGCAAAAAGAGCAAAACTCCATCTCGAAAAAGAAAAAGAGAAAAAGAAAAAGCACAGATCACAGATGTTCCTGTGCTTTTGTGTTCCCTGTTCCCAGGCACATCCTCAAACTTGACAGAATAAACCTTTACACTGATTGGGACCAGCCTCAGACACTTTTTGGTTTAGACTTCCTAAGAAACGGTACTGTTGGATCTCTGTGGAGTCATAGTTTGTTACACCAATTCTTTCTTTCTTTGTTATTCACATACAGTGAGAGAGATGACTGAGTCCAGTTTGTTTTATATTTTTGAACTCTGAAATCATGTCAGCTTCCTTGCAGTATAACTTTGACAAAGAGCAAATGTACATTATAAAAAAAGTTTTTCTTGTAATTGTGAGTTCTCAATCACGGGCCCATACTCAATATTCCCATCAAATACAACCCGCTCACACAGCCTGTTATCCTAGGCGTTAACTTTCATCTGAAGCCTCATTTTTGTCTCTTATCTGAAGCCAACTGCATTCCCATTGTCCTGGGGTCCTGTTGGCAGCCACTTCTCCTCCCATAACAATAAGATGCTGTGCAAATTGTGTCCTTTGCTTTGCTCCCCTCATCACTGGTGGACTTGAGATTGTCAGCTGAAATTAAGACTGTTGAGGCAGAAATAATTTTATCACAGTTTATTGAAAGCCAAATGTGAGGTTGGACCTGGGAAGACATACCCACGGAGTTGACAGCATTCTGGAGTCTGTCACAAGGCCAAAGGTTTTTGTAGGAGAGTTTAAATGAGTAGTCTTCTTTCTTTTGGAGGATGCAACTCAGAGGTCACAATCATTACTACAGATTACGACCTGCAGGCTAACAATGTCCACATGAAAACAAATCAGTAAAACTTCATGCTTCAGCTCATCTTAAAATCACAGTGCCCTCTCCAGCGTCAGCAGGTGATACATTGGTCTATACTATACAACAATCATTTGAGGAACTTATGATAAGACAGGGTGCTGTCCCCCGCGACCTCTGGCCAGGTTTCAGCCAGCAAAGGGACCCACAAAGGGAGCCACTCCAGCAGACCTAGACTGAGCGGTCTCGGGGCTCTTTGACTCTCTAAGGACTGAGATATTCATAATTCTTTTTAAATTATCCATGGAAACAGCAGGACAAAAAATGCACAGGGCCTCCTAGTGCCTGGGTGAATGTGCTCAGCCCTCTTTGAAGAGAAACCTCAAGGATACGGAAGTGAAGGCTTTGAAAGACAGGGTTCTATTGAGATGAAGGGTGCCTATTCCTTAACAGCAAGTAATTCATATGCTATTGAAATGAATTTAGCATTTTCCCTTGAAAGCACACAGCATTTTCCCCCTCATTAACAAATGTGCTCCTCCTTCCCCTCCCCCAGCCTCTACAAAGGATTTGAAGGCACCACCTGAGATCAGGGGGCGCCTGCAGGGGGTAGGAGCCGCTCTCAAGGCAGGTGGCCAGCTTTGCTGATCCCGAGACCTCATCCTCGGCTTTTGAGTATCTAATGTACAGTTACATCTGTACCTTGAAACATGAGATTGGGTTTTGAAGTCTCAAACTAATACACATCAATAAAAGGCCAGTGACGGGAACTGAAGAGGAAGTAAGGGCACTGGAATCCTCTCAAAGCAAATACCTTCCTGCGCTCATGGACTTCCTTAAGAACATCGCTTATTACACAATCTCACAGTGAATTGTGGATTGCCTGGTATTGTTTTCTAGGTATTTCATGCAGTCTTGTTTTCCCAGCTGGACTCCACTGAAATTCAGACTAAATTCAACTAACCATCATATGTCAGGCAGTCCTAATCTCTTTCACACATGCCTACTTTTTTTATCCTCCAAGGATAAGGATCTGGCATCTTTGTTGATTTTTCTGTTGCACTGCTCTGCTTGATTTCAAATATACACATAATTTTCGGTGGAAAATTCCATGAGTATTGCACCCTTCGTTTACGGTCATACTCAACTGAATCAAAGAAAGAATATATTTTCTTATTCCTAGTAGCCCATTCTCACTCACATAGAACAAAATATAAGCAATGGGTTAAAAATCTAAACAGAGAGACTGATTTAAGTAATAATAAAACTCTCTTCTCCCGCACAGCTGGCTCTGCGTAAATTACTTTTTCTCTATTGCAATTCCCCTGTCTTGATAAATCAGCTCTGTCTAGGCAGTGGGCAAGGTGAACCCCTTGGGCAGTTACAAATGTGTGGGCTCATCCGGGATTGCCCTTGTGGCTGCCTGCCCATGGTTCAGTAGCCCCCTCTCCAGCGATGGATCCAGAGGCCAGACCAAGCGGCCACGTAGTTCTCTCGGACTAGGGGCTAATTGTGGTATTCTCTCTGCTGGTGGGGCGCTGCCGACGCAATATGCATGGATTTAATTGCAATAGAATTATAGTCCTGGGGAGGCATCTCTTAACTGTAACCCTATCACAGGATGTCTGTCTGTAGCCCCATGGTGGGGTATATGTTTGTAACCCCATTGCAGGATATCTGGGTTGGTGAGTATCCTAGGCATTGCCAATGCCTCCTTCCTTCTGCTGACTGGTTCTGTACCCTCCGGTGGGGTGTCTGTAGCCCCACTGAGGGATGTTGGCTTGTAGCTCCACCATGGGGTGTCTGTGTCTGTAACCCAATTCGGGGTGTCTGTCTCAGTTTGTCTCCTGGGGGTCTCAGTTGGCTCTTTCTTTTATATTTATTTTTTGAGACAGAGTCTCCCTCTGTCACCCAGGCTGGAGTGCAGTGGCACAATCTTGGCTCACTGCAACCTCTGCCTCCTGAGTTGGGATCAAGTGATTCTGCTGCCTCAGCCTCCTGAGTAGCTGGCACTACAGGTGTGCACCAGCATGCCCGGCTAATTTTTGCATTTTTTGTAGAGATGGGATTTTACCACACTGGCCAGGCTGGTCTCGAACTTCTGTCCTCAAGTGATCCTCCTGCCTTGGCCTCTTAAAGTGCTGGGATTACAGGCGCGAGCCACTGCGCCCAGCCTCAGTTGGCTCTTTCTAACTAGTAGAAAGAGTCTTGGTTTGGGAGACTTCTCCTCAATCAGGAAGATTTCGAGGAGATTTCTCAGATGGAGAATAGAAGGACAGTTTGGAAGGGACACTCTTGGAGTTCTTGGTTAGGGATCTGATTTGGAAAACGCTGTGTTCATCTTGTCTTTATGTGTGTTTGTATATGTGGAGGGGATCTCAGAGGGAATTGCTGATGGACGTTCAGCAGGCCTAACTCAGAGAACCCTCCTTATTTGTCTGGTCACATTCGGTGAGCCCTGAAAAATGCTCAGCAGGCCTGTCTCGGGGTGACTATGTGCTCTTCGCCTTGCCCAGAGACCCCATTGTGAATTACCCTTTGGAGGTCATCCCGCCCCAGCTGGGGTGGATCAAAGACAACAGAGACCAACGGGAGAAAGTTTGGGCTTTGCCAGGCTGATAGTGGGTGCTGAATGAGGTGATTCATGTCTGTTTTGTTATGTGTATTTCGCTGGGATGGAAAATGTTAATTGGGTTCCCCAGGCAGCCTGTTGGGCAGCATCTTGCAAATTAAGAATCTTGTCTGTGGTTCCATAACACAGAAAGGGGTGATTTTCTCTTGTAAAGTGGTTTGAACCCCACAGCCATGGCACTAGCGAGCAGGGTCATCAGAGCTGCTCCATTCTTCTGGAAGCTGCAGAGAAAGGGAGCCCGGAAACCTGGTATGCCGGCAAAAAGGGTAAGAAATTCTTACCAGCCAAGTTTCTGGTCTCTCTCTCTTCCTCTGTCTGTGTAAACGGTAATCGTCACTATTTGTCTCTCTGCAAGGGTTTGATTAATAGACAAGGGATTTGTGAGACTACTCTTAGGTTATAGCAAATCTGGTGTACTTTGTGCTGAGAATTTGTCTTTCTGTGTTCTGTAATGGACAGAGGGATAGCACAGGCTAGAACGTGGGTTTAGGACCCCATAACCTGCATTACAAGCCAGCCCAGCAGACTGGTCAGTTACAAATTTTGCTGTGGGTTCCTGAAACCAATACCAGATGAAATATCTCTGTCTTGTTTTGTGTCCTTAAGAGCTTAACCTTGTGACCATGTGCAGACACTTTCTCTTAGATTCGGCCTTAGATTCTCTTAGATTCGGTCTTAGAGGACAGGAATTTTAGAGTTCATGTCATAGCCCTAAAAATTTTCTTGACCAGTTAAAAGCCTTGGCAAGCTTGAAATTGGCTTCTCTAGGACCCTTCTGGGAAAAGCAATAAAAACTGCTCAATGCCATAATACAGTAGCTAAGGCTTTGCCTTTTGATGATGGTGGCCTGGGTTCAATTCTTGCTTTCTGGAATTATTCCTTTCTGATTTGTTAGTTGTGTAATTTTGCCATTTATTGAGTTGTTTTTCCCCCCCCCAGGGAGTTTCTGATTTCTTCTCTTGAATTTTCCTTTCTCTGAACTACCTTGGGAAGATTCTAAATCTTGTAAAAAAGAAACTGCTTACCATGTCTTTGAAGCATCTGGGAGGTCACCTTTGGTAAAGTTCAAAAGCCAGAAATATTGGCCGCCTGGCTAAAGTCGGGTAATAAGAAATTTAAAAGGACTTTTTTTTAAGAGCGCTCTGGTTAAAAGTCAGCTTGATTAAAAGTGGATAAACAAGCTATAGATATATTTAAAAGGCATTTATGTTGTTCCCTTCTTGGATCTTGTTTTTCTGGAAAAAAGGTTTTTTTCTTCTCAGTCGACTTAATTATTTTTCTCAATTTTTTTGTCTTGCTAATCTTAATGCATACATGAGAGGTCCTCTTCTGGTAGCCTGGTACTCCTTGAAAAAAACAGGAGGCACCATAGACCCTGTTTTGGAAAAAAGCTCTGTTTTCCTCATGAAACCCTAGGAACTAAAAGCGGATAGATCCCTCTCAAAATCAAAAGCTCTGCTCTGTTTTGCATTGTGTTATCTGACAGTTTTGAGTTCTTGGGGTTTTAAGAAATTACTTCACATTACGAGAGAGCTTGGGTGTGTAATAACAAGGTAGGAAATACTTTAGGGGATGGCTAGCAGTAGTTATGGAGGGATACTTGACTGCACACTTGGATCAGAGAAGCAAATGCTCGTGGACACCTGGAAGACATGGAAAGGTCCCCACCCTCAGCTGAGAGATGAAGCTCCCGTGGGGGATGGGCTGATTGGCTTTGGGTGGCCTTGCCATGAAATGCACGTAGAAGCATTGCACTGTCTCTTCTCCTGTAGGATTTTCCTCCTTTTGAGGATTCAAGATCCAGTATAAAATGGCACCCTTAACTTTGGGGATCTGTCTTTGCCTTCACCTGTTCCTGCTTATTTGGCCCAAGAATTGCATGCTTTCCTGACTCTGTTCCTTCAAGGGCTCCACCCTGAAGTCAGTAATCCAATTAAGAAAACTGGCAAATGAAAAATGTTACAAGTGCTAAATCTTCTGTATTTCTGTCTGCGTATTTATATGTGTTGGGTGTGTGATGTTTGTATGTAAAAGAGCTCTGATAATTGGCTTAGAAAAATAAGCATGTAAATGAAATATTTTGACAGAAAAAATCTTTAATGCCTTTTTCTTCAAATGGCTTTAGTAATCTTTTGCAAATAAAGACAGTTTTAAAGATTACTGGTAAAATAACATGTCTTGAAAATGTAGGTATTTGGTCTAAATTAAGGTCAGATATCAGATTTGCTAAATGCTTTAAGGTCAAACTGTTTCCTTTGGAAAAATTGTTCAGTTTACCTGCTTTGGAGGATTAGATGACAGAGGAGGCCTGGGGAGCTGTGGAGAGCCATGCCCCTGGCCATGCTGAAAAGAGTCAGACCTCATCTTCACTTCTGCCTGATGTCCTGGGCTCCACCCAGTACATAATTAAAATCACTTACTCATCAGGGTTTTCACTAAAAACAAAAGCTGCTAAGAATTAACAATGTAACATTGAGACCACTGGAGAAACAGCTTTACATACATGGTGTGTAGGGAATGTGTTTTTGATAAAAGATTATAAGAAGGTATGGGAATATGGCTTCTGTTAAAGGGAATGTAATTTTGTCTAGTTCAGAGGGTTTTAAAGATTGTGTTAACCTAAAAGAGTAATGGGATAAAACCGAAGGCTTACTCAAAGTGAAAAGGGTTTGTAAAGGGTTGATTTGTAAAAAAAAAAAAAAAAAAAATTCTGTGGGTATAAACAAGTTGGCTAAGATTTGAAAGAAATTATTTAGCTTTTCTCCATAAGTTAAAACACTAAAACCATACTGATACAGGGCCAGCGTCTGGGCCCACGTGTCCGAATAATAGGGTTTGCTTAGAAAATTGATCTGCTGTTTGATGGAAAATTGGAAAGGGTTCTAAAAAGTTCATGAAAATCTTACCTTATGGTCAAACTAATTAAAACTGGACAGATATATAAAATTTTATTTAAAAACTAGCTTTAGCATTAAAGATGCACTAATGCAAACATGAAATTTGGTTTTCTCTTTTGAAGATGATTTTTATGTAATATTAAAGGATAATGAAAGGGTTTTCTTTCCTCTTTTAGGTAAGTGGCAGGGAAAAAGGGGAGGAGAGAGAAAAGACAGACTCAGTTGGCCTCATGCTATCTTCACTGGGTCTTGTTGGAAAGCTAAGTCTCCTCTATCAGAGTAAAGATTTTTCCTTTTTAAAATTTTTGGAGCTATCATTTTGGCCAAATGGATGACTTATGGTGACCTGGGATGCTATTTTGTGATATTCAGTGTTTTAAACCTTTGATATTTGACAAACGTTCCAAAACCAAATTATAAATTATGTCTCTTTTTAACCTTTTAGATATTAGGTTCTTTAAAGTCCAAAAATGACATTTGGCTTATTTGGTATAAAAATCATACAGAAAGCATTGTCAAATATGACATGGTGTTTGGCTTTCTTTGGGCTATATTTGTGCAAATATGTTATTGACACATATTTCAAAATTATGTAAAACACCTATAATTCTAATATGACTTAGTATAAGTTATCAGTAATAATTATAATTATTATGTTAAATGACTGTGTGCCACAGAGGTAACAAATTTCCTTGCCAATTGTGTCTTTAACTGTGGCTGCCCTAAAATGTTTTGTCATCCACAGGCAATTGTTGTCTCATTTTGGTCCTCTTTTTTTCTTTTTTTTTTTTTTTGGAGATGGAGTTTCACTCTTGTACTCTTGTCGCCCAGGCTGGAGTGCAATGACACGATCTTGGCTGACTGCAACCTCTGCCTCCCGGGTTCAAGCAATTCTCCTGCCTCAGCCTCCTGAGCAGATGGGATTACAGGTGTGTGCCACCATGCTCGGCTAATTTTTGTATTATTAGTAGAGACGGGGTTTCACCATGGTGGCTAGGCTGGTCTCGAACTCCTCACCTCAGGTGATCCACTCACCTCGGTCCCCCAAAGTGCTGGGATTACAGGTGTGAGCCACTGTGCCTGGCCAGTCCTCTTTAAAGGATGGTTTTATAATCAGCTATAAAATTTAACAGGGGCTCTTCAGTGCAGATTTCTGATTAATAACCTGGAGATTGTGACGTTAGAATAGAGAAAAAAACTTTCAAATAGAAGAGTGAATAGTGTTTGGTTGTCTTTGGACTGTATCTGTATAGATATGTTATTAGTATGTGTTTCAAAATTATGGGAAACTTCTATAATTCTGATATAATTTAGTGTTATTAATAATTATAATTTTTATACAAAATTGTTGTATGCCACAGAAGTAAACAAAATTCTAGTCAATTGTAGCTTTAGTAGTGGCTATCTTAAGACTTCTATCATACACAGACATTTCGTCTTGCTTTGGCAGTTTATAATCAGGTATAAGTCTCTTGGGGAATCTGACCTCATACCTCATCTATGCAGTTCCTGTACAAGGTTCCTGACCTGTGGTAAGTAATGAATGTCACTTAGATAACCCCAAGTTACCTTTGGGCCTCAAGAGGAGAGGAATTTACCCAACTCATAGTTATTTGAGGGTACAAACCGATGGCTGGGCTCGGCTTTTAAAAAGTCATATGTGGGATTCCTCATGGAACAGAATTCCATCAAAGCCCATTAAAAAGAGCCTAAGTGAAAAATAATTATTCTTGCTGCAAATGATCAGGCCAAGTACGGGAAGACTAAAGTTGATTTTGTAAACAAATCCGTTCTATCATGATTTGTTTTTAATAAAAATGGGGACTGAAGAGAGAAAAATTATATTTCAAAAGAAAGCTATAGTACACCTGTTGTTAGCTGTTATTGAGGTTTTTTTCTGCAGTTTGGATTAATTCCTAAATTCTTTGTGGGTTAGAAGTCCCCAAACTCATGCTTTCTAATCATTGCTTTTAAAACTGGGAATTGTACTGCTCATCCTAGGACTCGTTATTTACCTTATGGTACACTGTTCAGTTAAATACTGTACTGAAAGTATAGATGAGGGTACTAATGCTTTTGCCATGCAAGGTTTGGAAGCCCAGTCAGACCTGCATGCGTCGCCCAGACAGCAGTAAATTGGTTCACTCCTCTCACCTTGGGGTTCACTCCTCTCACCTTGGGGTTCACTCCCATTCCCACTACGCCCTCTGTCAGCAGGAAGACGCCAGAGCGATCCGCAGTCTTTTCCCATCTTCATAGGCTAACCTCAAGATTAAGGTGTTATAAAACACAAAGGGAGGGATTGAAACTACCTTTGCAAAATTATGACTGAGACAGTGAAAGAAATCTAACTTGATCGACTCCATCTTGCTTCTAACCTGCAAGCTGTCCTTGTCCATTCTTGGACCGAGGCTGAATTAACTTTGGGAGGAACTTAGTTTATAGTTTAAATCAAAGACGGTAACAGCCCTTTCCCAAAGCAGACCTCCTTCTTGCCTGAAGACTAAATTGCCTTTGTAGGGCTAACAATAACCACGAGATAAGAAATCATGGTGGAGGAGTCATGTAGCTGGAGGGTACAAGATTCTGACCCTCCCTAAACTGCTCCTAAGATTAGTGCTTGAGCTATTTTGCCGACCCTGCACTTGATAGATCAGCTGACACCACCCAGATGGATAAACTGGCTCATCTGACTTGCGGCCCCCACCCAGGATCTGACTCGGTGAAAGAAGACAGCTTTGACTCCCTGTGATTTCACCCCTGACCAATCAGCGCTCCCAGCTCACTGGCTTCCCCCGCACCCACCAAGTTTTCCTTAAAAATTCTGCTCACCAAATGCTCAGGAACATTGATTTGGGTAATAACACAATTCCGGTCGCTTGCAAAATTAAAAAAAAATCTAAACAGTACAGCATGTTCTTTATATATTATCTGAAAGATAATTTTCAGAAAAAGGTAAAACAATGACTTGCACCAAGATATTAAAATACACAACTCTTAAAGATTTTATTTTACACATATGATAGAAGGGAACTAGGCAGATGTTAGAAATAGTTTAAAGGAAAAGTGAAAACAATACAAATTTATATGGAGTAAAGGAATTTTGAAATGAGTTGCAAATGGAAAGAAAACTTTTTTATTTATTTATTTTCAAATTTTTTACAGGAGAAAGAAGCCAGTAAAAATCACTACTAGACAGGGCAGAAGATAGATAGATAGATAGATAGATAGATAGATAGATAGATCGATCTATGTCTATATATCTCCATCAGTTACCTGCAATTTGCAAAGAATTGTAAAATAGTTCAAAGACAATGAACAACCCAGAAGTATGTGTTACAGTTTTCCATTGAAACACATTTTTTAAACATATCTAATAGGTATGTCTTAACTAGCGAATTCACACCACTCTTCAGTGAGAGGACTATTTATTGATCATCTGCCTGTGTGTTGCAGGTTGCTGTCTACCTTTTTCAAATTTGAAGCAAAGATTTTCATTAAAAGATTTTCACTAGAATTAATTAAAAATCAAAGCCCAAATCAAAACAGAATACACAGCAAGCTGTGCTAGTGACATGGATGACAACTTCTCCTGGGGATTACAACTCTCAGGGTGACATCCGTGTAGATGATTCTGTAACTGTTAAAATGAAAAACTCCCACCCTGTGGGAACAGAGCCGGGTGAGCCCTGGCTTCCACACAGTGCCACCCTGAGAAGGCGAGGTCTCCCCAGCGTCTGTCTGCAGTGCAGCCAGGGCGGAGGAATGAAGTGTCACAGCAGGAAGCAGATGGCTGCATTTGCAGATAATCAATCTAGAGACTTGCAGCCCTGAGTTTCAGGGGAACTTGTCTAAGTAGCATCCTGTCGCTGGAAGGCATCTAATGAACTAAGTTACTGGTGTTCTTGCTTGTCAGATAGCCCTGGAACACTGTCTGGATTTTATAATCATTTTCTTGAGATTGACAAAGTCTAAATTCTTGCTGATCATTGACGAGTCTAAGTTGTAAAGAATGCTACCCATGGATGGAACTTTTTGCTTAAACTTAAGAAAGGGAGGAGAAATAACAGCAGCGGTGCCCCGTGAAGGTTTCCCAAACATGGAGGAGTCCTGGTATAAACCATGCCTTGGACCCACAGCGGAAGGAGGAGCACAGCACAGCTGGGATCACGAGGACTCTGAAGTCTCCTGGGACGTGACAGGAGCAGGCTCAGCCACTGTGCACAGCGTGCGTCCTTGAGCAGGTCACCTAAACTGCCTGGGTCTCACATCCCTGCCATTCATGGTGTTGGGGCTTGCCCTGACTTTGTACCAAGATCAGAGAGGGGCTTATAGTAGGGAGAACCCAGGCAGCGGGAGGAGGCACTTCCAAGCCCCCAAGGGTAGGCGTGGCCTTCCCGGCCCCCAAGAGTGCAGGGATGCCAGAGGCTGCAGCGGCAGATTTGGGCGACTGCGGGTGTGCAGGGTGGGGGCTCCTGCCTGCGCCATGGAGCTGGAGGCCCCTGTCTGCAGCCCCAGTTCGGGCGGCTTCCGCGAGCGCAGCAGTGCCTAGGAGCATGCAGGGCTCCTGCCTGCCCCCACCCACCCAAGAGCAAAGGGAGGCTCAGATCTGCAGCCGCAACATGGGCGGCTGCAGCCCTGTCCAGGAGGGTGGGGCTCCTACCCGCCTGGATTAGGAGGTCAGGTCAGCATCCCCAGTTTGGGCGGCACCCTGGAGTGCCACAGCACCCAGGAGCGCACGGCTCCTGCCTACCCTCAGCCCTCCAAGAGCACACAGAGGCTCGTGTCTACCGCCCCAACTCGGGCGGCTGCAGCCGCGCGGGAGAGATTGGCGGTGCTGCTGCCTGCTCCTGGCTCCCACCCACTCCGTGGGGCACACAGCCCCAACTGTGACCCCTTGCAGCCTGAGGCAGGGGCTCCTGATCCTTGCTGGGCTCAGGCCAGCGTCCAGGGCAGGGGCAACATTACCACGAGCTCCCCCTGTTGCCCCCGTACTCAGGGGTGGCCCAGGGCAGAGTGGATCGTGGGCCTCAGGCCCCGCCCTCAGGAATGGCAGGCTTGGTGGTCACCCCGACGCCAGGCGGACTCCAAGGATACGGTCTGGGCAGCCCCCACGCAGAGCCTCCTCCCGCGACCCAGGAACCCGGCACCCTCTGTGGGGTGGGCACAGTGGGTGCCCAGCTGGCCAGGTCCCCTGAGTAGGTGTCACTATCCCTTCCTGCCCCGGATCCCCGAAGTGCGGCCCAGCCCTCATCAGGCCCCTTTCTGTCGGAGGAGCTACTGCCCCACTGCACGGCTGCCCCGCCGGTGGGTGAACTGGACCCCGCCTAGCTCCATCCCGGCGGCCCCCAGGGCAGCGGGTGGAGGGAGGGGGCTGTCCACCTCCTCCCTGCACACGCCCCGCAGCAGTCTGCGTGCGGGCAGGGGCCAGGCCGCACCAGATGGCCCACTGCTGCCATCACAGGCACTAACAGGAATCAGCCTTCTGCATCCAGGCCTTGTGTTAATGTGTGAATGACAAAGCAAAAGACCCCAGTGTGTGAGGCAGGAATTTGGACATCAGAAGGAGGAAAAACAGGATGAAGCTTCCGGAAGGAATAACCATCCCAGCTGTATCACCACACACACCTAGAACCCTTTAGTCAGGAGGAGGGAGGACGGATCCAACGTGGAATATGTAGGATTTTTCCGTTAGCCTGAATGTACCACCAGATGGAAGGAGGGTCAAGAACATAAGTCTGTGCCTTGAGGACTAAACTCTGACCTTTTTTCTCTCCTGCCCAAATTCCTACCTAAGGGGCCTGGGGAGGTCACCCTACAAACCACAAAGCCTCATTGGAGGGGTCTTATTAACCCTGTGTAACTCGGCTCTTTCCAACCTTACTCTGGTGTAACCTCACATGACAGATAAGGAAGAAAATCCAAATATTTTAACCCTAAATATGTTTCTTGGCCATATCTTGAAATGTCCCTGCAGAGCTGTCTCATGTGGGGAAAGTCTATATTCTGTAGAAAATCCTGTTCCCTTTCCAGGCCTTTTTCCTCATCCAGGAAATACTCCACTAAGTTTCTGGCACCTTTTAAGTCTGATAAGAAACATTTACCATCGATTCTCTGTAAGTCTTCTACCTGGAGGCTGCATCAGCGTAATAAGAACCTTGGTCTCCACAACCCCTTATCCTACCCAGATATTTCCTTTCTATTGGTTCCAGGTCTTTAGATAAACTCTTTCAACCAACTGCCAATCAGAAAATCTGTGAATCTGCCTGTGATCTGGAAGCCTCTGCTTCCTGGTGTGCCACCTTTCCCGTCTGAACTGATGTACAGCTTAAATGTATTGATTGATGCCTTATGCCCTATAGCATGTATAAAACCTAGCTGTGCCCTGATCACCTGGGTCACACGTTCTCCGGGTCTCCTGAGGACTGTGTCACGGGCTGTGGTCACTCACGTTTGGCTCGAAATAAATCTCTCCAATATTTTACAGAGTTTGTTCTTTTTGTTGACAATCTTTTAAAATGTCTAATCAGGAGAAAATCCCACTCATACAGAGCACCCAAAGGTGTGCTGGCTGCCCACTGACTATTCCGGTCGACAGAGCCAGGTACAGGGGTCAGAGTCACAGCAGCTCCCGTGGGCCGATGAGGAGGCATGGCTGGGGAGGAGGCTCTGTCTCTCCACACCCGATGGAGGCAGCTCTGCTCCTGAGCTCAGGGTGGACTTCACCTGGAGTTAGGAGTCAGGGGTCTGGGTCCTGCTTCCTCATTGCTCTGGTACCTGAAAAGATAAGCAGTCTCCGTGAGATGGGGCCTGACCCAGCATGCACAAGCCCGGGAAGGAAAGGAGTGAAAGGACCTGCTTCCCTGGGACCAGAGCAAAGAGCAGAAAGAGAGTAAGTGATTGATGTCGCCTGGGTTAGAAGGAGGAAGTAGAGAGGAGCGGGTTAGCGTTAGGGGCTTGCCTGGGCAGTCACAAAGGGCCCCACAGGCAGATGAGCCTGTAAACCAAAAATACATTTCTAAGGCCCCCCAGCTGATAGAGAATGGATGGGCTCCTGACTAAACTCCACCCTCAAGCCTAGAACCTTGGCCTTAAGTGAAAACAGCTGACCTGTTTGCCTTTTTGGCCCTCCCTGTATCCTATCCTGTGCTCATAAAAAGACTTCAGCTGGCAGAGCAAAGAAGCTGCTGAGGTAAGCAGTCAGCGATGCAAGCTGCTGAGCGGTGGGGATGCAAGTGGCCGAGTGTCAGAGACTCCCGATTGACAGCGCTGACTTCAGATGGTGTCGTTTTCCATGGGGAACCCGGCCGGGGAGGACGGTGCTTCACGGCAAGATCACCTTCTTTCCACACCACCCCCTTTCCAGTTCTGCCTTTGTCATCATTCAAACAGTCTGTGTGACCTGATTCTTCCTGGACACTGAACAAGAACTTGGGTGTCAAAAAGGGTGGGTGCAGAAGGCTGTGACCTTGACCCTTTGCTGGGCCATTAACACTTGGCTGTCCACGGACCGCACGCTGAGTGAAATGAGCCACTACAGTTCCTTCCCACAAAGGGGGTCAAGGTCAAAGGAAAAATCCTGTCTCACAATGCATTTCTGAATGCATTTCCTCCATGGCCAGGACACTCGTAAAATTTAACCTAAAAGACTGCTTCAGGCCATGACAGAAAGTGGAGTAAGACAGGTGTCATATACCTCTCCAGCATCAACATCAACACAGACCCCCCACCCCCACCTCCAAGCAGCCTCTAGGCAGGTGTCCTTTGTTCTAACTTCTCAGCTCTCTACCAGGGCCAGCTGCAGGATTTAGGGGCCCAGGGCAAAACACAAATGCAGGGCTGCCCACACATTCCTCTCAGTCACACATCGGGCCCCTCCTGCTGCCTTGTCCTGGTCCCAGTGGGCCACCAGGTAAAAGTGTCACCCTTAAAAATGTTCAATTGATGCAAATTCACATTTAAAGTTAGTTTACTCTGTCCCGGCACAAAAGGGTTGTTTCCAAAGTTACACTGATTAGACAGAAGTGGACCTTTGTCCCAGCTGAGGCCCTCCCATGGGTACCCACCCCCTGAACGGCGGATGCAAGACGGCAACAGTGTTGACTGAATTCAGGCAGTTTCAGGCCACAGCCAACTGGGGAGACAGCAATGAGTGATGAACGGTCGGGGTCCTCTATGCCACGCCATGAAACCTGAACTAACCGGACAAGTTTATCCAGAGCTGGACACGACCCTTTGGGGGCCATGTGGCATGGTGGTTACCATTGGCCTAGTGGTCAGGTCCAGCTTCAGCCTGTGGCTTCCCTGGCTACTGGCTGTGGGACCTGGGACCGGACACTGAGGCTGACTAAGGTTTTTACCTCAAACATGCTTATGGTTGTGTGTACCAAGAGGGTGATGTAAACCAGACAGCAAGTGCCTGGTGAGCAGCGAGTGATTAATAAAAGGGGGTGTGTGTGTGTGATCCATATACGTACACATACACTTATTTTAATTTAGGAAAAAGTGCTTTCTTTCTCTCTCCTCTCTCTCTCTCTGTCTCTCTCTCTCTCGCTCTCTCTTCTCTCTCTCATTCTCTTCTTTCCTTCACAGGGTCTCCCTGTGTCAGACAGGCTGGAATGCAGTGGTGCAATCATGGCTCACTGCAGCCTCAACCTCCTGGGCTCAAGAGATCCTCTGACCTCAGCCTCCCAAGTAGCTTGGACTACAGGCATGCAACACTATATCTGGCTTTATTATTATTATTACTATTTTGTAGAAATAGGTCCTCACTATGCTGCCTAGGCCAGTCTCCAACTCCTGAGCTAAAGTGAGCCTCACTCCTTGGCCTCCCAAAGTGCTGGATTGACAGGCAGGAACCACTGTGCCCAGCCCCCACACACATTTTTTAGTCATCACTGATGGAGTTTGGTCCTGGGTGTGTTGCTGGGCCTGATGAGAACTTCCTCAACAGGTTCCTGATGCGAAACCCCGCGTTTCTCCCTTGAAAGGGGGCAACCAGCTTCTGGGTTACTCTAAGCTCTGAGACAGACCTCTGCTTTTCTTCCCTTCTGCTATCACCTTGTTGAAGAGGGCCCTGCTCTGAAGGCTGCCAGAGGCGCCTGGGCCTGCGGAGATACCTGCTCCCGGCACGTCTCAGAAGCAAAGGCTGTGCACAGCCACTCAGGTCACCTGTGCGGACTCTGTCCCTGGTAGGAGTCCTCCCGTGCGTCCGGGAGCCGGTGCCATAGCTTGTCTCTGACCGAACGCCCACTGGCAGAGGTGTAGAAAGAGGAGCTCTTAGAGTGTGACTGCAGTCCAGGTCCAGCCAGAGAGAGACTTCATCCTCCTTATGACTGTGGGACTCAAGTATGTCTGTCATTAGGTGGAGGCTTGATCGATAGGCTCAGCCGCCCTGGTGTTCTGACTCTTGTTCCACTCACTGCATGAAATGAAGCTGGCGGAATATTGCTACAAAAGAATGATCGTGGCAGGAGGCGGGGTAGAGCAATGTCAGGTCACGGTGCGTCTTGCACCGAAATATTAAGGCAGTTGTAATGATCTTTGTCTCACAGAAATGAACAGAGTGATGAAGGAGGCTCAGAGAAAGGCAGCTGAGAAGAGCAACAAGGTAGAAAGGCTGACTTAAAGTAGAGAAATAAAAATTCATCCAGCACCTCCCAAGGTCGGACATTGGTCAAGAAACGCCCAAATAGTTCAGGTCGTTTAACTTTGCTCAAATTCCTCAAGGCAGGTATCACGACTCCTCCTGCTTTAGAGGTGAGAATGCCAAGGCTCCCGAGGGCTGAGTAAGGAGCCCTGGTTTGTTTGAGTGCAGGTAACACAACAGGTGTTAAAGCCCAATCTTCAGGGTCTTAATCCAACAGAAGTTAACTTTCGCTTAGAAAAAGTTCAGCACCAGAGTTCCTGGTGGATAAGCGACTTCCCACAAGGTCATTCCTGGGCCTTCTCTGTGTCTCCCCACCCTGTCCCCCTCTGAGGGTTTCAAGTCCTCGGAAGGTTCTAGATCCACCCTGCATGGAGCGCAGGGCCCCACTGCTTGTTTCCATTGCTGAGCCCAACAGGAAAGGCTGGGATCGGAGGTCGCCTTGCACCCAGGATGGAAGGGAAGTGCGTTTGGTGAACACATAGTGCCCAGGCCACCTACCCAAAGCCGCACAGCTCCAGCAGCAGCCTACAGTCCGACCCGGGCCAAGAAGCGAAGTCCAACCTCATGCTTTCTCTGACTTGAGTTTTCTGAACCTCAGAGTCCTCTCCTATAGAATGGAGAACACGTCTCCTTCACAGGATTACTAGGAGAATGAGCAGAGAAAATGCCTGTGGAGGAGACTTCTGGACACTTAGTTATGGACAGGGCACCAGGAGAAAGGGTGGTGCTGGAGTCTCTCCTTAGCTCTCAGAGATCATCACAAAGAGGGTGCCTCCTGCTTCCGGCCCATGGCAGAGTGTGTCCGAGAGGCCGCCTCTCACCTCCCTCCCTGGCCTCGCACACGCAGTCGGGACTGGATTTCTGATGGCAATTCAGTGACGCACAATCGAAAACCAGCAGGGCGGAACAGGAGATGGGAGCAAACTAAGCTACCGTTTCACTAACTTCACAGAGGAGCCTGACACAGAAAAATGTATACATTGTTTGCCTTAAAGTGAACAATAGGGAATAGCTATCGTATCTTCAAAGCAGCTTTCCAAGATCAAATCCGTCGCATCCGGAATGCGTTTCTTTGACCTTGGAACCTCCAGGAGTGGCCAGGCTCCCCCACAGATCACACGCAGCGTTGCCTAGAAGCCGGTAGCTCTCCCGTAGGACGCTGGGAAGCAGCCAGCTGTTCATGTGGGAGTGTCGGCGTGCGTTCCTTTGTCAACGTCCTGCAAGAAAGAAAAGGCAAGAACGTCAGCGATGGCTCCACTGACTGATTAAGGCAAAGGAAGTCGCCACTGTGAGTGATCACCCAGGCTACGCTGGACAGAAACAGGCCATTTGCCAAGTCCCCCAGCAGCTGTCTTTGTTTCCCACTTCGATTTGCTAATGGGCAATGGGGCTGGAGCTCACTCTGCTCCTTCAGGGAGTGGCTTGGCGACCAGGTCAGACTTCAGTGTCTCCAGGAGCCTGTGAACCTGGTGCAAGGCTCTTCAGAGTCAGGGAGGGTGGCACACGGTCTTCAGACACGGAACTGAGGCTGTCAGTGGTGGGGAGTAAGTGAAAAATCCCACAGGCCCTGCACTGTGTCCATACGTGTTATTAATCTTAGCAATGTGGCCCAGAGAACGCAAGCTCTTCCAGCCTCTGCCCAGGGGCAGCCCAGGAAGCCGTCAGGGATGAGTGATTCCCTTCCCTTCCCAAGAACCTGAGACAGGCGCAATTACCTCCATGGCTGATAACCACTGTTCTAATCCCATGCTTGACTTAAAATCATCGTATTTCAGACTTAAGAAGTCTAGACCCAGCTGATTAATCAGCCTTTCCCAGGAGCCATCTGTGGGGTAGGATCAGAAGAACCCCGGAAATTTTCTGCCCACTGGGAAGATTTCATTTCACTGCTATCTTTCAGGGATGTCCTAGAGAGGGGCCGTAGTGCTGCAGCTGTCCACTTTTGGGTGGTGCCTGCATATCATGCAGAACCATCTGTGAACCAGGCCCTAGCCTTATGTTCCTCTGTCAACTGATCACAGGGAACTCCCCATGAGGCCAACAGTGCAGGCTGGGGGAGAGAAGGCAGGGTGGCAGGAGTGGAGACCATGAGCATTTTAGCCACTTCCTCGTGTAACTTACTTGTGCCTTCAGGACCTGCTTGAGCCCGATCACATATATACCACTTCCATTTGATGCTGGAACACTGCTGTGCACAACCCACTTTATGGCGATGGGTCAGAAAGCACCCAGTTAATGATAGGCAGTTCAGGTCGCATGGTGACTTGCTGACCCATAGTCCAATGTTCAGTTTCCACCAAAGCCCAGTAACAGGCCAAGAGCTGTCTCTCAAAAGGAGAGCAGTTATCTGCAGAAGATGGCAGGGCCCTGGCCCAGAGTGACAAACCCAAATGAGAAGTGTCTTGCCTCCATAATCCACACCTTCTCAAAATGAGTTGTCCATTTGTAACCCACTAAATTCTGTGGGGAATTGTCCCCATCAACTTTTTATAAAGCATTAATGATGTCACCGTTATTCCACCCAAGCTTCACCATAAATCTAATGCTTTTTCTTGCTTTCATTTTAGCAGAGTTCGTGTTGCTCTGATAGAGGCTTTTTTCAAACTGATGTCTTATCCTTCTTAGTACTTCAAATTAGATCCTATTCAGACGTGTTATAACAAGTTAGTATGAATTTATTTTTCTGCAAAAAAGTTGATATCCATGCATTTTTTTTTTTTTTGAGACAGTCTCGCTCTGTCGCCCAGGCTGGAGTGCAGTGGCGCGATCTCGGCTCACTGCAAGCTCCGCCTCCCGGGTTCATGCCATTCTCCTGCCTCAGCCTCCTGAGTAGCTGGGACTACAGGTACCCCGCCACCACGCCTGGCTAATAATTTTTTTGTATTTTTAGTAGACAGGGGTTTCACCGTGTTAGCCAGGATGGTCTCGATTTCCTGACCTCGTGATCTGCCCGCCTCAGCCTCCCAAAGTGCTGGGATTACAGGCGTGAGCCCCTGCACCCAGACTTCCATGAACTATTTTTTTATAATATGTATTTTCCATGAATTTTTTGAAGTCCTCTTGTATGTCTTCCTACAAAAAAATAAAATGTAACTCAGTGCATTTGCCAACCTACCAAGGAAAAACATAGAGGCCTAAAATGTGACCCCCTGCAATGATCTGATCAGGGAATAGTCATATTTAAAAGGTAAATGTGAAAGTCAACTGAGTTGAAATTTGAATGAAAGCTTTTCAATATGCTAATTATTTTAATTCCCACGTCTCCTGAAATCCAGTGTAAAGGTAGTTTGTGCGGACACCAAAAAAAAATTGTACAACACAGAGGAATGGAGAAAACGCCATCCTGCTTTCTGTGGGACCGCTGACAGAGGAGGGGTGCTGGTCTGCCTTCTCTGTGAGCTGTGCCTTGGGTACTGCACCATCCTGCTTTGCGTGAGGCTGCTGACGGAGGAGGGGTGCTGGTCTGCCTTCTCTGTGAGCTGTGCCTTGGGTACTGCACCATCCTGCTTTGCGTGAGGCTGCTGACGGAGGAGGAGTGCTGGTCTGCCTTCTCTGTGAGCTGTGCCTTGGGTACTGCACCATCCTGCTTTTTGTGAGGCTTGTGACGGAGGAGGGGTGCTGGTCTCCCTTTTCTGTGAGCTGAGCTTTGGGTACCATGCCATCCTTTGCGTGCAGGGCTGCTGACGGAGGAGGGGTGCTGGTCTGCCTTCTCTGTGAGCTGAGCTTTGGGTACTGCACCATCCTGCTTTGTATGAGGCTGCTGACGGAGGAGGGGTGCTGGTTTGCCCTCCCTGTGAGCTGAGCCTTGGGTACTGTGCCTGCATAGTACATATGCCTGAAGCTCACTGCTTCCAAAGAAACCTGATTCCAACAGGCTTCTGGGTCTCGTTGCAGTTTTTAGAGTGGTATTTTTGGCCTCCCTTCTGAGGCTGAAAATGTGCCCGGAGAACAGATGGGTGAGATCTTCCTCATTAGCTGGGATGGATTTACATTGAAAGGCATTTGTAAAGTTGCTCATCATTAGCAATATAACAGAAAAGATCTTGACAAGTATTCAGAATTCAGCCTGACAGCCTCATCTAATAAAGGCAGGAAATGAGGGTGGAAGGGAGGGAGGAAGGAAAATACTTGAAGTGTAGCTAAATGTAATCCCTTGTGTAAAGACTAGACAACCCCATCTTAGAAAATAGTGTCCATGACATCAGAGACCTGTGCTGTGTCTGTCAACCAGCAGCAAGCAGAAGGCAGACAAAGGGAGATCTCCGAGCCCAGGGCAGGAAAATAAGATGCTAGAAACAAAAAGTAAAATCTAAGCCTCTCAACTGTCTGAGTGGAGCCCCATCTGTGCCAAAGGGACCCCACAGAAATCTGAAACACTGAATTCCTGGCCATGATGGGAAGGGGAGTCAGACACACCTCGTTATGCCTCCCCCGCCACTTTTGAAGTTTAGAAACAACTGACCAATATTAACATGAAAATAGAGACCATTAGACTGACAAAACCCACTCTTAGTGGTAATAAGATGCCAGATTCCAACCTGACTGTGGTGTAGTGCTCTGAGCGCTGCCCCTTGTGAGACTTCATCTATATAGCAAGAACCTTGGCTTCTACAACCCCCCCTTTTCTTGCTCAAGCGTTTCAACTGACTTCTTAAATCTTTAGACAAAGCTTAACTCTTTCAACCACTGCCAATCAGGAAAACCTTTGAATCCACCTATGACCTGTGAGCATCCACTGCTTCGAGATATCCCACCTCTTTAGGCTAAACCAACATACACCTTCCATGTATTGACTTATGTTATGTCCTTGCTTGTAACTTCTGCCTCTCTAAATTTATAAAACCAAACTGCCACCTGACCACCTTGGGCGCACTTTCTCAGGACCTCTTGAGACTGTATCCAGGCCACAGTCATTCATGCTGGCTAAGAGTAAACCTTTTAAAATATTTTACAGAGTTTGGCTTTTTCATCAGCATGGCAGAAACACCTTTCCCCTTTCTCTAGACACCCAATGTATCAGTGTGGCTGTTGGAAGATAAACACTTTCATGAAAATAATGAGGCAGTCATAAGTTCCTCAAACCTGCTGTGTTTTAATGTCTCTTGACAGATGCCCTGGATCTGTTCCTGAAGGATTACAGCATGAAGAAAAATAATGTGGGTAGCCGGGCTTCATCTTAGCAACACGAGCACCTCATTTTGGTTTTCAGTTGGTCTTTTAATGAACAAATGTGTTGGAATGTTTGGGTCTCTGGTTTTTATGCCGATTTCTACCATCCTGCCCTGGGGATGAGGTGGAGCTGGGATTAACAAAAAATTCCTATTCTCCAGCCAGGCGCAGTGGCTCACGCCTATAATCCCAGCACTTTGGGAGGCCAAGGCGGGTGGATCACCTGAGGTCGGGAGTTTGAGACCAGCCTGGCCAACACGGTGAAACCGATCCCTACTAAAAATACAACAAAAAGTTAGCGGGGTGTAGTGGCAGGTGCCTGTAATTTCAGCTACTTTGGAGCTGAGGCAAGAGAATCACTTGAACCCGGGAGGGGGAGGTTGCAGTGAGCCGAGACCACGCCATTGCACTGGTCAATAAGAACGAAACTCTGTCTCAAAAAAAAAAAAAATCCTATTCTCCATGGGACCCAAATCCCTTTTTACCTCCACCTCCTGGATATGCAGCAATTAAGTGATTCACGGAGGTGCAGTGAGGCGAAGGTTCCATGTAGCCACAGGTTGGAAGAAACAAGTACTGTTGGCATCAACTTTGTCAGCTTGAAGCAGGCCTTCTAGAACCCATAATGCCAGGACAAGCTTTCTAGATGGCAGAAGAGCCTAGCCTATTTGGTGTGAATGAAAGACACTCAGGTGATACCTTCTATCTCTTCAAGGTAGGTGCTTAGCTGAAATAGTGCAATGAAGAAAGAGCACTGAGCTGGAAGCCATAAGGCCTGGCCCCAACACTGATAACCATGTGCGCTTTAACAAATCATTTCTCTCTGAAACTCAGACATAAGGCCTGGCTCCAACACTAATAACCATGCACGCTTGAACAAATCATTTCTCTCTGAAACTCAGCTTCCCCATCTGTGAAGCAGGGATGGTGCTACTTTTCCAGGTGTGATAGATTAGATTATTGATCCCAATTCTTCCAACCCCTTAGAAAGGGTTGTACATCCACCCTTGCCATGTGACTTGCAGAGTCCTCCCCACAACCTCAGATTCTGTATCCCCACTATTGATATTAGCCACGGCCGTGGGACTTGCCTTGCTAGTGGGATGAGGGCAGAAGTATCCATGCGCCAGCTCTGGGTCCCTGCATGCTTTTGCTAACTCTCTTGTGTGTGGGTGGGTCCTTCAAGAAAATAAGATGACCCAAGCAGCTGTGCTCCTTCAGCCCCAGAATAACATACGTGTGACAGACCAGGATTCAGCCCACAGCCTGGAGCCAAGACACCATCCGACCCAGATGAACCTGCGTGGATCACCTGAGCCACTAGTGACCCAGAGATCCTGAGAGTGAAAAACATGCATGGTCCTATACACCACTGAGTTTTGGGATGACTTGTTACTTAGCACTATTATGACAATTGCTGACTAATATACCAGGCTCCTGGAAGATTTGTTGTGAGGTTCTCATAAAATGATGAATGTGAAATTGCATTGTAAGCTGCTTTTAAAAAAGGTACTTAGCTGGAGTGAAAGCTCTACAAAGGCAGAAATTGTTTTGCTACTGTAACTAGATGAGTTCCTGGAATAAAATAGTAGCTCAATAAATACCATATTAATTGAATTGGATGGATGGATGGATATATATATATATATATATATATATTTTAACCTTGGAACTTCTATCATAGGCATTTTTCCTTGGGTTGAAACTACTAATTTCTCTTAAGTACAGATACCCCCCGAGAAAGCTAAAATGCTGTATTGTTTATCACAATACTTTTGGTTCATGATAATTACTGCCAGATACCTGGAGTAATTATAGAAATTGTAGAGAACAAGAGGTGAGGGGTGGGAGAGCTAAGAAATGGATTTTCCAGTTTTGCCCATGGCTACTTTGTGCAGCACCTCTGACAAAAGCTTTGGGAGTTTTCCAGAAACTAGCATTCTGCGCCCTCCCCAAGCACTTATTTCTTCCTTCCCCAGGGTGCCGTGTTTGCATTTCTGCAGCACAACATGGAGGGTAAAGGGATTGCAGAGTGAGTCTCCACTTCCACTCGTCTCTGTTGTTGGAGAGGATTAAAAGAGCAGGAGAGGGGCTGCCTGTGTCCTGGGAAATTTTCAGGACAGAAGAAGAGGCTGGCCCTGTGCAGTAGGTGCAGAGCAGGCACCCGGCCTCCAGGGCCACCGATGACTCCAGGGCCTGGCAGGAGCCAGGATGTGGCTCCTCGTGGAGGGCTATGCCAGCCGTGTGTCCGACCCAGAGCACAGAACCATTGCCCCAGCAGGGCTTTTCAGTGGAACCGAGTGTCCCCACACGAGCTTTGTCTCCGGATGCACACGAGGAGATTCTGCAGCACAGTGGATCCGATTAAGCCATTACAGCTTTCCAGAGGGAAAAGAAAATTTAGGACGTGTAGAAACTAAGTCTTTGCCCACAATCAAGTTTCCATTCAAATTATGAAAAGGAAGTGATTGAATGAGAATGAGATGACCTTCCCCTTCCCCCACGGATCTTCCTCCCTCTGGTTCCCTCTGCTGCTGACACGAGCACTGCACCCAGGCGACGGCCCCGGGCGCCCAGGCTGACTCCCGCACTCGGGCGCTGAGCTCATGGCCGGTTCTGAAGAACTCTGGTTCTGCTCATGCCCCACATCAAAACGGCCAAGTCTTCAGATTTGGGATTTCCCAAGCCAAAAGCATTTTCATAGAATTGCATTTCAATATTTACATTATCTTTAAAGAAAGTCCAGCTAAAAATAAAAAATAAGTAAAAATGTTAAAAATAAAACAACCCCAGAGAGAAGTGGGGTCTACCTGAATGCAATGCAAGATGAAGTGGACATCTGGACGCCCCTCCTCCAGGGCTTCGCATGCTCCCCGGGGCTCAGGGGCTCGGGTGGGGCAGCTCCTCATGGCGTGGGGTAGGGAGGGTGACCCCAGGTTCTTAGTCAGGGCAGGTGCAGGCCTGTGAGACACCAGGCGAAGGAGGCAGAGCAGGCCGTCCTGTGTGGAGTGGCTTATTCTAATTCAAACTCCCCTGTTTTCTTCCTCTTCCTTTTGGGGGAACTCATCCCTCTGAGACCTCAGACAGACATGCACCAGGCTATGGGTGGGGGTAATGCAGGGCAGGCAGGGTGGTGCAGGAGAAGCATTCTGCTCTTTTCTGCAGTAAGGTAAATATCGTGGCCGTCATCTGTTCCACCTCCTTCCTGCTGTCTGGCTTCGTTAGTGCAGATCAAGAGCATAGGTCAGTGCCCTGGAGGGTGTTCAGGATGACCGTAGCAGAGGTCTCCGTGCCACAAATGGAACCCAGCCTTGCTAACTTCTCCAGGCTCGGTGCCCAGCACCCCCAGGGCACACAGAAACCACTGTGGTGTGAGTGGTGCTGGAGCAGCAGACACAGGCGCGTTGTTGTCGGGAGGTGGGGGAGCCCCCGCCGGCTTGCGTGTTTTCTTCCTTAGCAACTGCCCCTCAGAAGCAATACAGGACTTACCCTAATGTCACCTCTGCTGAGTCCACGCCGGGGAATGGCTGAGAAACAACTTCATGCCAGAATCCTGTCAATCTAAGTCTCTACAAAATTCTAGGAACCAAGAAATTATAAACTGAAAGCTCTTAATGAGAAGCTCTCTGTGGGCAATGATCTGGGCTCTGCAGGGGGCTCCAGCAGCTGCCAGAGGGAAATAAACGTGGAAAAGAACAACCTGAGGCTGCTCGGCTGAAGGCCGGAGCATGGGGACTGCCCTAACCCTCACTCACGGTGCAGGGAGCTTCCCAGGAAGTCTCAGCTCACCTGCAGCCTTCGAACCAGGAGAGGCTCCGTGAAAGAGCAGGTGCGTGGACCGGCTGGAGGAGTCAAGAGAACTGATGCCTTGAATGAATCCAGATGAGCAGCCACCATTGTCCTAAAACACCCTTGTTCCCTTTGGAAAGGGTGGGCCAGTTCTGTGTAGGTTGGGAAGGTGACTGGGACCCAGGACGCCCCATGGCAAGCCAGCTTCTGCCCAGGAGGTGCTGGCACCGGGCCGCAAGATGGGACATGGCCTGCTGGTGAGGGGTGGTCCCTGAGCTGCCACTGCAGCCTCGACATGTCTCCACTTGGAGATAAACAGCAGCTTAGGCCTGGGGGGCATCTCTGCACCCAAGAGCTCCGGGTGCATTGTCTCACTGCTGTTTGTCCAGTCTCAAGGGCTTTGATTTGTTCTGCCCACACCTGTGACCACAGCTGCCCATGCCAAACTTTCCTGCGGGATCGTCCTAATAGATCCGCGGGAGCTGGTGGCTCCTCTTCCAAAGCCCCAGACTTTCATGTGGATCACCTTTCTTCTCTGTCCCCAGGATGCTCGAGGTCTGGCCTCAACCCTGTCATCATTGTCAATCCCTGCGGCTCCTCCTTCCAGGGAGGCTGGGCAGAAGAGCAACAGGAGCAGGTGCTCAGGGGCAACACAGAAGACAGGAGCAGGTGCTCAGGGACAACAAGTACTCAGGGGACAGAAGGTGCCAGGAGGTAGTAGGTGTTCAGGGGGCAGCAGGTGCTCAGGGAGCAGCAGGTGCTCAAAGGCAGTACAGCAGACAGGAGCAGGTCATTTCTAAATAAGTTTAAAAACTGAAACATGAATTACTAAGCATGAGTTTAAAGTTTATATCCTTTGACATCGTGTTTTTACATAGTATAGAGAAGCTAAATGTATTTGGTTCTATTAATAAACATGAAAATTGTCCGGGTGCAGTGGCTCACACCTGTAATCCCAGCACTTTGAGAGGTTGAGGAGGGCAGATAGCTTGAGCCCAGGAGTTTGAGACCATCCCAGGCAATGTAGTGAAACTTTGTCTCTACAAAAAAATACAAAAATTAGCCAGGCGTGGTGGCTCCAGTTTTGACTGCAAGGATGGACCCCTGAAAACGCCCAAGGCTTCAGAGGATGACCGCTAGAGCCAGCAGTTTCTCTTTCCATAATCAATCATGTTATTTGATAGTTATGAGAGTTGATTCAAGATTGAGAGATGGAATAGGCTGTTATTACTCAGGCTCATTTCCTAAAGTAAATCATAATTTATAGATGTGGGACACATAGGCTTTGAGATTCCGATACAATTAGTGCAAACATTTAGAAGATAAATTGGCCTCCATTCCAAGGTAACCAAATGGATCCCTTTTTTAAGAATTGAGAATACTATAAAACAAAGATGCAAAAATACCCAAAATTGATCAATAAGGATCACGCAGAGATTTATTTTTTGAAGACAATACTAACATTTCAAATGTAGGAAATACTATTTTATGCTTTAAACAGGGACATTTAGTCTCGAGTTCTAGTTTTAATGCCCTAACCTGGTTTATCCATAAAGTGGAGAGAGGCTAGTGCATAAATTCATGTGGTACAGCCAATCTTATTCATTTTTTCTCAAGGGACAGTTATAACCAGAATGAACAAAGCCTGGAATTCATTAACAGAGCTTACAGGGAAGGTGAGTGGTTTCGAAGCATTTTTACTAATCCTTTGATAAGTCACCCTGATGTGAGAGGTGGATTTAGCGACTTGCTTATGCCAAGTAGCATATGGCAAAAGTAATGATATTTCACTACTGCACGTATCTGCAAAGGGAGCACTCACTCTGGGGCAAGCCAGGCCTGTGTCATGAAGACACTCGAGCAGCCCTGTGGAGAGGCCCAGGCGTAAGAAACAGACGCCTCTTACCAACAGTCAGTGAGGAACTGAGGTCTCCTGCCATGAGCCATGTGAGTGCGCGATCTTGGAGGTGGGTTCTCTAGCCCCTGTCAGGCAGTCAGATGATGCAGCCCCAGTCACATGCAATCAAGTCTAGGTTCTTGATATTCTAGTTACTTAAAGATTGTCAAGCAAGAAGTCATTTCTTCCCCGGCTATGCTATTCAAAGGTTCATGAATCTTTTGGATTTTGTATATTTTAGAAATTCCAGAATTTATCAGTAGGAACCAGAAATAGAATATCCAGCAGGAACGGCATGATGTATAAAAAAATATAGTCCTTTTTGTACATTCCCCTCTTCCATTATTCTAACTGTATCTACCTTCAAATCACACCTAAGATTTCAGGGATAGACCCTTTACCTCGAAGATAATGAAACCCATCAGATTATAATTTTTTTTTTGTTATGGACAATTCCCTTCCCTAATATTTCTCAAACTGAAGGTTGTAATCTACTTCAAAGAGTCGTCCAAGGAAGGCATGGTGATCGACGAGTTTCAAATAACTATCAAATACATTTATTTATCCTAAAAACGTTGACAGTAATGATAGAAATACTCATTTTTAAAATTCTTGAATTCTGATACATAGTTCTATTTTAAAGTCCTGAAATACCAGTATTTTTTTATTGGTATACTACAATTATACCACTATTTTTGGAAACTAAGGTCTGAATTATTAACTTCTTTTTTTTGAGATGAGGTGTCATCTGTTGTTGTTCAGGCTGGAGTGCAGTGGTGCAATCACGGCTCCCTGCAGCCTCAGATCCCTGGGCTCAAAGAAATCCTGTGAGCATGGCACTGTACCCAGCTGATTTTTTAATGGTTTGTAGAGACAGGGCTTTGCTTTGTTGCCCAGGCTGGTCTCAAGCTCCTAACATCAAGCAATCCTCCTACCTTGGCCTCCCAAACTGCTAGGATTACAGGTGTGAGTCACCATGCCCAGCCTTTATTTATCTCTTAAAATGAAAGTCATTGACTAAACTATTCAATTTTGTGCCAAAAAAAAGATGAACTAATGTGCAGTCTTCAAAACTGATAGGATTATTCTGGAAAATTTTGTACATACACACACAAAAAAAGAAGCATTGATGACTTTTGTTAAAAACACCAAATAATATGTCATTTTAAATGTTTATGAACGATTAATTTCTTATTTCAATATAATGCTTAGTTGATTATTTGTAATAAAAGTTTATTTTTGTTTATGTGCTAATCCATTAGGATGTGATATAGTTTGGATATTTGTCCCTACCCACATCTCATGCTGAGTTGTAATCCCCAATGCCAGAGGTGGGGCCTGGTGGGAGATGTTTGGGTTCTGGGGGTGGGTCCCTCATGGCTTGATGCTGTCTTCTTGAGAGTGAGTTCTCATGAGATCTGGTTATTTAAAAGTGGGTGGCACCTCCCTGCCCACTGTCTCTCACTTGTTCCTGCTCCTGCTCCTGCCATGTGATGTGCCTGCTCCCCCTTTGCCTTCCGCCATGATTGAAGCTTCCTGAGGCCTCCCAGAAGTAGAAGCCGCCATGCTTCCTGTATAGCCTGTAGAACCACAAGCCAATTAAACTTTTTTTAAATGAATTACCCAGTCTCAGCTATTTCTTTATAGTAATGCAAGAATGGCATAATACAGGATGATAATATGTTGAAGGTTTATAGATTCAAAAAATGTATTTTAGTTAATTTGAAAAATAATGTAAGAAACACATGATAAATATTCAATTACGTTTGTGAAATACACTAAATCCCTACCTGCTTATTTCCTAGCTGGGCTGCTATAACACAGTGCCACTCACTGGGTGGCTTTTACTGCTCACAGTTCTGGAGACGTGGACATTTACAATGAAGACTGATTAGGGCCAGTTTCCTGATTCACAGATGGGGCCTCTCGCTGTGTCCTCACATGGCAGAGGGACAAACAGGCTCCCTCTCTCTCTTTTATATGGGCACTGATCCCATACATGAGAGGTCCACTCTCAGGACCAAATCACCCCCTTGAGACCCCACCTCTCAACACTATCACCATAAGGATTAGCCTTCAGCATCTGAATGTGTGGGGAGGAAGCACAAACATTTAGATCACAGCGCCCTGTCCCTGGTTTCCCAAAGTTCACATCTTCCTCACGTGACAAGTACATTCATTCCATCCCAACAGCCCTACAAGTCTTAACTCGTTCCAGCATCAACTCAAAAGTGTGAAGTCCAGAGTCTCATTTAAACATCGTCTAAATCAAATACGTGTGTGATTTAAGGTAAAATTCATTGTGAGACAAACTGCTTTCCAGCTGTGAGCCTGTAAAATCAAACATGTTATGTGTTTCCAAATTCAATGGTAGGTGTTATGGTTTGGACTTGTGTCCCCACCCAAATCTCATTCAATTATAATCCCCGGTGTTGGAGGTGAGGCCTGGTGGGAAGTGATTGGATCATGGGCCGGAGTTCTTAAGAATGGTTTGGTACCATCTCCCTTGGTACTGCATAGTGCGTGAGTTCTCATAAAATCCAGTTGTTTAAAAGTGTATAGCACTTGTCCTTCTCTCTCCCTCCTGCTCCAGCCATGTAAGATGCCTGCTTCCCCTTTGCTTTTCACCATGATTGTAAGTTTCCTGAGGCCTCCCCAGAAGCTGAGCAGATGCCAGCATCATGCTTCCTATACAACCAATGGAACTATGAGCCAATTAAAAAATACTTTCCTTATAAATTACCCAGTCTCAGGTATTTCTTTGCAGCAGTGTGAGAATGAACTAATACAGCAGGATAGGCACAGGATAGACATTCCCATTCCAAAAGAAACAATAGGAAAGAAGGAAGGGGAATGGGTCCTAAGTTCAAAACCTGAAGGCTGAAGAAAAATCTTTTTGACTCAATGTTCTGCCTTCTGGACACACTTCGTTGGTGGCTGGGCCCCCAAGTCTCTGGGAAGCTCCATCCCATGGCTTTGTTAGGCACTGGCAACTCTCATGGGTTGGAGTCAAATGCCTGTGGCTCTTCCAGACTGGAATTCCATGCTGGTGGCTCTACTAGGCTAGGGTCATGGGGCAGCCCCACTCCTTTTGGCATTTCCCTATTGTGGACATCTGCAGTCGATTCACCCTTGAGGTGACCCTCTGCCTGTGTCATGTGTCTGAGGCTCTGGGTGGCTCCAGCTTTTGAAATTGAGGTGGAGGTAGCCATGCCACTGTAACTCATGTGCTCTGTGCACCAGCAGAGATAGCACCATATGGACACTGCCAAGCTTTATAGCCTTTGACCCCTAGAGGAGAGGCACCGGCTCCCATACCACCTGGGGCATCAAAGAGCATTGTGCTGGGATGTAGGGAGCAGAGCTTTGAGGTTATTCTGCCCCTCAGGCCCTGACACTGAGTCTGTAATGGGAGGGGAAGTGCCAGGAATCTGAAATGCTGCTAGGATCATTCTTCCACTCTCTTCGTGAATATCTCCTGGTTGATCCACACCAATCTTCTTATCTAATGATTGCTTTGCTACACTCTTTGTGCTCTCTCCCAAACACACTTTCTCATTTTTTTACAATATGAAAAGGCTGAGAATTTTCCAAATTTTAAGTTCTGCTTCCCTTTTGATGAGAAAAAATCTGTCCTTAAGTCATTTCTCTCTTTTTACATTTTACTATATAAGATTTCAGGAGAAGCCAAGGCATGCCTTTAACCCTTAGCTTAGAAATTTCTTCAGCCAAGTATTCTATTTAATTCCTCTCATGTTCTACCTTCCGCAAAACACTGGGACACAAACACAATTTAGCCAAGCTCATTGCCACTTTATAACAGGCATTGCCATTCCTCCAGTATCCAATAGTATGTTACTCATTTCCATCTGAGACCTCCTTGGAATGGCTTTAACTGTCCATTTCTATGAACATTCTGATGACAACCACTTGGACCAGCTCTCAGAAGACTCAGGCTTTCTCTACAGCTCTCCTTATCTCCTCAGAGCCCACCCAGAATCCCCTTTAGTGATCTCTTTGTGGCCATGCAGGCTTTTTTCCAGCAAAACTCTTCTAGGCTTTCCCCATCACCCGCTTCCACTTCCATCTTTTAGGTATTGGTTACAGCAGTACCCCAGTCCTCAATACCAATTTCCTTAGTCTGTTTGGGCTTCTGTAATAATATACCATAAGCTGAGTGCATTATAAAGAGAAGGAATTTATTTCTCACAGTTCTGGAGGCTGAGAAGTCCAAGGTCAAGGAATAATTGGTGTCTAATAAGGCCCCATTTTCTGACTTGTGCATGTAGCCTTTTTGCTGTGTCCTCACATGGCAGAAGGGACAAAAGGCCTCCCTCCAGTCTCTTTTATAAGGGAACTAATTCCACTCATGAGGCTCTTCCCTCATCACCGAATTACCTCCCAAAACGCCCACCTTTCCACACCATCACATTGGGTATCAGATTTCAATATACACACTTTGAGGGGACATAGACATTCAGACCACAGCAGTCATTTTTCTTTAGTGGAGAAAGAAACTCGTAAGTGTGCCCCTCAGGGGATCGTTCATCACCTAGATACTTTGCCTGCAATTAAGATACACTCTCACCAGGGGGCGTTATAGTCCAGGCAGCTATTTCTCCATAGGCATTGTTACCACCAGGAAATCCAGTTACACTTACATCTAACTACCCTCTTTTAATGAGAATATATCTCAAGAACATGAAGTTATTCTGATGCTGCTAAATGTAAAACAGTAGGTCACTTGTCCACACTCACCTGAGACTGAGGCAGTGCCACGCTGGGCCTGAGTGTCTTTCATTTCCTGGTGTTGGACTTTGAGCCATTAGAACCGTGAGCAGCTTGCAGTGTGTCCTTGGTGGGCCCAGCTTTCTGGGGTTACCAGCTGCAAGGTGGCGAGTATTCAGCTTGCCTCTGAAGAGCCTTTGTCTTGCTTTCCGGAGGTGATGGCCAACCGCACAATGACTAAAAGCTCCTTTCCTCTGAAGAGGAATCAGGGCTCAGATCTGCGACATAGCCCTTGAAAACTGAAATTTGGCTTTTTGCCCCCTTATGGATTTAGCCTGAATGTCTTCCGGAGTCTAAGGATATGTTGTCTGTAGTCTAAGGATATGTTTTCTTGATGATGATGTTACTGATGGAGGGAACAATTACAGCTTCCATTTATTGAGGGTTGACCATACATCAGGTGCTGTTTTGCTTTCATCATCAGTAGTTAATTATTACTAGTAATTGTTTGTATGACTTTCTAGAGGGTTTGCTTTAATATATTCAAATAAATACACATTTCTACTCCTCTTTTACTTAAATGGTAGCATACTATATACACTGTTCCATACCTTGCTTTTTTCTCAATAATTTACCATGGAGTACTTTTCTCATTAATATATAAGGAGGGGTTTTTTTTTTTTCTTTTGAGACCAAGTCTCTGTTGCCCAGGCCAGAAGGCAGTGGTGCAATCTCGGTTCACTGCAACCTCTGCCTCCCAGGTTCGAATGGTTCTCCTGCCTCAGCCACCCAAGTAGCTGGGATCGCAGGCATGCCTGGCTAATTTTTGTATTTTTAGTAGAGATGAGGTTTCACCATGTTGGTCAGGCTGGTCTCGACCTCCTGACCTCAGGTGATCCACCCACCTCGGTCTCCCAAAGTGCTGGGATTACAGGTGTGAACCACTGTGCCCAGTCAGGGTTGTTTTTGTTTGTTTGTTTGTTTTTCTTTAAAAAAAACAACAACAATTGTATAATGTTCTTCTGTAAGGAAGTGACGTTTATTTAACCTATCCCCAACTGAAGGGTATACCTGTTGTTTCCGATCTTGCTATTACACACCGTGCTGTAGTGAATGCCACATGAAACTGTATACATCACATAGGGACAGATGTATGTCTGCCATTGTGATGGGCTGTGACAATTTACACTTTTGAGCAATACATAAAAACACTTACTAGATGCTTCTCCCCACCCATCCCAGTAGTACTAACAAATTATTGAATCTTTCCCAGTGCTGCAAACATGTTGTCTCATTTAATTCTCACACCAGCCTGTTTACTGGGCGTACAATTGCCGTGGTTCAGAACTGTGCCGTGAGCTCACCTGGCTGGGGAGAGAGGGCTGGTTCTCAAGCAATGGTGTTATGCTGCATTCCCAGTAATCCCTTTATCTTAAATTTGGTTAGGATGTTTCTCTAATCAGATGTGCAGAAGGTTATCATTTTATTCAATTATATATATATATGTATAAATATACACACAGACGTATACCCTGCCTCTTACAGTATATTTATTCAACCTGACTTTTGAAAGGTTAAAAATAAATTTGTAGCACCTACATATCCCTATTAAAGTACTGAAACTTCCGTTTTATTAATGGGGTTTCCTTTTCTTCTTGGCTGTGGATTTTTAGATAGTTACCTTTAATGTATTATCAATTTCTGTCTTGAATCCAGGTAATCAGATTTTGTAAGTAAGAAAATATGAGGGGAGGGGCCAAGATGGCCAAATAGGAAAACTTCTGGTCTGTAGCTTCCAACGAGAACAACGCAGAAGGTGGGTAATTTCTGCATTTTCAACTGAGGTACCCAGTTCATCTCACTGGGACTTAGGCAGTGGGCCCAACCCTCAGAGGGGGAGCAGAAGCAGGGTGGGACATCAATTCACCTGGGAACTACAAGGAGCTGGGGGACCTCCCTCCCCCAGCCAAGGGAAGCTGTGAGCGACTGTGCTACCCAGCCCGGATACTACACTTTTCCCCTGGTTTTTGCAATCTGCAGATCAGGAGCTTCCCTCTTGTGCCTACACCACAAGGGCCCTGGGTTTCAAGTGGCTGTTTGGGCAGACACTGAGCTAGCTGCAGGAGTTTTTTTCATACCCCAGTGGTGACTGGAACCCCAGCAAGACAGAATCATTCACTCTCCTGGAAAGGGGGCTGAAGCCAGACAGCCAAGTGGTCTCGCTCAGCAGGTCCCACTCCCACGGAGCCTCGCAAGCTAAGAACCATTGGCTTGAAATTCTTGCTGCCAGCACAGCAATCTGAAGTTGACCTGGGACAATCAAGCTTTGTGGGCGGAGGGGCATCGCCATTACTGAGGCTTTGGTCGGTGGTTTTCCCCTGACGGTACTGAGGCTGGGAGGTCTGGACTGGACAGAATTCACCACAGTGTGTCAAAGCAGCTGTGGCCAGACTGCTTCTCTAGATTCTTCCGCAATGGGCAGGGAATCTCTGAAGGAGGTTAACAGCCCCAGTCAGGGGCTTACAGACAAAACCCCCATCTTCTGGGGACAGAGCACCTGGGGGAAGGGGCAGCTGTGAGCGCAGCTTCTGTGGATTTAATCATTCCTGCCTGCCTGCTCTGAAGAGAGCAGCTGGTCCTGACAAGAGGGATTCTCCCAGCACAGCGCACCAGCTCTGCTAAGGGACAGACTACTTCCTAAGTGGGTCCCTGACCCCCCCTGCCTCCTGACTGGGAGAGACCTCCCACCAGGGGTCAACAGACACCTCATATAGGAGAGCTCTGGCTGGCATCAGGCCAGTGCCCCTCTGGGACAAAGCTTCCAGAAGAAGAAGCAGGCAGCAATCTTTATTGTTCTGCAGCCTCCACTGGTGACACCCAGGCAAACAGGGTCTGGGATCTGCAGTGGACCTCCAGCAAACTGCAGCAGACCTACAGAAGAGGGCCCTGACTGTTAGAAGAAAAGCTAACAGAAAGCAACAACATCAATATCAACAAAAAGGACCCCCACACAAAAACCCCACCCAAAGGTCATCAGCCTTACAGATCAAAGGTAGCTAAATCCATGAATATGAGGAAAAAGCAGCACAAAGTGCTGGAAATTCCAAAACCTAGAATGCCTCTTCTCCAAATGACCACAACTCCTCTCCAGCAAGGGCACAAAACTGGACAGAGAATGAGACTGATGAATTGACAGAAGTAGGCTTCAGAAGGTGGGTAATAACAAGCTCCTCTGAGCTAAAGGAGCGTGTTCTAACCCAATTCAAGGAAGCTAAGAACCTTGATAAAAGGTTACAGGAACTGCTAACTACAATAACCAATTTAGAGGGGAACTTAAATGACCTGATGGAGCTGAAAAACACAGCAGGAGAACTTCATGAAGCACACACAAGTATCAATAGCCAAATGGATCAAGCAGAAGAAAGGATATCAGAGATTGAAGATCAACTTACTGAAATAAGGCGTGTAGACAAGAATAGAGGAAAAAGAATGAAAAGGAACTAACAAAGCCTCCAAGAAATAAGGAACTATGTGAAAAGACTAAACCTATGATTGATTGGTGTACCTGAAAGTGATGAGGAGAATGGAACCAAGTTGGAAAACACACTTCAGGATATTATCCAGGAGAACTTCCCAAACCGAGCAAGACAGGCCAACATTCAAATTCAGGAAATACAGAGAAAACCACTAAGATACTCCTCGAGAAGAGCAACCACAAGACACATAATCATCAGATTCTCCAAGGTTGAAACGAAGGAAAAAATGTTAAGCACAGCCAGAGAGAAAGGTCAGGTTACCTATAAAGTGAAGTCCATCATACTAACAGTGGATCTCTCTGCAAAAACCCTACAAATCAGAAGACAGTGGGGACCAATATTCAACATTCTTAAAGAATTTTCTTTTCTTTTTTTTTTTTTTTTTGACAGAGTCTCACTCTGTCACCCAGGCTGCAGTGCAGCGGCACAGTCTCAGCTTACTGCAAACTCCACCTCCCAGGTTCAAGCTATTTTCCTGCCTTAGTCATCCGAATAGCTGGGACTACAGGCATGTGCCACCACACCCGGCTAATTTTTGTATTTTTAGAAGAGACGGAGTTTCACTATGTTGACCAGGCTGGTCTCGAACTCCTGACCTTGTGATTCATCTGCCTCAGCCTCCCAGAGTGCTGGGATTACAGGCATGAGCCACCGTACCCGGCTAAAGAAAAGAATTTTCAACCCAGAATTTCATATCCAGCCAAACTAAGCTTCATAATCAAAGAAGAAATAAAATCCTTTACAGACAAGCAAATGCAGAGGGATTTTGTCACCACCAGGCCTTCCTTATGAGAGCTCCTGAAGGAAGCGCTAAATATGGAAAGGAAAAACTGGTTCTAGCCACTGCAAAAACACACCAAAATATAAAGACCAATGACATTATGAAGAAACTGCATCAACTAATGTGCAGAATAACCAACTAGCATCATGATGACAGGATCACACATAACAATATTAACCTTACATGTAAATGGGCTAAATGCCCCAATTAAAAGACATGGACTGGCAAATTGGATAACGAGTCAAGACCCATCGATATGCTGTATTCAGGAGACCCATCTCATGTGCAAAGACACACATAAGCTCAAAATAAAGGGAGAGAGGAATATTTACCAAACAAATGGAAAGCAAAAAAGAGCAGGGGTTGCAATCCTAGTCTTTGATAAAACAGACTTTAAACCAACAAAGATCAAAAAAGACAAAGAAGGACATTACATCATGGTAAAGGGATTAATGCAACAAGAAGAGCTAACTATCCTAAATATATATGCACCTAACACAGGAGCTTCCAGATTCATAAAACAAGTTCTTAAAGACCTACAAAGAGACTTAGACTCCCACACAACAATAGTGGGAGACTGTAACACCCCACTGTCAATGTTGGACAGATCAACGAGACAGAAAATTAACAAAGATATTCAGGACTTGAACTCACCTCTGGACCAAGCAAACCTAATGGAAATCTACAGAATTCTCCACCCCAAATCAACAGAATATACATTCTTCTCAGGGTCACATAGTATGTATTCTAAAATTGACCACATAATTGAAAGTAAAATGGTCCTCAGCAAATGCAAACTAACAGAAATCATAATAAACAGTCTCTCAGACAACAGTGCAATCAAATTAGAAACCAGGATTAGAAAACTCATTCAGAACCATACAGCTACATGGAAATTGAACAACATGTTCCTGAATGACCACTGGGTAAATAACGAAATTAAGGCAGAAATAATGAAGTTCTTTGAAACCAGTGAGAACAAAGAGACAACGTACCAGAATCTCTGGAACACAGCTAAAGCAGTGTTAAGAGGAAAATTTATGGCACTAAATGCTTACATCAGAAAGCTGGAAAGATCTAAAATTGACACACTAACATCACAATTAAAAGAACTAGAGAAGCAAGAGCAAACAAATTCAAAAGCTAGCAGAAGACAAGAAATAAGATCAGAGCTGAACTGAAGGAGATAGGGCCATGAAAAACCCTTCAAAAAAATCAATGAATCCAAGAGCTGTTTTGTTTTTTTTTTAAGAAAAAATTAACAAAATAGACCACTAGCTAGACTAATAAAGAAGAAAAGAGAGAAGAATCAAATAGACACAATAAAAAATGATAAAGGGGATATCACCACCGATCCCACAGAAATACAAACTACCATCAGAGAATGCTAGAAACACCTCTACACAAATAAACTAGAAAATCTAAAAGAAATGGATAAATTCCTGGACACATACACCCTCCCAATACTAAACCAGGAAGAAGTCGAATCCCTGAATAGACCAATAACAAGTTCTGAAATTGAGGCAGTAATTAATAGTCTACCAACCAAAAAAAGCCCAGGACCACAGAGATTCACAGCTGAATTCTACCAGAGGTACAAACAGGAGCTGGTACCATTCCTTCTGAAACTATTCCAAACAATAGCAAAAAAGGGACTCCTCCCTAAGTCATTTTATGAGACCAGCATCATCCTGATACCAAAATCTGGCAGAGACACAACAAAAGAAGAAAATTTCAGGCCAGTATCCCTGATGACCATCATTGCAAAAATCCTCAATAAAATACTGGCAAATTGAGTCCAGTAGCACATCCAAAAGTTTATCCACCATGATCAAGTCAGCTTCATCCCTGGGATGCAAAGCTGGTTCAATACATACAAATCAATAAATGTAATCCATCACATAAACAGAACCAATGACAAAAACCACATGATTATCTCAATAGATGCAGAAAAGGCCTTCGATAAAATTCAACATCCCTTCATGCTAAAAACTCCCAATTCACTAGGTATTGATGGAACACATCTCAAAATAATAAGAGGTATTTATGCCAAACCCATAGCCAATGTCACAGTGAATGGGCCAAAGCTGGAAGCATTCCCTTTGAAAACTGGCACAAGACAAGGATGATCTTTCTCACCTTTCCTATTCAACATAGTATTGGAAATTCTGGCCAGGGCAATCAGGCAAGAGAAAGAGATAAGGGTATTCAAATAGGAAGAAAGGAAGTCAAATTGCCTCTGTTTGCAGATGATATGATTGTATATTTAGACAACCCCATCATCTCAGCTCAAAAACTCCTTAAGCTGGTAAGCAACTTCAGCAAAGACTTCAGGATACAAAGTCAGTGTGCAAAAATCACAAGCATTCCTATACACCAACAATAGACAAACAAAGAGCCAAATTATGAGTGAACTCCCATTCACAATTGCTACAAAGAGGAAAAAATACCTAGGAATACAACTTACAAGAGATGCAAAGGACCTCTTCAAAGAGAACTACAAACCACTGCTCAAGGAAATAAGAGAGGACACAAACAAATGGAAAAAACATTCAATGCTCATGGATGGAAAGAATTAATATAGTGAAAATGGCCATACTGCCCAAAGTAACTTATAGATTCAATGCCATGCCCATCAAGCTACCAGTGACTTTCTTTTCAGAATTAGAAAAAACTACTTGAAATTTCATATGGAACCAAAAAAGAGCCCATATAGCCAAGACAATTCTAAGCAAAAAGAACAAAGCTGAAGGCATCACGCTACCTGACTTCAAACTATACTACAAGGCTACAGTAACCAAAACAGCATGGTACTGATGCCAAAACAGATATATAGACCAATGGAACAGAACAGAGGCCTCAGAAATAATGCCACACATCTACAACCATCTGATCTTTGACAAACCTGACAAAAATAAGCAATGAAGAAAGGATTCCCTATTTAATAAATGGTGCTGGGAAAACTGGCTAGCCATATGCAGAAAACAGAAACTGGACCCCTTCCTTACAACTTATAAAAAAATTAACTCAAGGTGGATTAAAGACTTAAATGTAAAACCCAAAACCATAAAAACCCTAGAAGAAAACCTAGGCAATACCATTCAGGACATAGGCATGGGCAAAGACTTCATGACGAAAACACCAAAAGCAATGGCAACAAAAGCCAAAATTGACAAATGGGATCTAATCAAACTAAAGTGCTTCTGCACAGCAAAAGAAACTATCATCAGAGTGAACAGGCAACCTAAGGAATGGGAGAAAAATTTTGCAATCTACCCATCTGACAAAGGTCAAATATCCAGAATCTACAAGGAACTTAAACAAATTTACAAGACAAAAACAAACAACCCCATCAAAAAAGGTAGGCAAATGATATGAATAGACACTTCTCAAAAGAAGACAGTTATGCGGCCAACAAACATATTTAAAAAAGCTCATCATCACTCATCATTAGTGAAATACAAATCAAAAACCACAATGAGATATCATCTCACGCCAGTTAGAATGGCAGTTATTAAAGTCAGGAAACAACAGATGCTGGTGAGGCTGTGGAGAAATAGGAATGCTTTTACACTGTTGGTGGGAGTGTAAATTAGTTCAACCATTGTGGAAGACATTGCAACGATTCCTCAAGGATCTAGAACCAGAAATACCATTTGACCCAGCAATCCCATTACTGGGTATATAACCAAAGGATTATAAATCATTCTACTGTAAAGACGTATGCACATGTATGTTTATTGCAACACTATTTACAATAGCAAAGACTTGGAACCAACCCAAATACCCATTAATTATAGACTGGATCAAGAAAATGTGGCACCTATACACCAAGAAATACTATGCAGCCATAAAAAAGACTGAGTTCATGTCCTTTGCAGGGAGATGGATGAAGCTGGACGCCATCATTCTCAGCAAACTAACACAAGAACAGAGAACCAAACGCCGCATGTTCTCATTGATAAGTGGGAGTTGAATAATGGAACACATGGACACAGGGAGGGGAACATCACACACCGGGACCTGTTGAGGGGTGGAGGGCAAGGAGAGGGAGAACATTAGGACAAATACCTAATGCGTGTGGGGCTTAAAACCTAGATGACGGGTTGATAGGTTCAGCAAACCACCATAGCACATGTATACCTATGGAATAAACCTGCACATTCTGTTCATGTATCCCAGAACTTAAAGTAAAATTTAAAAAAATATACAAATATATATATATAATTCAGTCTGCAAGTTTTAAGATGTTTTGTGGTTGGATGAGATTGTAAGTGTAAAGCAAATATGTGAAAAATGTGTCCTGTGTTTTATTCCTGTTTGAGCGAAGTGATTTTTTTGTCTACTGAAGATCTTTTATGACAACAGGAATCATATTTGAATTTTTTTTTCTTTTTTGAGACAGAGTCTCGCTCTTTTACACAGGATGGAGTGCAGTGGTGTGATCTTGGCTCACTGCAACCTCCGCCTCCCAGGTTCAAGTGATTCTCATGCCTCAGCCTCCCAAGTAGCTGGGATAACATGCATACGCCACCGTGCCTGGCTAATTCATATTTGAATATTATCTGCTTTTATGTTTTTTATTATTTTATATTAAGTTTGAATAGTGTACTTTATTTTAATTGTCTAAAGAAAGTTACTGTTTAGTTTAAAATACTTCCATTTTTGCTTATAAAAAGTCCAGAAACAAATTGACGTCTAAATGAGACAAAATTCATCATCTCATTGTTGTCTGGTGATGGAAATGCAAATGCAAATGGATGTGTAAATTTTATGGTACTTTACCTTTAAAAATGTTTTTTGAGCTTTAGTTCCCTGGCAGACAGTTGAGAGGTCACCTCCCTGCTGTAAGACCAGTACAACAGAGCACCTATGTGTACACACATGCCCTCCCTGGCCCAGAAGAGACATATTCCTTGAGTACTCAGAGTGCTAGCTAAAGGATTTTGAGCATACTGAGACTATGGCAATTAAAAACATAAACAAATGAACTGAAAACAATGACAATATTTATCACATAAACCCTTTTCTACTTGTTGTCTTATCAATGTCTCTAGCTTAGTTATCAGAATTCACTTATAGTACATAGGCAAAGTATGTACATAGTACAAAGATCCATTATTTTATTAAGTGACTTTCTTTTTACTTCTTCATCACATAAAAATGGGGACATTATATTGCTTTCTTTAAAAGGTTATGTTATCTGTGAGTCCTATTAGAAGACAGCAAAGGAGCATTATAAAATATGTGTTACAGTGGGGTGCTGGGTCTGAGACAGCTGAAGCTGTGTTTATCAACGCACTGTTCGTAGCATCACTATTCTCAGGGGGTAGGCATTTTTATCAGGAAACTTCTATTTCTAGTGGGAGTAATTTCGGAAAACAGGACAGAGAGATTCAGGCTGAACAGAAAATTTCCAGGGTTCCTCTGACCCTGCCCCGCAGATGGCTCCTGGGAAAGGCTGATTAATCAGCTGGGTCCGGACTTCTTAAGTCTAAAATATGATGATTTTAAGTCAAGCATGGGATTAGAACAGTGGTTATCAGCCATGGAGGTAATTGCGCCTGTCTCAGGTTCTTGGGAAGGGAAGGGAATCACTCATCCCTGACGGCTTCCTGGGCTGCCCCTGGGCAGAGGCTGGAAGAGCTTGCGTTCTCTGGGCCACATTGCTAAGATTAATAACACGTATGGACACAGTGCAGGGCCTGTGGGATTTTTCACTTACTCCCCACCACTGACAGCCTCAGTTCCGTGTCTGAAGACCGTGTGCCACCCTCCCTGACTCTGAAGAGCCTTGCACCAGGTTCACAGGCTCCTGGAGACACTGAAGTCTGACCTGGTCGCCAAGCCACTCCCTGAAGGAGCAGAGTGAGCTCCAGCCCCACTGCCCATTAGCAAATCGAAGTGGGGAACAAAGACAGCTGCTGGGGGACTTGGGCAAATGGCCTGTTTCTGTCCAGCGTAGCCTGGGTGATCACTCACAGTGGCGACTTCCTTTGCCTTAATCAGTCAGTGGAGCCATCGCTGACGTTCTTGCCTTTTCTTTCTTGCAGGACGTTGACAAAGGAACGCACGCTGACACTCCCACATGAACAGCTGGCTGCTTCCCAGCGTCCTACGGGAGAGCTACCGGCTTCTAGGCAATGCTGCGTGTGATCTGTGGGGGAGCCTGGCCACTCCTGGAGGTTCCAAGGTCAAAGAAACGCATTCCGGATGCGACGGATTTGATCTTGGAAAGCTGCTTTGAAGATACGATAGCTATTCCCTATTGTTCACTTTAAGGCAAACAATGTATACATTTTTCTGTGTCAGGCTCCTCTGTGAAGTTAGTGAAACGGTAGCTTAGTTTGCTCCCATCTCCTGTTCCGCGCTGCTGGTTTTCGATTGTGCGTCACTGAATTGCCATCAGAAGTCCAGTCCCGACTGCGTGTGCGAGGCCAGGGAGGGAGGTGAGAGGCGGCCTCTCGGACACACTCTGCTGTGATCTTTGATTCAGGAGACACCCTCTTTGTTGATGATCCCTAAGAACTAAAGAGAGACTCCAGCATCACCCTTTCTCCTGGTGCCCTGTCCATAACTAAGCATCCAGGAATGTCCTCTGCAGGCATTTTCTCTGCTCATCCTCGCAGCAATCCTGTGAAGGAGACGTTTTCTCCATTCTATAGGAGAGGACTCTGAGGTTCAGAAAACTCAAGTCAGAGAACACGTGAGCTTGGACTCCGTTGCCTGACCCGCGTCGGACTGTAGGCTGCTGTTGCAGCTGTGTGGCTTTGGGTGCCTGGCCTGGGTGCTATGTGTTCACAAAATGCACTTCCCTTCCACCCTAGGTTCAAGGTGAACTCCGATCCCAGCCTCTCCTGTCAGGCTCAGCAATGGAAATGAGCAGAGGGGCCCTTTGTTCCATGCAGGCTGAATCCAGAACCTTCTGAGGACTTGAAGCCCTTTTATGCGGACAGGATGGGAAGTTAAGCGAAAGTTAACTTCTGTTGGATTAAGACCCTGAAGATTGGGCTTTAACACCTGTTGTGTTACCTGCACTCAAACAAACCAGGGCTCCTTACTCAGCCCTCAGGAGCCTTGGCATTCTCACCTCTAAAGCAGGAGGAGTCGTGATAACTGCCTTGAGGAATTTGAGCAAAGTTAAATGACCTGAACTATTTGGGCGTGTCTTGACCAATGTCCGACCTTGGGAGGTGCTGGATGAATTTTTATTTCTCTACTTTAAGTCAGCCTTTCTACCTTGTTGCTCTTCTCAGCTGCCTTTCTCTGAGCCTCCTTCATCACTCTGTTCATTTCTGTGAGACAAAGATCATTACAACTGCCTTAATATTTCGGTGCAAGACGCACCGTGACCTGACATTGCTCTACCCCGCCTCCTGCCACGATCATTCTTTTGTAGCAATATTCCGCCAGCTTCATTTTGTGCAGTGAGTGGAACAAGAGTCAGAACACCAGGGCGGCTGAGCCTGTCGATCAAGCCTCCACCTAACAACAGACATGCCTGAGTCCCACAGTCATAATTAGGATGAAGCTTTTCCCTGGCTGGACCCGGACTGCAGTCACACTGTAAGAGCTCATCATTCTAGGCCTCTGCCAGTGCGTGTTCAGTCAGAGGCAAGCAGTGGCCCCGGCTCCCAGAAGCATGGGGAGGACTCCTACCAGGGACGGTGGCCAGAATGGCTGCACACAGCCTTTGCTTCCAAGAAAAAGCATCTCCGCAGGCCCAGGCACCTCTGGCAGCCCTCAGAGCAGGACCCTCTTCAACAAGGTGATAGCAGAAGGGAAGAAACGCAGAGGTCTGTCTCAGAGATTAGAGCAACACAGAAACTGGATGCCCCCTTTCAGGGGAGAAACACGGGGTTTCACATCAGGAACCTGTTGAGGAACTTCCCGTCAGGCCCAGCAACACACCCAGGACCAAACCCCAACAGTGATGACTAAAAAATGTGTGTGGGGGCTGGGCACAGTGGTTCCTGCCTGTCAATCCAGCACTTTGGGAGGCCAAGGAGTGAGGCTCACTTTAGCTCAGGAGTTGGAGACTGGCCTAGGCAGCATAGTGAGGACCTATTTCTACAAAATAGTAATAATAATAATAATAATGGTAATAATAATAATAAAGCTGCATGGCCCCCAAAGGGTCGTGTCCAGCTCTGGATAAACTTGTCTGGTTAGTTCAGGTTTCATGGCGCGGCATAGAGGACCCCGACCGTTCATCACTCATTGCTGTGTCCCCAGTTGGCTGTGGCCTGAAACTGCCTGGTTTCAGTCAACACTGTTGCCGTCTTGCATCAGCCATTCAGGGGGTGGGTACCCATGGGAGGGCCTCAGCCAGGACAAAGGTCCACTTCTGTCTAATCGTGTAACTTTAAAATAAAGCTTTTGTGCAGGGACAGAGTAAACAAACTTTAAATGTGAATTTGCATCAATTGAACATTTACAAGTGTGACACTTTTACCTGGTGGCCCACTGGGACCAGGACGAAGCAGCTGGAGGGGCCCCAATGTGTGACTGAGAGAGGAATGTGTGGGCAGCCGTAGCGAGGCTGAGAGGTGAGCAGGCTGGGAAAACCCAGCGAGATGAGCGTGGCTGGAGACCGGCGGAACAGGCAGGCTGTGCAGGGCTTGCATGGGCGAGTGAGGCGCCCGTGCTGGCCAGAACATCATGGCTCTGTGCTGAGGGAACCACGGTGAGCGACGCCCAGAGACCCAGTCTTGGATCAGGAGCTGTAGTGGATACAGTTGAGGGAGTTTTGTGTAGTGCCTCACTGTTCTGATAAGAAGAAAACATGTACAAGCTACGAACTGCAAATTGAGAAATTTTGGTGATTTTGCAAATGAGATAAATGGTCCTATATTTGCATTTGAAATTGGCATTGCACAAAATAAGTTGACTAATAATTTTTAATTTTCCTTCTTAGAATGACAATGTGGCAAATAAAGGAACCCAATGAAAAGAAGGGAAAGAGACTGCAGAGGGAAGGAAAAAGCTTTATATTTTACTACCATAATGGCACTTTTTAAAAAATTTTTATTTATTTATTTATTTTTGAGACAGAGTCTTGCTCTGTCGCCCAGGCTAGAGTGCAGTGGCACAATCTCGGCTCACTGCCAGCTCCGCCTCCTGGGTTCACACCATTCTCCTGCCTCAGCCTTCCCAGTAGCTGGGACTACAGGCGCCCACCACCACGCCTGGCTTTTTTTTGTGTGTGTGTGTGTTTTTAGTAGAGACAGGGTTTCACCGTGTTGGCCAGGATGGTCTCTATCTCCTGACCTCGTGATCCACCTGCCTCGGTCTCCCAAAGTGCTGGGATTACAGGCGTGAGCCACTGGGCCCGGCCAATAATGGCACTTTTTCCTGCTTTTTGTACAGGGGGTCCTGCATTTGTGTTTTGTCCTGGGCCCCTAAATTCTGCAGCTGGCCCTGGTAGAAAGCTGAGAAGTCAGAACAAAGGACTGCCCAGAGGCTGCACGGGGTGGGGGTGGGGGTGGGGGGGGGGCGTTCACATGGTCCGGAGTCCCCACCCCACCGCGTTTATATCTGGCACACTCTGGAGGACCCATCCATCTGTGTTCATGTCTGGCTGTGGCATCTATTGACCATGGGCTCTCAAAGTCACCTAATCATTTTGCATCTCTCTTTTTTCATGTCTAAGACAGGGATAATGATGGCACATACCTGTTAATGGCTGTTGTGAAGCTCTGTGTTAAGTTCTTAAGACAGAACTTGTCACAAGTCAGCCAGGCGTCATAATCACCGATGCCATCTCTTAACAAACTGGCCTTAACTATGAGCAGAGGGTGCAATGCGGAGGGCTGTGGGGTGCCCAGAGGTGAACAAGATGAGTGCTGTTGTCAGGGAGCTTTCAGTGGGATGAGGGAGCAGGGCCCCATCACGAAGGACATGGGGGGTTAGGGGAAAGGGGAGCCTTCCGGTGTGGGGGACATGGACAGACCTTCGGAGGAGAAAGGGTTGTGGGTTGAGTTGCATCCCCCGGAAAGGTATGTTGAAGCCCTAACCTGGTGCCTGTGAACGAGCCCTCACTTGCAGAACTGATCAAGTTGAGCTGGGGTCAACTAGAGCAGGGTGAGCCTCGAGTTCCATGTGACCAATGTCCTCATGGGAGGAGAGGGGAGCACGGGGAGAAGGTGACCACTTGAGGACGAAGGCAGAGGTTGGGGTGACGCGTCTACAAACGAGGGTTTCCCCGAACACCAGAGCTAAGAGCAAGGCATTGGCGCCCTCCCGCTGTGGAGTCTGCAGAGGGAGCCTGGCCCGGCTGACACCGTGGGTGCAGACTCCCGGCCTCCAGGCTGGGGGACAAGAAGTTCCTGTTGTGGCGACCTCAAGAAACTAACACAAAGGGGCATTTGAATTCAGTTGTCCAGGAAGATACAGGTGTTGCAGGGATGGGCTGCCACGTGGGCGGAGGCCTGGATGGGAAGGATTGTGCCAGGCATGGGTTCCCGCAGTGTGTTCCCCTGGCTGGCAGCGTCGCGGCACCTGGGAGTCATTAGGCAGCAAGGGAGGGAATTGCGATTCTGGGCGGGGCTCAGCTGTGCAGATTTTAGCAAGGTCTCCAGGTGCTTCTGCTGAGGGCCAGAGTTAAGACAGAGCTTAAGACAGAGAACCTCAACAGGAGGCCTGAAGGAAAGCACCTGGGAGTCATTAGGCAGCAAGGGAGGGAATTGCAATTCTGGGCGGGGCTCAGCTGTGCAGAGTTTAGCAAGGTCTCCAGGTGCTTCTGCTGAGGGCCAGAGTTAAGAAAGAGCGAGAACCTCATCAGGAGGACTGAAGGAAAGGAGCCAGGCTGCAGCCCTCTGCCTGCCCTTCCGTGCCATCATCTCCAGGATTAATGAAAGGGCCATTCAGGAAACAGCACAGGTGAGATGTGGGATGGGCTCCGTGGCTGCCTCTGTTTCCTGCCTTCTGTCTGTAAACTTCTGATTCAAGGAGGTGGCGTGGCCTCTCAGGGCAGTTGTATTTTTGGTTTACAGGCTCGTCAGCCCCCACTTATCTATCATAAGTGGGACACACATATGGGAGGAAAAGTTTCCTTTTCCTTCTACCCATCCTAGGTTCTCTGGCTGAGGTCCTATAAATTAGAATGGCAAAAGACAGGTTGACAAAATAGAAACAAACAAGGTTATTAACATGCTCATCATGCACACACATGGGAGCACTCAGCCATGAGTCACTCCAAGGGTTTATTAGAACTTGGGCTGATAGAGCTTCTAAACAAAATAATGACAAATTTTAGAGGAGTGACAAGACAAAGGAAAAGACCTTTGGGCTTCTAGGGCAGCAAACTGCAGCCAGCTAAACACATGGGAAATGAATGGAGGATAAGGGCTAGTTCCTAGTAGTCAAGTTTGCTGAGTAGATTCCTCCAGTGCTGTCTCCAGGCTGATAAGGCCTAGACTTGCCCCAGTGATTGGCTTCTGTCCTTCCTGGTAGAGACAGGAGTGGGGACACCTTCACTAAATTATGTCCTGCTTTTAGGCAAAGAGGGGCAGGAGAGAGAGCTTCACTTATATCTACATCTTAAAAATTGTCTTCAGCTCAAAATGATCCTTATGCCAAAGTGGTGTCTTTGGGGGTGGCTGACTCTGCTGCTCTTTACTTACCTTGAACTCCCACCATCATGGCTGCCTCAGAATCCCACAGGGCATCGAGAATGTTCTATGCAAATGGAGAGGCCAGGAGCAGTGGCAGACGTGCAGGTGGCACAAATCTCTGCTCTCAGGCCTGCTCCCGGTCCCAGTGACGTTTAGAGCACACGTCCAAAGATATGATGAAGAATTTCCAGGTGGTGACAGCTGAGCATTAGGCCTAGCAAGGGGCCTGTTGACGAAGAGCCAAACTCTGTAAAATATTTGAAGAGATTTATTCTGAGCTGAGTATGAGTGACCATGGCCTGTGACACAACCCTCAGGAGGTCCTGAGAACATGTGCCCAAGGTGGTGGGGAGCAGCTTGGATTTATACATCTTAGGGAGACATGAGACTTCAATCAAATACATTTAAGAAGTACATTGGTTTGGTCCAGTAAGGTGGGACAACTTGAAGTGCTGGTGGGAGGTTTGGGGGACCTATTGCTATTAATAGCTTATAGGTAGATTTGAAAATGTTCTGGTTGACAATCAGTTGAGTTTATCTAAAGACTTGGAGCAAATAGAAAGAAATTAAGATAAGTTAAGATAACAGGTTGTGGAGACCAAAGTTCTTATTTACAGAGGAAGCCTTCAGGTAGCAGGCTTCAGAGGGAACAGATCACAGATGTTTCTTATCAGAGGTAAGGTCTGTGTTGATGTTAGTGCTGTAGGATATAATGAGGTCTGTCCGGCCCCCACTTCCCGTCGTGGCCTGAACCAGACTCTCAGGTTAAAATTTAAGAGTGCCCTGGCAGAGGAGGAGGTTCATTCAGATGGTTGGGGGGCCATAGAATTGTATTTTTGGTTTACAGGCTCGCCTGCCTGTGGGCCCCTTTGTGACTGCCCAGGCAAGCCGCTAACGTGAACGTGCTCCTCTTACTGCCGCCTTCTAACCCAGGTGACATCAATCACTTACTCTCTTTCTGCTCTTTGCTCTGGTCCCAGGGAAGCAGGTCCTTTTACTCCTTTCCTTCCCGGGCTTGTGCACGCTGGGTCAGGCCCCATCTCACCATGACTGCTCATCTTTTTGGGCACCAGAGCAATAAGGAAGCAGGACTCAGGCCCCCAACTCCTAACTCCAGGTGAAGCCCACCCTGAGCTCAGGAACAGAGCTGCCTCCATCGGGTGTGGAGAGACAGAGCCTCCTCCCCAGCCATGCCTCCTCATTGGCCCATGGGAGCTGCTGTGACTCTGACCCTGTACCTGGCTCTGTCAACTGGAATAGTCAGTGGGCAGCCAGCACACCTTTGGGTGCCATATGTGGTGAGATCCTATCCTGACTTGACATTTTAAAAAGTTGTCTATAAAAAGAGCCAAACTCTGTAAAATATTGGAGAGATTTATTCTGAGCCAAACGTGAGTGACCATGGCCCGTGACACAGTCCTCAGGAGACCCGGAGAACGTGTGGCCCAGGTGATCAGGGCACAGCTAGGTTTTATACATGCTATAGGGCATAAGGCATCAATCAATACATTTAAGCTGTACATCAGTTCAGACGGGAAAGGTGGCACACCAGGAAGCAGGGGCTTCCAGATCACAGGCAGATTCACAGATTTTCTGATTGGCAGTTGGTTGAAAGAGTTCATCTAAAGACCTGGAACCAATAGAAAGGAAATATCTGGGTTAGGATAAGGGGTTGTGGAGACCAAGGTCCTTACTATGCTGATGCAGCCTCCAGGTAGCAGGCTTAGAGAGAATCGATGGTAAATGTTTATCAGACTTAAAATGTGCCAGAAACTTAGTGGAGTATTTCCTGGATGAGGAAAAAGGCCTGGAAAGGGAACAGGATTTTCTACAGAATATAGACTTTCCCCACAAGAGACAGCTTTGCAGGGACATTTCAAGATATGGCCAAGAAACATATTTAGGGTTAAAATATTTGGATTTTCTTCCTTATCTGTCATGTGAAGTTACGCCAGAGTAAGGTTGGAAAGAGCCGAGTTACACAGGGTTAGTAAGACCCCTCCAATGAGGCTTTGTGGTTTGTAGGGTGACCTCCCCAGGCCCCTTAGGTAGGAATTTGGGCAGGAGAAGAAAAAGGTCAGAGTTTAGTCCTCAAGGCACAGACTTATGTTCTTGACCCTCCTTCCATCTGGTGGTACATTCAGGCTAATGGAAAAATCCTACGTATTCCACGTTCGGTCCGTCCTCCCTCCTCCTGCCTAAAGGGTTCTAGATGTGTGTAGTGATACAGCTGGGATGGTTATTTCTTCAGGAAGCGTCATCCTGTTCTTCTTCTTCCTGTTTATCCTCCTCTTCCTGCCCAAATTTCTGCTTCTCACACTGGAGTCCTTTTGTGTTTCATTCATACATTAACTCAAGGCCTGGATCCAGAAGGCTGATTCCTGTTAGTGCCTGCAGTTGATGTTTTCTCTATGACACTCTTAGCTGACTGGCGGCTGTCTAGATGAGGGTTCAAATCCAGACTCCATCACTCACCTGCTACGTGACATGGGCACCTTCTTTAGTCTTGTTGAGCTTTGTTTCCTCATCCTTAAAAACAATACCAATGACAACAACAAAACTACCATGCAGAGCTTCCATGCCCTGCACAGAGACTAGCGAGTAATGAAGTAATAATACAGAGTCAGCCCCCATTCCCTATGCAGTCGACTTCTGCAAGGTCCAAGCTCACAGTGCAAATTGCTCCTGCAAAGCTACTTTGATTAGGCTCATTCCTTGACCTTCTTCCAGACAAATACGTCTCAGACAGGGAGAAAAAATAAGTCCTTCATACATCAACTGGTGTTACCAGACGTGGCACTGAGTCCCAGAGTGTGGTTCTAAGATGGACTGAGTTCTGCTTTTCCAATGGCAGCAACACCACGTGGAAGTGTTGAGGGGGCCTCCTTCCATAGGAGCTGACCGTGGCATCTGTGTTTTCAGGTGTCTGGGCAGTTGCATGCAGGAGACTTGGGCTGGTGTGTCACTCTTCTCACTTCACACTGAGCTGCCTGGTTGCCTGCGAAACTCTGCAGGGTCTTTGGGTTCCTGTTGGACCAGTTCAGCCTGTCATTCTGCCACGTCCTCCTCTGGCAGGATGGCCGCTGGCCCACACAGCACCAGTCCCAACAGTGAGGCAGGTGGCTTCCTCAGTGGCGTTTGGCAACGTGGCTTTCTATCTGTTGGAATACAGGTCAGTCCTCTTCACACCCTTCCGTTTCCCTAATGATTCCCCAGGTTGTCCTGAGAATGCAAATCAGTTTCCAGGAGCTGGCACTCTCCACATTTGGGCTTTCATGATACCTGGTGGTCAGCTCACCCACCCCCAAGGGCAGTCAGCGGGGGGATCTTCCAGGAACTCTTGGTCATGAGAGTGGTAACTTCCTGATGTGCCTGCACAGACACAGTGCGTGTGTTCATTGGCAGCATCCTCACACCTGTGCAGCATCAGGCAGGCCTGGCTCTGCATGAGGCACATGTCCCAGCAGGCTGGCTGGACCAGCAGGTTCTGCCCAGTCAGACTTCCCCACCACACCAAGCACAGACAGGATGCTGGGTCCACACCCTGCTTTCATCTGTGTCCAGCTCAGATGCAACCTTGTGCTCCTCACGGGTTGTATGCTCGAGTATCCAAGAAGTGAGTCTTTTGATTGGACCTGAGCTAATCTCTCTCAGATTGGTGAAAGTGCAATGAGAATGGATGCTGTGTATTGCTGTTAACTCTGGTTATCCTGCAGTGGCACAGAACACTGGGCTCCTTCCTCCCGCCTAGCTGTGATTTTGTGTCCATCACACATCTCTCCCTACCCCTCCCCTCTCCCTACCATTTCCAGCCTCTAGTATCCTCCATTCTACTTTTTAACTCTATGAGATCATTTTTTTCTTTTCTTTTCTTTTTTTTTTTTTAGCTCACACATATGAGTGAGAACGTGTGGTGTTGAACTTTCTGTTCCTGACTTACATCACTTAATATCTTGTCCCCAGTTCCATTCATGTGGCCACAATGACAGGGTTTTATTCCTTTTTATGGCTGAATAGTATTCCGTTGTGTATATATACTGCATTCTTCATCCATTCATCTGGTGGTGGACACCTCTGTTGGTTCCATATCTTGGCTATTGTGACAGTATTGGGATGAATGTGGGG